>NC_000014.9:61126864-61429894 GCF_000001405.40 Homo sapiens | reverse complement strand
AAATCCCATCTATATAGTATTATTCTGGCCAGCAGATAGACAAAAATCACACTTCTGCCAAGTTTTTATACCGTCTCTAGCTGAATAAGAGAAACTAGTTAAATTTTAATATTTTAAAATTTTAATAAGATAATTCAAATTACATTGTTTCTGCTTCCTCTCTATTTACAATTCCTAGTACATATGGGTTTTTATTTTATTTTCCTGGCGTCTTTAGAATGGGTCTTGTTAGTTTCATTGTCAAGTTCTTTATTAATTGAAACAGATTTGATTTTAGTAACTGCCACTGTAACTAGCCAACTATGACACAGTCCACAAGACACACATTCTAGGATTCCCTGAGGCCCTGAAAACAATGGGTGTGACTATTCTCCATTATCTGAAAGTAATGTACTCAGTTATTGTACAGACTGATTTTTAAAAGAAATTCCTCAAATCCTTCTTTGATCACAAAGACAAAAAACAGTGGACGAGAGCATATGCTCTCTAACTGTAAAGCATTTATAAATGTTGCTTCACCATCTGTCTTTGAGAAACAGAAGGTTGCCTCAGTTCTATAGGTTTCTATTTAAGCTGTTACCCAAAACTTACAAATTGGTTCCATAACATGAACATAGTAATCCTGATGAAAATGGTATAAAAATCTGTGCCCTTTCTGGTCTTCCAGTCTACTTTTTCTGTTTCATGTTTGTATTGAAGAAGAGGGTAGGAGCCAGTTTCACTTGATTTGCAAGGAATGAAACCTTTCATGCTTCCTTCTATTCTCCAGACCAACAGAAACTCATGCAAAATGCTAGGAGTCCCTAAAACAATTCAGAGGTAATTCCCTCTTGCTTTAATTTTGTTTCCTTTAAGAACTTATTTTTAACCTTTGGCCTTGACTGTGGAACACAGGATAATGATGGAATGTCAACTATGACATGCAGAATTCTTTAAACCATCTAAGCAAAAAAAGAAAAAACTATAGTTACACATATCTTGCTCCACCTCTCCTCCAAAAAAAGGTATTTTAAAGAGACAGAGTAAAAGCTAGCTACAGGGAAAAAAAAATGTTTTTAACTTTCATAGGCAATGATTGAATTTCAGAATCAAACCAGTGGGGAATACTTTCCGTGATTGATAGACACAGAAATTTTTCATTTTCCCAAAACAAGAGCTCCCACTAAAGCATTTTTGGTGTTTAAGGGCCAGGTTAAAGCTTTACTCAGACATCGAAGTAAAGTAGATCAATTATCAAAAAATCTATGTTGATAAGGTCCTACAACAAACCACCCCAGGCTCAAATAAGACAGTAAGAAAGTTTAAGCTATTCTCAGCATCTGGTAGAGACTGGTTATATGGTGAGGACTTAAAAGAGGAAAGCTCTTCACTTTGTAAACCAAAAATAAAATTTTAAGCTCCCCCTACTGACTGAATGGACCCCTTCTCAACCAAGGGGATTAAAAAAAACCCCTGAAAAACTAGTGAAAGCCATGACGCAAAGAGGGAGTCAGACATGCCTCATTATATCCTCTCCCTTTTGGAGTTTAGACTCAACTGACCAGCATTAACACTAAAATAGAGACCTAAAACCGACAGAATAGACCCTTATTGTTACAAAGGCTAGAGTGCAGAGCACCTATAATCCCAGCACTTTCGGAGGGTGAGGCAGGTAGACTGCTTGATCCCAGGAGTTTGAGACCAGTCTGGGTAACATGGTGAAACCCTGTCTCTACAAAAATACCAACTCAACCTGACTCTGGTATAGCATCGTGTGAGATACATATATATATATATATATATGTGTGTATATATATATGTGTGTGTGTGTGTGTGTGTATCTATCTATCTATCTATCTATCTATCTATCTATATATATATATTTGTGGAGATGAGGTTTCACCATGTTGCCCAGGTTGGTCTCAAATTCCTGGTCTTAAACGATCCACTTGCCTCAGTCTCCCAAAGTGCTAGGATTATAGGTGTGAGCCACCACACTCAGCTAGCATCACATGATAGATAAAGGTAACAGCTGGGTGAAGTGGCTCATGCCTGTAATTGCAGCACTCCAGGAGGCTGAGGCAGGTGGATCACTTGAGCCCAGGAGTTTGAGACCGGCCTGGGTAACATGATGAAACCCTGTCTCTACAAAAATACAAAAATTAGCTGGGCATGGTGGTGCATGCCTGTAGTCCCAGCTACTTGGGCAGCTGAGGCAGAAGGATTACTTAAGCCCAGAAGGTTGAAGCTGCAATGAGCCATTGTCACGCCACTGCACTCCAGCCTGGGAGACAGAGTGAGACCCTGTCTCAAAAACAAACAAACAAAACAACCAAAGAAGAAAATCAAAATATTTTATCCCAAAATATGTTTCTCTGCCATATTTTGAAATGACCCTGCAAAGCATCTTTTTGTGGAGGAAAATTTGCATCCGTAAAGAATCTCTTTAACATAACTAGATCTTTCCTCTTCCAGGTCCTCCCAATCCTAAAGAGATTAACTGTTGAGTCTAGCACTTTTCCTAGGTCTATATAGGAAACATTTGCCATCTATTGTCTCTAAGGGCTGACACCTATGAGACTTCATCTACATAATAAGAATCTCAGCCTCCACAACCCCTTAGCTTAACCCAGACACTCCTTTCTATTGATTCTAAGTCCTTAGATAATAACTAATTTATCCTTTCAACTAACTGCCAATAAGCAGATCTTTGAATCCACCTGTAACCTATAAGCACCCTCCCCCATACAACTCCCCACCCCTTGCTTCAAGTTGTCCTGCCTTTCCAGACCAAACCAATGTATACCTCACATGTACTGATTGATGTCTTATGTCCCTCTGAAATGTATAAAATCAAGCTGTAACCCAACCACCCTGGGCACATGTTCTCAGGATCTCTTGAGACTGTGCCTTGGGCTGTGGTCACTCATATTTGGCTCAGAATAAACCTCTTCAAATATTTTAGAGTTTGACTCTTTGTCGACAACTGCCTTCAAAGAGTGCACGTATTTCCCCATTACAAACAGTTTCTAATCCACTTTGGTAAATTGCATTCCTGAAGCAGTAAATTATGAGAGATGAAAAAGTTGAATTTTCTCAGACGAAACTTTCCACATTTTCTTGTAGTTGTATGAGAAAATTCCTCTGTGAATACAAGGACAAGGCACTTTATACTATAATTGTAGGTGAAAATTTTTTGAACAGAAACCATTTTAAAATAAGCTATAGCCTTCTAATGTAAAGCTGTATAAATTACAGAAAACTTTCTCCTTCCAGTATTTGTGGCAAACTCTAAACAAAACAGAAATCTTCACATAAGACCTCTTGGACTTTCCTCAGGCAAAATTACCATCCAAGACTAAAGAGAAATTACCCTAGATCAAAGCATTATTAAGAAGTAAGACTTGTGATGAAAACATTCCTACTGAATTTTGTCCATACTTGTGAAAGAGCTAAGAGTCTTACTTCAGCAATGACAAGCTCAGTGTGAACTGAAAACTTTATTCTGGATCATGTTTCTGGTGTCTGTGTTTGGGATTAATAACTAAGAAAATTCTGACATTAAAAAAATTGTTTTCATTGAAGGTGATGGCAAACACATTGCACAACAGGGAAGGTGACAGCTTGGCAGTGTGTGTAGGCCATGGGTAGAAGGAACAAGCAGCGACATGTAAATGTTCCTCTACATGAAGAAGCCAAATGAAAGTGTTCCAGGTTGCACCTTGGACTGCTTCCCACAGACCTGGAAGTCAAATGTGGCTGGAGATCTCCAGAAAGAAGAGAACATGGTTATTGTATTAGTCTGTTCTCACACTGCTGTAAAGACATACCTGAGACTGGGTAATTTATAAAGAAAAGAAGTTTAATTGACTCACAGTTACACATGGCTGGAAAGGCCTCAAGAAACTTACAATCATGGCAGAAGGGGAAGCAGGCATGTCTTACATGGCAGCAGGTGAGACAGAGAGTGTGTGGGAGAAGTGAAGGGAGAAGAGCCCCTTATAAAACCAACAGATCTCATGAGAACTCACTCAATATCACAAGAACAGCATGGACGAAACCACCCCCCATGATCTAATCACCTCCCACCAGGTCTCTAGTCAATACTTGGGGATTAGAATTCAAGATGAGGTTTAGGTGGGGACACAAAGCCTAACCACATCATTCCAGCCCTGGCCCTTCCCAAATCTCATATCTTTTCACATTTCAAAACCAATCATGGCTTCCCAACAGTTCACCAAAGTCTTAACTCATTTCAGCATTAACTCAAAAGTCCACAGTCCAAAGTCTCATCTGAGACAAGGCAAGTCCCTTCTGCCTATAAGCCTGTAAAATCAAAATCAAGTTAGTTCCTTCCAAGATACAATGGTGGTACAGGCACTGGATAAGAACACCCATTCCAAATGGGATAAATTGGCCAAAACAAAGGGGCTACAGGTTGATGCAAGTCAAAAATCCAGTGGGGCAGTTATTAAATCTTAAAGCTCCAAAATGATCTCCTTTGACTCCATGTCTCACATCTAGGTCATGTGGATACAAGGGGTGGGCTCCCATAGCCTTGGGCAGCTCTACCACTGTGGCTCTGCAGGGTATATCCCCCTCCTGGCTGCTTTCATAGGCTGGTGTTGAGTGCTTGTGGCTTTTTCAGGTGCCCAGTGCAAGCAGATGGATTTACCATCTGCTGGGGTCTGGAGGATGGTGGCCCTTTTCTCACAGCTGAACTAAGCAGTGCCACGGTGGGGTCTCTGTGTGGGGGCTCCAACCCCTCACTTTCCCTTTGCACTGCCCTAGCAGAGGTTCTCTATGAGGGCTTTGCCCCTGCAGCAGACTTCTGACTGGACATCCAGGTATTTCCATACATCCTCTGAAATCTCAGCTGAGGCTCCCAAACCTCAATTCTTGACTTTTGTATACCTGCAGGCCCAACACCACATGGAAGCCACCAAGGATTGGGGCTTGCACCCTCTGAAGCAAACAGCCTGAGCTGACTTTTTAAAAATTTGCCCATTTTAGCCATGACTGGAGTGGCTGGGAAGCAGGGTACTAAGTCCTAGGCTGCACAGAGCAGCAGGGTCCTGGGCCCAGTCCATGAAACCACTTTTCCCTTCTAGGCCTCGGGGCCTGTAATGGGAGGGGCTGCTGCAAAAGTCCTTCACATGCCCTAGGAACATTTTCCCCATTGTCTTGGTGATTAACATTTGGCTCCTTGTTACTTACGCAAATTTCTGCAGCCAGCTTTAATTTCTCCCCAGAAAATGGGTTTTTCTTTTCTACTGCATTGTCAGACTGCAAATTTTCCAAACTTCTATACTCTGCTTCCCTTTTAAATAAGTTCCAATTTCAGATCATCTCTCTCAAGTTCAAAGTTCCACAGATCTCTAGGGTGTGGGCAAAATGCTGTCAGTCTCTTTGCTAAAGCATAGCAAGAGTCACCTTTACTCCAATTCCCAAGAAGTTCCTCATCTCCATCTGAAGCTACTTCTCCCTGGACTCCATTGTCCATGTCGCTATCAGCATTTTGGTCAAAGCCATTCAATAAGTCTCTAGGAAGTTCCAAACTTTTCCACATCTTCCTATATTCTTCTGAGCCCTCCAAACTGTTCCAACCTCTGCCTGTTATCCAGCTCCAAAGTTGCTTCCATATTTTTGGGTATCTTTATAGCAGTACCCCACTCTATCAGTACCAATTTACTATATTAGTCCATTCTCACACTGCTATAAAGACATACTGAAACTGGGTAATTTATAAAGAAAAGAGGTTTAATTGACTCATAGTTCCACATGGCTAGGGAGGCCTCAGGAAACTTATAATCATGGCATAAGGGGAAGCAGATATGTCTTACATGACAGCAGGTGAGAAAGAGAGTATGTGGGAGAAGTGAAGGGGGAAGAGCCCCTTATAAAACCATCAGTTCTCGTGAGAATTCCCTCACTATCACAAGAACAGCAAAGAGCAAACTGCTCCCATGATCCAATCACCTCCCACCAGGTCTCTCCCTCAACACCTGGGGATTATGATTCAAGATGAGATTTGGGTGAGGACACAAAACCTATCCATATCAGTTATTATATTTAAAAATTCATGACCTTCATTAATAAGGTGAATGGATCTGGGGTCGAGGACAACAGACTTTTACATTGCTGAATGTGCCACACATCCCCAACTGTATTATAGCCCCACCTATCATTTAAGGCCCTCCCAATCCTGAACCAGCACTCCCTTTAGGTGTCAACCATCACTCCCCTACACAAACAAACCTATGTTCCTGTCAAACTGATGCCCTCACCATTCATAGCCCATCTCCTGCCAGGATTCCACTCATGTCACTCCTCCCACTTGGAATGGCTTCTCACTTTTCTAAAGCCAAACCTCATAAAAGTGCTTCCTCATCCAAAGGTATCTGCAGACCACTCCAGCTAATGGCATGCTCTTTCTTACTCAGTCACTGCATCATTCTATTGCCCTTCTGTGCACGGTACTCCAGGTAACTGTCACGATCTGGCACAGTCATTCAACTGTCTGTGTATTTCTGCCTTTTACCCTCAAGTAGACCAAAAATTTGTAGGAGATCAGAGCTAGATTTTACAGTTTTGGATCCTCCAGGGTCTGTCGTAATGAGTGTCCAATACCCATCTTATTAGTGTATCCCTGCAGATTATTGATGTGCCACTGAAAATTATAAAATGCAAGTTAAAGATCTCTTGTCCCCGTTTCTTAGTCTCTAGGATACTGTGGTTCAGTGGGACTGCCTGCTTTTCAAAGGCCATCTCAGTGTAGCAACTGTGGTGTAAGAGTGATGCTGTGAAAGGGCCTTGCCTCGGAATCACCTATGAATTTTAACTTAGGCTCCAACACATCTTCACACGTAAATTTGGGCAACTTCATTCATTCATTCAATCAAACATTTGTAGCATAGCAAATTTATACCGGACATTCTTAAGAAATATGGATATTTGAATGACAGGATCAAAGAAAATAAAAATAAAAGAAATACAGATATAAGCATGAATGAGATCAAGTATGTGGGGGTGTGTGCATACGTGTGTGCACACACATAATGTATAAACCAGGCCCTCAATAAGATTAGCCTACTGCAATGTTTCTGCTTCTTTTAAAAAAAATGGGGATGCCTAGACTCTATCCCACAGTAAGTAAGAATATCTGGGGTGGGCAACAAGAATCTACACTTTTAAATCCTGAAAACCAGTGGTCTAGGAGGAAGGACACACAACTAGACGGTTAAAATACAAAAGCAATTGCTGCTTTATCTCCAGTATGCATGTCCAGGGTGCTGTGGGGCAGAGGGACCCCCGATGGTGCCCGGGGAATCTGGAGCACATACAGAGACAGTGATGCCTGAATTGAACCTAAAGCCTAAGCAGCAGAGTACTAGAGGGAGGATGAGGGGAACGGGGTATATACTAGAAAGTACTAGAGGGAGAATGAGGGGAACAGGATATATTCTAGAAAGGTGCTTTGCAGCAATCTGCACCCTGCTATGCTCCTACTTAAAAAGCATTTAATTGGCCAGGCACTGTGGCTCACGCCTATAATCCCAGCACTTTGTAAGGCCATGGCAGGAGGGGAGGATCGCTTGAGGCCAGGAGTTTGAGGCCAGCCTGGGCAACATAGAGAGACCCTGTCTCTACAGAAAAACAAAATATTTAGCTGGGCATGGTAGTACATGCCTATAGCCCCAGCTACTCATGAGGCTGAGGTGGGAAGATCACTTGAGCCCAGGAGTTCGAGGTTGCAGTGATCCATTGTTGCGCCACTGTACTCCAGCCTGGGTGACAGAGTAAGACCCTGTCTCAAAAAAACAAAAAACAAAAACATTGAATGGCTGCCTTCAGGCCTTAGGGCAAAGTCCTCAAAACTATACACCTGCATCTGGCACTACCCACTATCAAGACCTTATCACTCATCCATCCCTGTCTAGCCTGGGGTCCACACCTGCCCTAATCTCTTTCTTCCTCTCCTCTCCTAACTCTCCCATCCACCTCACACTAAAATGACTTACTTTGGAGATGCCTTACTGGAGAAGCCTCCCTAATCCCTTCAAGTCAAGGCTTGGTGCCCTCCTTACAGCTCCCCTAGCACCAAGACCAAAGCTCTTACCACACAGCACCACCTATGCCTGCTTAGACCAAGGACCAGGGGGTTAGGGGATATCACCAATGCCTAGCATACAAGTAGCAGTGAAAGAATGAATGGGTAGATTGGTGTTTCCATAAATTAGTAAGAAGTAGAAAAGAGCTTGCCACATTCAGGTACCTACAAGTAGTACACTACTGCTAGAACTACAATGAATATGAAGGTCTGGTAGGAGATGAGATTTAAAAAGCAGGTCAATACCAGCCTAGGAAGGGAAGGAGGAGTATAGGCCTTCAGAGATCATAGCAAGGCACTGAAAAGTTTTCCTACGGGGCTGCAATATTATCAGATTTCATAAATTCTCTCAAGATAAGGCCAAGAGAGAGCCTAAGTCACAAGGCTGACTTGTGATGATTATGCAAGAGTATGCACATAAGAACAATTTGTACATTATAAAAGTTATGTATACATGTAGGAATATTTTCTGCAACTCCTAGCTATTAAGTCCATTCAATCTTATAGTGTTTAGTTTTCACATCCCTATCAATATTGCCTGAAACTGATTGTATATATTGATGACAAAAGGTGACAAAAGTGCAGAGAGCTCAGGAAATACAGTCACTTATAAGGGAACCATGGGGGACAAAAAGCATCCTGGGAACTCCACTCCTCTTTCACAACAAACCAATTATACACCTGGGGTCACTGATAAAGGCACTACTAGATAATGGCTACTATAAACTAACATTAGCAATGGCAACCTGTGTTGAGGCTCTGTTTTCAGTTCAATGGTCTGTGTATTTATCTGATAGCAATAATTCACACCAGAGATTTACATAAATCAAACTAATTTCAAATCTTTAGCCTATCTAGGGCCAGAGTGGGTGGGGAGCTTCAGGTCCCTTACCCAAGTTCCTAAGCAAGTTACCCACTCCTCCAGCCCATGGCAGTGGCACTGGGGGAAATGGGGTTGATAGAGAGATATTGCAACTGACGCTTAGCCTCTTTAAGGAACTCTAAGCAAACTTCTACAGGACTCCTGAAACATTTTTGGAAGTGAGTTTCTTAGAAGGGCTGGAGATCTGCAGATAGATCAAATGAATTGTGCTTACTCAATCTGTTCCCAAGGCTAACTGTAGTGGTCATGCGATCTTTTGGGAAAATAAAACACTGCTGTATGTGCCCAGAGATCTTCACAAGCAACCAAACAAACAAAACACAGAGAGAGTCCTTTAGCTAGGCACAGGCTGCCTGCTGATTCACACTGCACTTGAGCTGTGGAATGAAGTTAGGATGAGTCTGCCGGGGAGACAGACTGAAGCTGAGACCCTCTGGCAGCAAATTCCCTCCCTGAGCCTATGCGTCTCCCCGCAGGTGAGGGTGACTCACATAGTGGTATTGTTCTTGTTTATACTGATGCCCACATAAATGAGGTACAGTTTCTGTCTGTGGGACAGGCTCCAACAACACTTTCATCATTCTAAGGGAGGAAAAAGGAGGAGTAGCATGTGCCAAGCTCCCAGCATCCCCCACACAACCAATGCTCAGAGTGGCCAGGCCCAGAGTGGCTCTGGGCTTCTGAAAGGAGAAGAGCAGACACAGACACGTGTAGTCACACACATACACGCACACACACACGTACAGAGGCACACATGACCCATTTAGTACAAAGGGCAGAAGGATAAAAATCCACCTTGGAATAACCATGGTCCAAGCTCCAACCAACCAGTCTGGTTGAAAGAGGCTGCAGGTGCTGGCCCACTCACCACGGAATGCCCATGAGCAGGGCCAGGGCCACTGAATCCCACAGAAGCTGAGTATTTTGTGCAGTGAGGGTGACTCTATCACTGGGCTGTCAGTCACAGGCCTTCAACTGGCATCTCTGGCAAAACAGGGCAAATTGTGGTAGCCAAACCTCAACACATAAGGAGTAAGGCAGACACCACCCTTCGACTCTTCCCTTATGCTACACATCCAAGTACACAATGTATACATAATACATAGACAGAAATATTTAGTGTACATGTGGGTTCAAAGTACTTGTGGATTTGTCTAATTTTAGCTCTTTTGCTTTGTTTATAACAAGTTCTCTATGTCCCAGGTTTTTAAAATGACAACTTAACCCTCTAGGATAGTGCATCTGTGTAGCCCAGAACGCCCCACCAGGTCTCAAACACTAACAGTCAGGGACCCTGGGCAGAGTTCTAAAGGAGGAGCTTAATTAAAAGTCTGTTTTCTAGATTATATTGCATTGATTCTCAACTGGAGGTGATCTTGCTCCCCAGTGGACATTTTGCAATGTCTGGAGACATTTTTGTTGTCACAACTAGAGAATGTGGGTGCCACTTATGTCATCTGGAGGGTAGAAGCCAGGAATGCTGCTAAGCATCTTCCAACACACACAACAGCTTCTACAACAAGAATTATCTGGCCCAAAATACCAAGCATGCTGGGGTTGAGAAACCCTTCAGTATTTGGATTCTGTAGGAGATTTCATTTGGGAAAGAAAGAATTTTGTTGCTTAAAAATAAATGAAAACTTCTGCTCTAGGACACCTGCCTGGACCCAAACTATTCAACAAAGTGATACTCTTTTGTGTTGTGCTTCAAAGTCCCTAAAATAGCATAGATTTTCACATCAGACATTTGCTTTTAAATTCCTATAATAGGTCTTTGGGAGAACAACTAGCTGCCCTAAAGCGCTAAGACTCTGTCTTTATTTCTATTAAACACAGGGAGGGAATCAAGGGCCCTGTCACCACCTAGTAGGACATAACGGCAGGCAAGCCTCCTACTGAGCCAGTGTAGGATCTAAATAACTTCAACCCAAGAAGGAAATCAGATGGAGGCAGAGTGTTTCTCTTGATAGGAAGCCACGGGTGTTGGCTTCAGAGAGATCAACTCGCCATCAGTCAGGCAAAGAGCCAGAAGTTAAATATATTGCTTCTTTTAGGAAGGAAAGTGAACAATGGCCTCTTCATTTGAAACCACAATGGGAATTTAGGAAGGGGCAGAGTATAATTCCCAGGATGGAAAATGGCCCAGGCTTCAGAATTAACATCCTTACTCTCATGGGACAGACTCCAAGAGGCTTTTCAACCATTGCTGTTGAACTATCTATTTACTAATTCCAAGGCAAAACCCAGGGTCCAACTGGCACTTTTTGATGCTGAAAGGTCAGGGAAATAAAAACTGCTGGCCAATCTATCACAAAGGCCTCCTGCTACTCTGAGGTTCTCTGAGACATTTCTCAGCAAAAGAAACCAGCACCTACCCCATGCTTAGGCTAACCTTTCCAGGGATAAAGACAGAGCCACACGATACATCTCTCTAAGTCCACTTTATCTTCCATCCCATCCTTCATCCAGAGGTTGTCAGGCCTTCTTCCTGGAGATTCCAAAGATCCTCTGTGCATTAATCATTACACATCGTGCTAAAATTTATTTTGATGATCACCTTCCTCTCCAGACAGTGAGTTTATTGAAAATAGGAATTCTGTCACATTCACCTCCTTATCACCAGGACACAGGCTAGAGCCTGGCCCATGAGGGACTTAATACTGAATGAATGAGCTCGACCTGTCAGATGCAAAACATGCTTCAGAGTATAATCTAATATAGTTTTGGTAAAACTCTACATGACAAGTACACTTACATCGTACGTGCAGTTTGCAGTGTGTGAATGTAAGCGCAGAACTCACTTTAGTAAACACAGCCACAGAACAGGATAGACCTGCGCAGATGTTAGATCTTTCTCCAGGAACTATTCCGTATGTAAGACAATTGCAGGGTGGAGAAATTCAATAAACAGCTGGCCTTTGAGATGGCAAAAGACACACTCTCCCTTTTCAAGTTTAATCAGTAGGTCAGATGACCTGGCCTCTACCCTTTCAGTAGAGAAATAACCCATGTGTGGCTTCCTCATCAGTCCTTGAAAACATCCACAAAAACCCTCATACACAAATGTACTGCAAACACAAACACACTTTCAACCTAGATGTTTTCATTTAGACTGTTAAGCCTTGTCAGATAGAGATTCAATCACACTACAGGCTCCTCTTTCTTTCTTTTTTTAAAGGAAACAGTCTATTAGGACCATTCCCAAGCTGTGTGTCTAAGACTTCAAAGACAGAAGGAGGACTCCTTATAAGGAACCATAAATCTACAATGCACCAAGCACTGTCTCCGAATGAAAAATAAGCCTAACATATGCACAAGTGCCGATATACTTTCATAAATTAAAAATATGCCCAATTAAAGGCTTCACTAATTTACCAAATTTTTGTCATTAAGTATATGATTAGTCAAAAGAGACACAAAGTACAACACTTAGGTGAGGCTCTGGGAAATTTAGCAGTGGTCTTCTTAATCAAAAGGGTTAGAAACCACTAAGCCAGACCATTTGAAGAGCAGTCTCTGCTGTGCTGCACTGACAGCCCTAGAAATCAGGTGCTTTCAGTTAAAGCCCTAGAAATCAGGTGCTTTCAGTTAGACCAACAATGAGAGCTCAAAAAAGACCGCCAAAAAGAGGGAAAGTAATGACGGTTCTATGTGGTAAAGCAATTGGGTCCAGACAACAGGAAGGAAGCCCTTTCAAAGACGTCTATCCTTAAGGAGCAGTCTCGCCTCTGGAAATAATGATTAATAAAGGGACTTTAAAATCCCATTCTATACTGGACCCCAACCCCTCCTCTTCAAGTATGAAGGATACTGAAAAAGGGATGGAGAGAGAAGACAGAATTTCAGGGCTCCTATGTACAGCCCTTATAAATATCATATCAGTCTAGGTCCCCTCTAATTTTTAAGTGTTAAAACAATGTTGGGTGGCAATTTTCCTGTTGTCCCAGAATTTCACCTGAGGACAAAGGCACAAAGTACCCCACAATTTAAGTTCTGAGAGCCTCCTCCCATAAGGGCTTCCTGGAGACAGGACCGCTAAGCCCTTCCACTACTCTGGACTACTTCCTCAAAGTCAGAATGAGTCTGAGAAAGGAAAGGGGTGTTGGCCTTAGAGGGCATGCAGTGTTTCAGGTGGCAGACTATTCTCTCCCCAACAGAAAGCTAAGGGCAGGAGACTCCAACGGGTGTTGCCACAATGTGAGTTTACTTACTATCACTCTTGGGGGAGGGGGAAAGGGACAGGAGAGAGAAGCAGGGGTGGGGAGAGGAAAGAGAGAGGAGGGAGAGCTGGGAAGAGGTTAGGGGGTGTTGTATCTCAGGACAAGGCCTCATCATCTTCTTCACGCCCAGCAGCTGAGCCAAGCTGGGAGATATATGCCAAGGAGATCTCAACTGAGTTTGAGACCAAAGTTTTCAACATAAACAAAATCCAATATTAAATACTAACAAGAGATTGTTTTAAAACTGAAAGTGAATAACCCAAGCACCCACTGATGGAAGAATAAACAAACAACATGTGATCTATACTAACAATGGGATATTATTCAGCCTTAAAAAGGGAGGAAATTGACTGGGCATGGTGGCTTACACCTGTAATGCCAGCACTTTGGGAGGCAGAGGCCAGTGGATCACTTGAGCCCAGGAGTTCAAGACTAGCCTGGGCAAATAGCAAAATCCTGTCTCTACAAAAAATACAAAAATTAGCTGGGCTTGGTGGTGCACACCTGTAGTCCCAGCTACTCAGGAAGCTGGGTGGGAGGATGGCTTGAGCCCGGGGGCGGGGCAGAGGTTGCAGTGAGCCAAGATCATGCCACTGCACCAACCAGGGTGACAGTGACACCCCGTCTCAAAAAAAAAAAAAAAAAAAAAGAAAAGAAAAGAAAAGAAAAAAGAGGCAAGGGAGGGGAATCTTGACACATGCTACCACACGGGTGAACCCTGAAGACATTATGCAAAGCAAAACAAGCCAATCACAAAAGGATAAAGACTGTATGATTCCACTTATAGGAGGTACTTAGAGTAGTCAAATCTATAGAGACAGAAAGCAGAATGGTGTTTGCTAAGGGCTGGAGGGAGAGGGAATGGAGAATTAGTATTCAATGGGTATAGAATTTCAGTTTTGCAATATGAAAAGAATTCTGGAGATGGATGGTGGTGATGGTTTTACAATAATGTGAGTGTACCTAATACCACTGGACTATACACTTACAAATGGTTCAGAAGGTAGATTTTTATGTGCATTTTATCACAATTTTTTTAAAAAACTGAAGGTGACAGGAAAGATATGGAACCAGACAAATATGGCATTAAGGGATCCACTACCCAAAGGGAAAGGAAGATTCCACATAGTGTAGCCTAAAGTAAATGCTGTCAAAAATTCCTGTAAAATCCCCAAATGACAGTCCTCATTAAATTGATTACATATCTTCATCCTTCAATGGCTAACCCCCTTCCTCAGCTCTCCTAAGGAAATGGAAGTGTGGGTGAAACCTCTTCCACAAATACCACCCCTGAAGTGATCACTTAATGTCAAAGTTGCTGTGGGAGATGGGGGGTAGGGGGACCCTCTGCAACTCTTGTTAAAATGGGAAATGACAGGAACTTCATCTTTTTGCCTTTTCTTTGCCTCACTTTATACCCTCACATATCACCATGTTGGGGAGGGAGAGGTGCACAGGTACACAATAGAACACACACTTCAAATTGCTTTTAAGTTAGTAGGAAAGACAAAATGTGTAGGTGGGGAAAATGTGTGTGTTCAAGCTTCAGTGTTCAGAAGAAGGCAATGACAGAAATGGAGTGAAGACAGTGCTGATATGGGAGGAAAATGACAACTGGGGTCTGAGCCAGAGGAGTTTGAAAGACAGCACAGAACCAGGGCTCACAGGAAAAATGGGGCCTGAAGGTAACCACTGAGAGTGTCCCTGCAGATGAAAGGCCCTATGAGAATGGGCGCCCACTTCTAAGATAGTGAAGAACACAAGAGCCCAGGAAGGAAACAGAGGAAGGACAAAGGGATAGAAACAGAATCAGGATAGTATGGTGCTTGGCAGAGGGGGAATGCTTTTATTCATTATATTCAACATTTCATATTCAAGAGTGTGGGGACAGAAGATGCATGTTTGCTAACTGAAAGATTAAATGGGCCAGGCACAGTGGCTCATGCCTGTAATCCCAGCACTTTGGGAGGCTGAGGCAGGCGGATCACGAGGTTAGGAGTTCAAGACCAGCCCAGCCAGCATGATGAAACCCCGTCTCTACTAAATATACAAAAAACTTAGCCAGTGCAGCCTGGGCAACAGAGTGAGACTCCATCTCAAAAAAAAAAAAAAAAGAATAAATGAAGCCCATGCCGGGCACAGTGGCTCATGCCTGTAATCCTAGCACTTTGGGAGACTGAGGCAGGCAGATCACTTGGGGTCAGGAGTTTAAGACCAGCCTGACCAATCTGGTGAAACCTCGACTCTATCAAAAATACAAAAATTAGCTGGGCATGAGGGTGGGCACCTGTAATCCCAGCTACCAGGGAGGCTGAGACAGAAGAGTAGCTTGAACCTGGGAGGCGGAGGATGTAGTGAGCCAAGGTCACACCACTACACTCCAGCCTGGGTGACAGAGTGAGACTCCATTTCAAAAAAAAAAAAAAAAGATTAAATGAAGCCCATTGAGAGTGCCCAGCACACGACTGGACACAGGAAGCTGGAACTCAGGGGAGAGACCTGGGCTGCAGATATAGACGGAGGAGTGGAGAGCAACAGGCAGAGTGAAATCCCAGACTGAAACAGATGACCAGAGATGTGAATGGGGACAGCGGCGGGCTGAAGATGGATCCCCCAAGGATACAAACTGCAGAGGGTGGTAGAGAAGCCCAAAGATACGAGAAAGGAAGAGAAGGGAAGAATGGGATGATCCAGACTTCAGAGTTGCAGAAGTCAAAAAGTGTGGGCTCTGAGGTGGAAGAGTGATGAGCACTGCCAAACACAACAGAGATGTCCAATAAGATGGGGCCTGGAAACTGCTTACTGGATTTGGCAATATAGATGCCCTCAGTGACCTTATCAAGCGCTACTTGAGCAGAATAGTGGTGAGGGAAGCCAGAGAGCTTAAGTAGCGGCTGGAAGAGAAAATAGAAGGCAATGAAGTGAAGAATTAGTATGTAGGCTGTACTCTCAACATATCCGGATGAAAAAAAGGAGACAAATTAGAAAGTACCCAAGGAGATTTTTAGGAGGAGGAGGCCTGGCCATGTTTACAGATCAGAGAAAGAAAATGAGAGAAGGAAATGGAGAAGTTAAAGAAAGGGAAGCAAAGTTCGTGAGGAAGCACAGGTCTTTAGCAAAAGCAATGACAACTATCCTCTGGAACAGAGGCTAAGGACTCAGGATGGGTGGGAATGCAGATAAAGTCAGTGTAGTTGAGGGAAGTCACTCACACCTGATGCAATTTTCCAGATTAAGTAGGATCTAAGCCACTTGCTTAGAATATAGGCACAGGGTACATGGGCGGGGCGGGGGGGGGGCGCTTAAAAAGAAATGATGAAGGTTGTCATCACTGAAGGGAATGGGAGAAAAGGAGCTGGGGTGCTGGGGACCACCACTCAGAATAGAGGCCAAGGGTTTGCAGTCGTTTGAGGTGCCCAAAGGGAGAACATGAAACAGAACCAAATGCAGCATCACGGTCACACGAAAGATTGCAGAGAAAGGAGAGGTACACTTTGTAATTAGAAAGTGTCTGGGCAAGAGCGAAGCAGGAGCTGAGTAGAAAGTTGGTGGTGAGACGCAGATACAAAACGTTTGTCAAGATAGTTGGCTGCAAAGGGGGGAAAGAAATAGGATGGTAGCTGAGGATACTATGATCAGGTGAAGAATTTTTTTTTTCTGTTTAAATCACCACAGGAGAAGCAGCCAAAGGAGAGCAAGGGACTAAACAAAGTGTGGTCAGTCCAGGTAAATGAACATGTGAGAATGTGTTAAGAGGCCAGAGAGGATGGATCCACCCAGGAAAAGGTGTAGCTTCTGTAGGAAGAGAGGTTCCCTGGCAGCCAGCAGAAAGGAAGAAAAGAGATGGCCACACTGAGGGACAGCAGGCACATAAAGATGGCAGATCTTGCAGGATTTTTTCAGCAGAGTAAGAGAAAGAGAATATGAGTGGGAAAAAAAGTGGGAAGGGGCTTTCAGGTGTAAAAGTTTTAGAATTGCTGAGAAACCAACACAAGAAGAATGCTTCCGTTTTTGCTAAGTATCTGCTTAATGCCAAAAATTTATATGCCATGGGTCCAGCCAGCAACATCCAATCATCTGTGAGATGATTGCTCAGGTCAGGCATTGGCACAGCAGGCATGAAGGAAGATTAAAGGGTCAAGTGACCCCTGGGCATCACTGAGTTAGCACTGCAGGGATGACCCCACAGTCCTGGCTAGAGAGAGCACTGAGAAGATAAGTAGGAGCTTATGGTTCAGATAAATTAGCAGGGGCCAGGTTCAGGTCATATGGGTTCGGTTGAAGTAACATAAGGATGGAGTCATAGAAAAGCAACCCATGTTTCAAATCCAATTGGGGTCTTTTTGTTTATTTTCTCCATTTTCACTTTTCTACTTGTCTTTTTAAAGACAAGTATGTTTCTGCTTAACATATGGAATATAGTTATAATAACCATTTTAATGTCCTTATCTGCTAATTGTAACATCTGCGTTAATTCTGGGTCAGTTTTGATTGGTTGATTTGCTCCCATTATGGGTTGTACTTTCTTGCTTCTTTGTACATCTGGTAATTTTTGGTTGGATGCCAGACACTGGTTTTTGCCTATTGAGTGATAGTTTTGTATTTCTATAAAATCAGCTTTGATCTGGGACACAGCTAAGTTACTCAGAAATAGTTCGGCCCTATCAGATCTTGCTTTTTAGATTTAAAGCCATGCTCAGTTGGGTTAGTTATTCCCCACTAAGCAAGCAAGGCCCTTCTATGTACTCTACTCTACCCAATGCTCCATGACTCTTGAAGTTTTCCAGTCTGGTTGGTGGCAGAAGCACTATTTCTGGCCCCGTGTGAGCACCAGAAACAGTTATCTTTGCTCCTTTTGAATGGTGCTTTCCCCAGACTCAGGCAGCTTCTTTACACTGATCAGTTCTCAGAACTTTGTACACCTCCAGAGTTATGTCTTGGTGCAGCTGTCTCTTCTCTAGTACTGTATCCCATGATCTCTAGTGGCCTTAGTCTCTCTGGACTCTCAGATCCAATCCTCAACTCAGGGAGTCTGCTGGGCTCCACATGGTTCCCTTTTCCTGTGCTATAGCTTGGAAACTCTTTTAAGGCAGTTTGAAAAAACTCAGAGGTCTCACCTCATTTGTTTCCTATCTCTCAGGAATCATTGGCCTTTGTTGTCTGATGTATCCAGTGTCTTACAAATCATTGTTTCATTTATTTTGTCCATATTTTGTTTTTCACATGGGAAGATAAATCCAATACTTGTTTCAGCATTTGGCCAAAAGTAAAGTCCCCCTATAGGTTTTAAACTGAAAAATCCAAGAACCATCCCATCAGTTTAAGGCCTAATAAATACATCTGTGGCTGACTGGAACAGGGGTCCTCAAGTGTTAAGTGCCTGCCCTGTCCACTCTTTTATGCAAAGAGTTACTCTATGTCATGCCATAATCATCCGTTGACACCATTCCTATCTTGGTCACCGAGGAGGACAAGGGACTGGTACATGAACCAAAGAGACGTGTAAAGGATGAGCATGAAGGCTGGTGTCTTCTGAGGTGGCTCAAAGGTCTGCATAGTGAAGACAGCCTCTGTTGGATGGGATGGTTTGTTGGAAGTCGCTGGGGCTCAATCCTTGCTGAGCTCTGATCCACTTTCCCCAGAAGCCCACTGGATATCCAGGCTTGGAAGTCCTGACTTCAAATGACTGAAGGCCTAAGGAAAAGACAGCATCCACGATGTCTCATACTTTCTGTCCCTTTGCAATCACCCTCATTTTCAAAAATCATCTGTCCACAGCTCTTCCTGACAGGCTTCATGAGCCCAGGCAACACAGCCATTCGCACGGTTTGGAATTAGCCAGGCACACTGGTCAGTGTTGATAGTGGAAGGTGATCAGAACAGTAGGAAATGTGACCACCCAAGGGACCTGGCCATGATGGCTATGTTTATGTGTAGCTACCACAACAGGGATAGAGGTCGGGTGCGTTGCCTACAGGTAACGCTTATCTTTGAAATTAGAAGATAAGGAAAGCTCTGGGAGAGGGAAAAAGAGCATCCAATAATATGCTGGGGACTGCAGAAGGAGTAATTTAGCCACACCAGTGCTCTTTGCCTCACTCCATTGGCCACAATTGGTGCTGGAAGCAAGAAGCAAATACGCAGTTAGACTCCATTCACCAGCATCACCCCAATACCCCTAGAATCTAGGGCCTAGAGAAAAAGAGCCTTTAACAGGATGAAACCTGTCAAACTACTCAGAAGCAGCTGAGCCTAGCAACAGCCCAACGGATTTATATTACCCTACAGGCAGGCAGCATGGAGCAGAGTAAAAAGATTAACCCAAATCCACTCAAGTTAATCAACGGTTTGTCAACACATGCTCCCATTTCACATGGAACAAAATTGTAATTTTACCTTCAAAATGCATAAGAGATATTTTAATTAATAATCAAATACTAGATTTAAAGTGGATTTAACATATCACCATTTTTAAGAACGGGGTGGGGGTGAAGTCCTAAGTGAAACAAAACCTGCTCACAGACTCAAGAGATGCCATCTGGTCATTCAAAGCCAACCAAGCCTGTAAAATTAAAATCATAAAAGTCAACACACACTTTAACTTATAACTGAGAAGCTAATTTAATAAACTAAGGCAAATATTTGGGAAAAGGCCAAATGCTGTAAAAATACACAGAGTGAACCAACTCAATTTATTGGTGAATAAATAACAAAATAAACAACCACAGTCACTCCAAGTTGACAGGCAACATTTGATCAGGTCATCAGGCTGGTGACCAAACCTAACAAGCTCCTAGTAACAGGAGGAAAAGGCAGACGACAGGGGCAATGCTGCCTGACAATGTACAATGCTGGCCCTGGCTCTTACCATTCAATCTCTAGAGATAAGAAATTAATAACAAGTAGCATATACAATCTACTTTTAAAACATTTCTTTTTCCTGGGACCTAGAAACACCTTATAAACATTAACTCTTTTTTTTTTTTTTTTTTTTTTTTTGAGACAGGGTCTCACTGTGTCACTCATGTTACTCAGGTTGGAGCACAGTGGCACAATCATGGCTCACTGCAGCCTCAAACCTCTGGGTTCAGGCAATCTTCTTGCCTCCCAAGTAACTGGGAATACAGGTGCACACCACCATGCCTGGATTTTTTTTTCTTTTTTTGGTGGAGATGCCTGGCATCTCACTATGTTGCCCAGCTGGTCTTGAACTCCTGGGCTCAAGCAATCCTCCTGCTTCAGCCTCCCAGAGTATTAGGATTACAGGTATGAGCCACTACCACTCATTTATCTTAACAGAACTACAGGGAGAAGGTTCTCATTGCATTTCTGTATCTGTACTGAAAGAATCGGCCAGAGTAGGGGATGAGTTTCAAACATATCCCAAAGAGCAATTCCTTGAGCCCATGGCTGGGTCATGCTATCCTGGAGAGTAGAACTCCTGATCCATGTTCTGCTATCTACCAGCATTCCCATGGAGCACCCATGGCAGTGTGCATGCCCATGAACAGGGCTGTCTACGCCCACAGCCACCACCCCCATGGCACAGTCGGTCCTCACCAGGAGAGGCAATGCGGTGGCATCAATTAGCTGGACCCTCAAGCAGTGGCTTGGGAAAAGGTATGACATTGGCTCTGGTGGGCAGATTCAGAAAGAGCCAACATATTCCCTGTGGCCTAGCGAACAGGAAACTGACAAAGCAGCACACACTTTCCCCAGAGTTAGTGAATCCCTCCTACACCTTCCCGACCTTGCCCTGAAATTCTCATACCCACAGCTTTATAGTTGATAGCTCCTACAAAAAGCACATAGAAACACAGACCTGTATGTACTTGACACCCTCCTAGAATATGACGTCTATCCGGTGACGTTCAATAGCTGTCTAGGATTTGAAGCAATGGCCGAGAAAGGGGGCATCTGTAATCACATTTTTCCAGTATCTTTTAGATGATTCACCACCAAGTACATGGAAGTAAATGGGGCACGGATTTCCTTCCCAAGTGGGTGGGAACATAGTCTGCATCAGATCCTAATGCTACACTTTGTGGGTGTGTGCTTGTGTGCATAAGCTCATGTAACCTTTGCAGCAACCCTGGGTTTAGGTATCATTAGCCCCTTGTTTTACACATAAGGCAACCATTGCTTAAGGTCACGCAGCAAGGAAGGACAGGCAGCAGAACCAAGTCCATCTGATCCAAAACTGATGGTCCTCCCCTACCCATGCCCCTATCTCCAGCACAGCTACAGATCCCCAATAGCAATTCCCAGGAAATTTTGACTGTAAGGATTAACAGTGACACCAGAAATTAACTTTTGGGGGGCATTCAGGGAACTGTAGGCATCACTAAAAGTAGACCTATTACCTGAAAGCAGGCTAATCTTCTGATCCAAACAAATTGAAAAAATGAAGAGATTTCTCTCTCCACCATGCCCCCAAAAGCTCCCCAAAGCAGTGAGACTCTGTACTACCCAAAACCTAGAGTGGGAATGCCACTGAGTAGGATGGGATGCTGAACAGTGCAAGAGAGACGCCTGTATGGTATTCCACGAAGGGAAAGTATTTTCAGTTTTGACTTCAGTAAAGAAGTGATCCTTCTCACTAAAACATGTTTCAAAGTCTCCCCCAAGGCCACTGCACACTGCCCAGTAAACACATGGGACAAATGCTCAGATTCAGGATTGCAAACTGAGGCCAGAGAAGGAGGCATAGAGGTGTGAATTCAGAGGAAATTCAGACAACAGGGGATGTGGGACACTGGAGAACCCTGCCCTGTCTGAAGAGCTCAAGTTGGAAAACCTCAAAAGCATTATTCCATGCTGCATACAAAGCAAAACTGGTCTGCAGGCTGATTTCAGCCCATGGGCAGTCTGTAATCCCTGGCTAGAGAAAGACAGAGGCACAGACAGACAGACACAGCCAGCATGCAGTCAATATTCTGCATATCAGACAAAAGGTTCTATAAAGGCTGTACCTAAGTGTGACCTTCAAGCATTCAGAGAGGCAAAGACCAAGAATGTAGGAATTAAAAGTCTCAAATGAGGACGTCCAACACCCGAGAAAGAGGCATGGAAAAAGTGACAGCTCCCAGACACATTTGAGCAGGGCCCTGAAGCTGTTCCTTTCACACTCTGGCTGAGTGTCCCCACCAGGTCCTCACTGAGGAGGGGCTGGAAGGGGACAGCAGAGTCCTACTGAATTGCCATTCCTTAGTATGTTTAAGGAAATCAATACAGTTCCCTCCTAGAGTTAAGCTTCAGTCTTTGTCGATGAATTCTTTCTGAAGTCCTAGGTTAGAACCCCTCCAAGCATTGTTATGTTCTCCTGTGCCTGGGTGGATCCCAAGGAACCATTAGATAAGATGGTGGTATTAGACATGCAGTCCCGCCTTCAGAATGGTAGGGTATTTAGACTTAATAATAAATGCATTATTCATTTTACAGAGACACCTGAACTCATCATCTGAGTATTAATTATTAAAATCCCTATAATCCTAAGATTTAGATAAACTAAATGGTCAGAGCATGAGAATAGTCTCTGATGAACAGAATGACCACTTTTAAATCAGTCCCTACTCTAACACCCCTCCTTGCTTAAAACTACCCTATTCCTGCCCACCATGTAAATGGCTGTTGTTCTCCCTTTCTGAGTAGCAGATACATCCCATAATACAAACTGTGCCACAAAAATCAGCCCCGGATCAAAAAGTGAGATCTTGTAGTGGATGCGGGAAGTCATGAAATTGACTAATACACTACTCCAATCACAGCAAACCCCTGACAGAGTAAATCTCGGATGTCGAGTTCATCACCAACAAAGAGGAGACCAACACTGGTGGAGCCATGCCTGTCTACTGGAAAAACTGATGAAATCTTCAAACCTTTTTGCAAAAATAACTCTGCTCGGCACAATGCTGAGAAAGTCAGCGTGAAGTGGAAGCTGTTATCATGCTTTCAAATCAGTCAGAGAAATACCTACTGAGTTATGTGATCCATTCTTGGTTCTAAGAATTAGCACACAGGTGCCACTGGAACCCAAACACTGATAAATATAAGATGAATGAAATTTCCTTTCACAATTGTTGTTGTCATTTTAAGAACAGTATTAATCAAACCTTTTTAAAGATATATACTACGAAAAAACTGTGGCTCCCATTTTAACTGGAACCACTTTCAATTGTCTTTTCCTGGTCTCAGTTACCCCACAAAAAAGGAAATGCCTGTAACTTGTCTCCAGTCTAACAGTTGATGGGCAGCAAAGCCAACATTCCCATCCTGATTTTATCACTTTCAAGCCTGGCTTGAGTCTCCACATTAGCACTGAGTGTTTGCAGACATTAACAAGGCCTGTAGCTGCTGAGTCTCATGTGCCCCCCTAACAACGCAAAAACTGTAACCTGACCCTTGTCGCAGCATTTTAAAAGGTTCTTAAAAGAATACATTTGGGGTTTTTGTCAACTCTTAAACGACTACACCAAAGCAATACACTCCCCTGTACATTTTTTTTTTCCTGTATGTGTTTTTCAACTAGCAAACCTCCCAGCCACCAAAACTTTAATCAAATTAGGTATAATTTAGGACACAACAGGGATATCCAAATTGGCCAACCACTGGAAGCAGCCAAGGTGCTTACCTGAATTCTGTTTCCTTGGCCTCTTCCCCAGAGATTCTCATTCAGACTGGGTCCTGAGAATCTGTATTTTTCAAAATTCTCAAATAATTCCATTGCTTTAAAACAGATCCTCTTGGCATTTCATATTTTTTGAAGGTCCTATTCTCAGTACTTGGTAAATCCCAAATCTTAGGACTCACA
This sequence comes from Homo sapiens, assembly GCF_000001405.40. Lineage (NCBI taxonomy): Eukaryota > Metazoa > Chordata > Mammalia > Primates > Hominidae > Homo > Homo sapiens. The sequence goes on along the minus strand of NC_000014.9, from coordinate 61,405,892 downwards.
TAACGGAAGCATCCACATTTACATGAAACAAGAAGTATCATCAAAATTCAGTAAGAATTAACTTTCCAAAAGCTATATACTAAGTCCCTATAAGGTACCAAGACTGAGCTCCAACCTACTTACCTCTCCAGTTATTTAGTAGAGATCTATCACTAACACTTATTAAAACTCCTCAACAAATGATAGTTCACCACAAGTTCAAGAATAGAAGATTTGGCCAGGCATGGTGGCGCTCACCTATAATCCCAGCACTCTGGGAGGCCAAGGGGTGCCGATCACCTGAGATCAGGAGTTCGAGACCAGCCTGGCCAACATGGTGAAGCCCCATCTCTACTAAAAATACAAAAATTAGCTGGGCGTGGTGCTGCGCGCCTGTAATCCCAGCTACTCAGGAGGCTGAGGCAGCAGAATCGCTTGAACCCGGGAGGTGGAGGTTGCAGTGAGCTGAGATTGCGCCACTGCACTCCAGCCTGGGCGACAAGAGTGAGACTCCGTCTCAAAAAAAAAAAAAAGAGCAGAAGATTCCAGCTGCGCCTAAATTTTCTGACTTTATTTTTGATGAGTGAGGTGCTCAAATAAGAGTAATTTCTTAATAATCCATAACTAGAACTGAATTACAGCTAATTATATTTAGGAGTGCATGGACTTGTTATAGATTTCCAGACAGTCAATTTGAACTTTTAATGCTTATTAAGCTGGGGATTGGCTCCTAATTTGGCTTAGAACAAAAAGAAACCATGAGGGAATTCACAGAACTGGAGAAAGTTGTTATCATGAATTTGGAATGGTTTCCGCATTAGCAAAATACATCAAGTCATAAATAGATGTGATGCTGTGCTCTTCAAGCCCCTAACCAAAGGGGAAAAGACGTGCTCAGTGAGCCAAATGGTAAGCCAGCAGCAAGCATAAGTGAACATCACTTAAGTGACAAGGGTATTCTTGAAGAGGAAAGTGACATTAGCAGGGCACCAAAGTTGTGCCAACAACCATGTGGGCACCTCCCCTGACCTCAAGGCCCAGCTACACTCCTCTCCCTGCTGCAACCCTTACAGTATTTGCACTTCCTGTTCCCCATCCCAATAGACAGACTCAAGGTCCACTCCCTCCCTTTCTTCAGACCTCTGGCTCAAATGATACCTCATCAGAGGGGCCTTCCCTGACCATCTGATTTGAACAAAACAGCATACACATAGGACCCATCTCTGTCCTCTTACTCTGTTTTATTTTCTCCATAGCATGTACCACCTGTGGAGGTACATATTATGTTAACCTTTCTAATTGTTTATGTCTCCACATACACACCAAATTTTGAGTTCTGTGAGAACAAACCAGTGTCATTACTAAGTACATGCATACACACATGCATGAATATATACATCCATTACATAGTTTTCTACATAAATACTCTGTGGGTGGGTGGGTGGGTGGATGGATGGATGGATGGATCCACTAAACCTAAGTGGGGATAACATAAAAGTATTGCTTGACCCAGGACATTTTGTAAACAAATGAAAATTCCTAGAGGAGGCAACTGATTTTCTCCAAAATCCTATGAGAACTAAGTTTCCACTTACAAAATATAAGGTGGTCTCTTACATATACAAAGAATGTATCTGCAACCTCAGGCCACTGTTGTCCATGCCCACACTCCCCATCAACTTCATGCAGTGGGTTATCCACTGCTGACTTGAGACCAGAACACAACTCTCAGCCATCAGGATGAAAGAATGATGCTGAAGACGAGTTTCACGGTAGAAGGGAAGAAGCAGGTCTTCCTACCTACTACCTGTCCACTGACACAGGGTGTTATTAGGGAAAGCTTAGGAAAAGGGTTACCAACACAAGTGGCCTGGAAAACAAACTCTACTGTCTTGTTCATTTGAAACAAAGAGAGCAGAGAGATAAGGGGTTGCTGGAAATAAAATGGAAGTATAATGAAAACAGACACTGGAGCAATTAACTTTTCTATCAAAAAATTAAATCATTCTTGTTTTACCCAAACCTCAGTTCCATAGAGAGAATACCACATCACTATAATTTCAAGGAAAAAACAATAAAGCTTGAAAAAAATTAACAAACGAGTCAGCCTCTGTTTTTCAAGAACCTTGATTAGAAAAGGAGAATGCTAGTCAGTAAGCGAGTGCCATAGAAATGTGTCTCCTGAGGCTCTGTCCATGGATCTTGAGCTGTTTTTGAGGTTCAGCTTTTAGTGCTCACAGCACTGATCACTTGTTCAGAAGTATCGTGACTGCCTTGTTCTGCTCAAATCAAGCAAAGGTTTAGCATGAAGCTATCTGTAACAGGCAGCTCTAAAGTTAGAAACCACCACAGGCTTCTGAGTTGTTTTGGTGTCACTTCCTGACCTTATTTTTATGAGAACAGGCTTATAACAAAAACTGGCTGAAAAAGTACACTGCACAGCAGAAATAATCAGAAACAAAAAGAAAGTTTCAAAAAAATGACAATTCTGTCACCTGTATCACCTAACTGTACATATTTTTTTCTGATTATAACATACACAAATATGTGTCAGTTCCTTCTCCCTGTGGTCATTAAAATTTAAAGCACTGGGCTTTTGAAAGAATGTAAGAAAAAAATAACCTAGAAATTGTAAAATTTTTTGGTCCAAGTACCCCTTTGAATGGATTCTACTGATATTTGTCAAATTAGAAATTTAAATGGAGACATTTAAAAATATTTATCATTTATTAAAAACAATAACAATTCCATTACATGTTAGTATACACATTTTAATAAAATATAACTACATTTTCAAACATCCCCCCAAAGATAGAGAGAGTGGCATTATTTTACAATTTGCAAATCTCTTTAATGTCTGACTTAAAAGAAGACAGCTAGTGGGGAGGCGGGAGGGATAGCATTGGGAGATATACCTAATGCTAGAGGATGAGTTAGTGGGTGCAGCGCACCAGCATGGCACATGTATATATATGTAACTAACCTGCACATTGTGCACATGTACCCTAAAACTTAAAGTCTAATAATAATAAATAAAAATAAAATAAATAAATTAATTAATTAATTAAAAAAAAAGACAGCTAGATTCTTTCTTTTTTCTTTTTTTCTTTTTTTTTGAGACAGAGTTTCGCTCTGTCACCAGGCTGGAGTGCAGTGGCACAATATTGGCTCACTGCAACCTCTGACTCCCTGGTTCAAGTGATTCTCCTGCCTCAGCCTCCCGAGTAGCTGGGATTACAGGCACGCACCACCACACCCAGCTAATTTTTTTTTGTATTTTTAGTAGAGACGGGGTTTCACCATGTTGGCCAGGATGGTCTTGATCTCCTGACCTCGTGATCTGCCCGCCTCGGCCTCCCAAAGTGCTGGGATTACAGGCGTGAGCCACTGCGCCCAGCCTGACAGCTAGATTCTCATATCTGCTTCTGTATTCAAGCCACTGTAATGTTGTTCTAGTTGAAGTACATGAATACAGTCCAGCCTCACACAGAGTAATTTAAAAATATAATTTTAATAGATTTTTCAGATAATTGCAGATATTCTTCTTTAATACCACACAAAAGTAAACAAGGCGTAGTTTCTCAAAAGTTGGTTGCAATATAAAACTGTATCAATGAACTTTTCATACTTTAAATTAATATACATGAGTCTACCTTACGCTTTCAAGAGATCCTTGACCCATAAATGATTTTATAACATCTCGTACTGGCCATTGTGAAAATACGTGTTCACTGAATCATTGGAAGTCATCTTCTAAATGTTGACATATCTCATAACACAATTTTTAAAAATTACAATCGTTAATAACAACAAACTCATGAGAAAAGAATAAGTACTGGGAAGTTGTCAAGCTCACAATGGTGGATATAAACTTTCCAAAATTCGAATTATGTTTTGAAGGCTCTAATTTTATCACTGGCACCAAATACTTACAGTTGTTTTCCCTGAAGTAACAGGCGCAGTTCATTCGTTTTTTAGACAATGTCTGAAAAATCTGCCAGTTCCACAGTATGGTTTGTCTGTCATTCTTTCAAAGTAAAAATGGTGTTCCATGCAAAAAGTGGCTAGCTCAGCTAACAACTCAATCACACAAGTGCTTTTCCTTGAGACACAACAGTATTTCAGTATGAAGCAGGAATGCTTTTAGCATATTTCCCATTTTGTCACACAGAATGTTACAAAGGTATATAGTCAAGGATTGACCTTTAATAACATGAATAATGTTTACTGTTCCATCAAAGACATTCTTAAGTGAAACTAGATTTCTTCCTCCTGCAACTACGTGGCCATCAAGAATACAATGATGACTTTATAGTTTGGTGCCATGCTTTTACCCACCATTTCTCTTTTGCACCATTGGGGCAAATGTCAACACAGTGGGGAAAAAAGGATGAATAAAATCTTCGTATTATAAGGAAAACAGTTTGGAACTGCAGACTTCCTGAAAATGTCTCTGGAACTCTCAGAAGTCTGCAGGATCACACTTTGAGAATGAATTTTAAAATTTCCAACAAAGCCACCACCTAGTTTTTTCACTTACAGTCAGTCAAAATAAGAGAAGTAGGTACAGTGAAGCCAATGATGACTGGGGTATAAAAAGGCAAATAGAGCTATCATACCTATGCTGAACTCACTGATTGTATTTTCATCTTCTGAGTTCTAGCTTAAGATGTACATTAAGAGAACCTACTGACAACAAAACCTGAGCAAATCTTAAACTCAATCTGCCTAGAGCTTTCTGGCCCATCCATGCCTGATGTCTGAGAATGCTGCACCTTTCCTGGGTGAATGTTGGTCCTCCAGTTTAAGGAGGAGGAACTCAAGGGAAGCCTTGCAAAAAGACATCATCCCAAAAGACAAGACTCTCTGGAGGGTGGGATTATGCTATCCTGAGGACAGTTTTCCTCTAAGATGGAATAAAGAAAAAAACTAAAATGCTGCCCCCCCACCCCCAACTCCTCAGATAGCTGGATGGTGTAGAAAGATCTTGGACCTCAGCATTGCAATCTGAGCTTGTGTCTGGGCTCTGGCACTTACTATCCAGGAAAGACCATAGTAAATTAGCGTCTCTGAGTCTGGTTCACCATTTGCATACTGAGAATTACAACAGCCTCAGAAATTTGTTATAGAGAGAAAATGGAATAATATATAGCATGGTATGAACACGTAGAGGTACTCAGTTACTAGGTAAGAGTTTATCCTGCTACCAGAAAATAAAATGAGGGCTCCCATTGCTATTTGCTAAATTACAAGCCAACTCCAGTGTCTGGTCCTCAGAAGGCATTCAACAAATGAGCTAGATATTATGGAGAAGACGAGAGAGCATCTATGACAAGGGACAATTAGTCTCAATCCTTTAAAAACATCATTCGCCCGTTTCCAGTTCCTATTCTCCCATTCCCTCAATTCCTTTCTTTCTCTCCTACCCTGTCTTCAACCTGATAGCCACAATTGCTTAGACCAGCAAAAAACAAACACAAAAACTAAAGTGGTCACTCATTCTTCAAGCTAATATGCCAAAAGAATAAATTTTTTTAAAGCTACATTTTAAAAAAATTAAATCAACAACTTGTCACCAGGCTTGAAATCTGAGAAAGGAATGCTATAAATCAACTACCACCAGAAATCACTTTTTCTCTTTAAAAATGACATGCATCTGAAGTGTTGATACAGGGGGTAACTGTGGGCTGCAGCTTCAAAGCAGTAACACATGCTTCATCTGCCTTGATGGTCCATGTGCCACATGACTTAGCAGAGAACGTAATTATTTGTAAACCAGTGGGCTTGAGACAAGAAATGTGAGCTAAAAACTGAGGCAATGGGACAAAAAGAAAAAGATCAGACTCTTATTCTGCACCATTGTGCACTGCCTTAGTAGAGAGAAAAAGCAGATGCCAAAATTCAAGTGCCTTTCCATTGTCTCCCCAGGACAAATGTATATCTTTTCCAAGTTACATATTAAATGTCTCAAATAAGGAACAATTCAAGGTTTTAGCAGAAGTAAAAGGCCTTTTTTTTCTAAACAAGCTTCAAATTCACAAATAACAGGTTCTTTGTCAGGGTTTTGTTTTTGAGGAAGTTTTCCTTCCCCAAAAACTTGTACAAAATAGAATACCTTTATGTTTGCCTTGGGAACTCTGGGGAAGAAACAAGTACACTAAGAACCTTTTTCTTACTATCTTTATAAAGATACTTCTACCATTAATCCTTCTGATTTACTTTATTCTTTTAGGAAACTACCTTAAAATTAAACTTCGCAACTGCAAAATGTTATGTAATTATTAGTAGGAGATAATCTACTTGTCATTCACTGTGAGTGAGAACTTTATGACGGAACAAAAGGAATTATCTTACTCACCTGTTCCTACCTGCAGTTTTTGACTCACAGCTTATTATTTATTTAGCAATTTAAAAAAGTCTTTCTGAAGCACAGTACTTTAGTCATTTAAAATTTTTAACTTACTTTTTCATCATACATAAAAACTGAGAATCATGGATAAAACATATACATTAAAAAACCCTCCAGCTTTAATTTGTAAGTGGAAAGAGGTAAAATGTTCAAGTTCAAGCATCATTTTGATGTCATAACCCAGATTCTGGTTTTTGTTTAAGAAGCAGATATTCTTGAAATTTGTCATTTTATTTTACTTTTTAACTTATTAATGAAAATTTCAAATACATGCAAAAGTAGAATACTATAATAAACCACATGCAACATATAATCATCACCCAGCTTCAGTAAACAACTCATGGCTAATCGGGTTTCAATTCTATCCCATCTCCTCTGCCCACCTCTGCATTATTCTGAAGTAAAGCCCAGATGTCATATCATATCATCAGTAAATATTTTTAAGTGTATTTCTAATGGATGTTCTTTTTGTTTTAAGTAACCACAATACCACAATCACACCTAAATAACATCAACAATTCTGTAATATCCTCACAGATCCAGGCACGGTTTCCATTTCTTCACTTGCCTCCTGGGAGTTAATGTTTCTTTTATAATTTGTGTTTGAATTGGGATAAAATGTGGCCCATATATTGCAAATGATTAATATGCCTCTCTCTTGTTACTTTGGTTCTCTTTCCTTTACTTTTTTCTTCCAATGTTTGGTAGAAGAAACCAAGTCTCTTTTCCTGTAAAATTTTTCCACAGTCTGGATTTTGCTGATTACATCCCATGGTGTAACTTAAAATGCTCCTCTGTCCCCTATATTTCCTCTTAACTGGTGGTTGGATCTGGAAGCCTGACTGGTCTAAGGCTTGAGTTTTGGGCAAAACTACCTCTACTTTTTGGCAAGATCACGATGTTGTGTGGGCTTCCATCAGGAGACACATCATGTCTGGTTTTTTATTTGTGGGCCAACCATTTAAGTTTGTGGTTCCCTGAGTCCAAGCAAACTTCATTTACTGCAAACTATGTTCTCTTCAAATCGTAAAATCTTACACCATATTTCTTAGTAGCATAATAATCCAGCTACATCTTTTTGTCCTCACATAAGATGATGTCATACTTTAATTTCTTTCTGTTGTTTCTCTTCCAATTAAAGCAGTTATGAATTTAGTTTAATGCATTTTCCTCAGTTTCCATTGTTTCAATCTATTCTTTTTTTTGCTACTCCACTCTTCCAGACAAAAATTAGTCCAACATAGTGACAATCACACACATGGCAACAATGATGGAATCTGAAGGCTGCATTAAAAATCCAGGGCTGTTTCATCACTATAATAAATTTCAATTTGATCAGACTTCAGATCCAGTTCTTAGCTTCAGGAAGGCTTAGTTAGAATAAAGATTGACATTAGGCAGCTTTTTCAAAATAATAAATCACTTCTACTTCTGCCTCAGTGCCTAGGGGAATTCTGCACAGATGCAGAGTGACACCTTTAACAAGATGAACAGTGGTGAGGGGTTTCTGATCCAGTTGATAATTTTATACGCCTTGAGCTCTGTGAGAGACTTCCACAAAGCAATGAATGTAAAAGAGTTTTTCTTGCTCTATCTAAGTTCAGTGAAGACCCCTCACTGCAGGTTTTGAGTAGGTTCATCTGTTCTTTTTACCCCCGCATTAGGCATAAACCTTCACACAGCACATTGTATCATCAAACTTTGAAGAAACCACTGTTACCACCAATGCAAACATTACTTTTCAAAGCCTTTTGTGTTCTGTTCTTTCTTCTAACTTCATTATCAAACATTTTGGTGCCAATTTGGAAGACGGTAAACAATCTGGTGAAACAGTCCCTGGCATACAGCAAGCACTCAGATACTATTTCACAAGTAATATCTTAGCAAAATGGGTGTTCATTAAGTAAACCTTCAGCATAGTTTGGTTGGTTTGATAAACTATAATTCATGAGCCAAAGTACTTAAATGTTGATGCTCCACAGAGTTCTGCTGCTGGTCAGCCTTGCTGGTTTTCTTGCTAAATCTTCTCAATGGGCCTCTTTATCCATGTGCCTGTCTTCCACCTGGCACCTGGAGCTACATCTCAGGCCCAGGCATCTTGCCAAACTCCGGAATCTTATTTCCAATTTCTCCCAGACATTGCAACTTAGATTTCCCACAAGCACCTCAAACTCCACTTGTCCAAAGCTGGATTCATCATCTTCTCCCAGTTTCTACCCTGGTAAATGACTCTGAGGCACCATCTGAGCATCATCTGAGACTCCTCTTTCTTCATCCTCCACATCCAGTGGATTGCTAATTCCTACTGATTTTACTACACAGACATCTCTCAAAGCTGTCCCCCTCCTCTCCACCCCTACATATTCCAACCTAATTCAGGCCCTAATAATCTTGCCCTGAGACAACCTTCCAAGTCTCTATAATGGTTCTCCACACCTTAGATCTAGTCTTATCAACTAACACCCCTTCCCCACCCTTGAACTTACTGCCACCAAATCAGATCTCTGCTTAAAACCCTTCACTGGTATCTTATCATTTCTATTAGCCTACAAGTGGTGTGAACATGCAATTTATTGTCTGACCTGGCACCCTTTTGAAAGTGAACAGTGGCGCTGTTGTATAATTATTCTGGTGTAACCAACAAACTGAGCCTGTCCTGGGCAAGCCCACACATAAGCCCTCCGAAATCTCTGGCCACATCCCCCCATCCCACTCCCCAATCTTCAGCACCTCCACACCCCCTACCTTTAGCACCTCCACACTCCTTTTCGTTTCTTGTACAAACTGTCTCCCTCTCTTGAACTCTGTTCCCTTCTAGGCACAGTCCTATTTATCATTCAGACTTGTTTTAAACATCACCTCCCCAGAAAAGCTTTCTCTAAACCCTCCTGGCCAAATTGATTATGTAGTCCCATGTGCCAACACTATGCACTGGGCTTATTCCTGCCATGGGACCTGGCTCCCTGCATTGCATACATAATATGTATCTGCCTTCCCTCCTATGAGCTCCTGTGAGAGTGTCTATGTCTCGTTCATCTTTATCTCTCCAGCATCTATGATGTGATTACAGGTCTGCACCCAGCAGGTTTTTCTTATGTCACTTCTCAATCATGTCTTACATTTAACAAAATAGTTTTGCCTGAGCTAATTCAGTATAATTAATGAAAAATTAAAAAATGAGGTAAGTAGCAGTCAGTAGCCCCAATACCAGCCTTGTATATCACAGACCACCGTCCAATTTAAGTAATTTTTTTTAAAGGAGTGCTTTGAGATTATAGAATCTGAGCTTATGGCAGAACCCGCATAGGAGATCATGAAAACAGGCATGGAGATAAGCCAACATTATGCTAGCCACTGTCCATGAAATTCTTGAGGCTTCTTGTATAAAATAAAGTCTTTTCTTTTCTTTTTTTTTTTTTTTTTCTGAAACAAGGTTTCACTCTGTCACCCAAGCTGGAGTGCAGTGGCACTATCTCAGCTCACTGCAACCTCCACTTCCCAGGCTCAGGCAATCCTCCCACCTCAGCCTCCCAAGTAGCTGAGACTACAAGTGTGCACCACCACACCTGGTTAATTTTTGTATTTTTTGTAGAGATGGTGTTTCACCATGTTGCCCAGGCCGGTCTCAAACTCCTGAGCTCAAGCAATCTGCCTGCCTCAGCCTCCCAAAGTGCTGGGATTACAGGTGTGAGACACCACGCCTGGCCATAAAGTCAATGTTAAGATAAAACGAACCTGCTGAGTATACAAGATGGTCCCAGGGCAGGGGTAGGGGAAATGACTGGGATCTCCTTGCTGTGACAATAGGAACATGGAAATGAAAATCCCACTAACATACCTTCATATAGTACTTTATAGTTTGCAAAGCACTTCCCCATATATTATATCATCTGACCTTCAAGACAACCATGTGAGACAGACTGAGGATCAGCCAACATTTCCTGAGCTTTGACAGTGCCTCCAGGATCCTAGGACAATGCCCTTTTCACAGTCCAAAACACACTGGGCAGGCCTGACCTTACACTGCTTTTCCATGAAGGCTTTCAGTATCCAAGATGGGAACTAGAGCTCCAAATGTTGCACCAGCCAACCTGTCATATTATGGCTGGACATAATCTAAGGTGGCTTCCAGGAGCGAGGTCAAGCTAGGGACATGCTCTCAGTGCCAGGTCCAGGTTGCTGCCACAGCTGTGGCAGGCAAATGCGGGGGGGGGCTCCATTTCCTTCTTACTTAACACAGACAGGCAGCCATCACGTCCTCTGCATGTGACAAGGGAGCGGTGTTTTAAAGGCAGCAGCAACGTGCAAGCTCAAGCTGAGCCCCAGTCTAGGAGCCAAAATGAAAAAGCAATGCACGCACAGAGACACAGAGAACAGATATGGGGTTCCTAAAATATACCCCACCCGTAGATTTCAATATTAAAATTTTAGCATTAAAAGTCTATTTCTCATGGATAAAGCAGCTCTTCCAGCATCTTTTAAAATATGCAAACACACCTAAGAGGAATAGAGTACTATGACATCAATCTCTATCACTGTAGTGTGAATTAGCCTATGAATTAACTGTTTTCCTTATCAGCAACTCTTTCTGGACAGGGACCACTGGGCTTCTTGCTGCAGTAAGGGACAACTGTAGGCAGAGACAAAGGACTAGCTTAAAGCAAAGATGGAATTACCAAAGATAAACTCAACTCATCTCACAATTTTACCCAGGGTCAGCTCTGAAAGACACAACTGCAATGACCTAGTAAGAACTCACCTCTAGTATGACTTACCATTTCATTCTTATTATCACTGAAACTAAGAAATAAATACAATGAGAACAATCAGATGTATTTGGTGAGCATTTAGTCCTAGAGAGTTGGCATGGCTCTAAAAAAGTCATGTAATGATTATGGCACAATCAGACCTGGTCTAACATGCATTGCTTTACTTCGCCAGTCCCTTGTAACTTAATGCAGAGAGTTGATTCAGCTCGAATGAGAGAGAATCTTACCCACTCCTCCTCCTGACCTCTTTCTCACTGTTGTGTTTCTTTCTACCATAGCTGATCCATGTTCTACGTGCATGATGAGAATGTTTTATCAACAATGTTCCATAATACTACATTGATTTTATTTGACTAGGCTAGGAACAGACTCATTTTTCTCTGTACATAAAAGATACCAAGCAAAGCAAAAAGACCTTGGAGCAGGCAGAACACCCCCCCAAATTGTAACCTGAACAGTTTTTTTTTTTATGTCAAGTATTCTAGGTTTCTGCTAAATCCAGGTTTGTGCAAAAAGACAAGATTTAATAATGCAGACGATATATTGAAAAACTTTAACATTAAAACAATTCACCCATATGAATGGGAATGGTTGGCTGAAAGGAGTGGAGAAAACTATTTCTCAAAGAAAGTGTAACCAATTTTGCAAAATGCCAATACCAAAAATACAAACAATTAAGCCACATGCTTAAAAATCTTCATGAGGTTTTAGTAATGGTGAAGTAGCTTGATATGGACCAACCCTCCCACCAAAAGATTAAAATACCTGGAAAATATATTTTAAACAACTAGTTGATGATGTGAGAGAACAACCAAAAACACATACAAACTAGAGAGAATCTGACACGTGAAGGAGGGAAACCGCATTAGGTGAGACCCACATTTGTAGGGCTTTTCTCCAGATTATTCCCCAGGTTGTGCAGGATTGGGTAAATAGAACTCAATATGGAACCACAGTTTTATTGGCTTGAAGGCAGAATTGACAAAATTCAAGCCTACCAGATGACTGGATATTGAGGGGAGAAAACCTGGAAAGATGGGGCCACAGAAAGAAGAACCTCCACATATGTAAACTCTTCAAGCCCTCACATCTTCCTAAACTGTGCATGTGCAAGGGAAACTCTAAGAGGTCCAGACAGGAGCAAGAGCTAGGATGCTGAAAGATAGGAACTGAGATTTCAGCTGTTTCCCACCCATAGGAGAAAGAGTTAGAAGCTTGAGTGACATAAAATTAATGGGCTTAAAACACCTTGGGATTTCTACTGAAACCTCACACTGGCTATGCCTTACGAGCAAAGACCATGTCCACGGACTACAGAATTGACTAATTTGACTACAGATGGGTTTAAAGATACTCAAGATTGTTAAGATGTTAATTCCCCTCAAACTGATCTATAGATCCAACACAATTTCAATTCAAAATACAGCAGGATTTTGTCTGGAAATATATAAGCTGACTCTAAAACTGATATCAAATTGCAAAATACTGAGAATAGCTAAAATAACCTTAAACATACAAAAAAGAACGGAGTTGGAGGGCTCATACTATGTAACCATAAGACTCACTATAAAGCAACAGTAATGAGACAGTGTAATACTGGCATAATGTAGAGAAAAGAAAGAGAGATCAGATGGACAAACAGATCAACAGGACAGAACAGATAATCCAGAAACAGACCCACATTATATGGTCAATTGATTTTCAACAAAGGTTCCAGGGTGATTCAAGGGGCCAGGGGAGACTTTTAATAAATGGTGCTAGAACAACTGCATTCGTGTATTGAAAAAAAATGTTTCAACTCCTCTGTAACATCACACACAAATATCAATTTAAGAAGGCATACAGACCTAAACATAAAACCTAAAACTATTTGCTTCTTAAAAAAAAAAAACAAAAAAAGAAACAGGAGAATATCTTAGTGATCCTATGACAGAGAGATCTCTGAAGACATAAAACATATGAACTACAAAAGATGAGATTAACAAATTGAACTTCATAGAAATTTAAAACTTTTGCTCAAAGACACCATTAAGAAAATGAAAAGGCAAGCCACAGACTGGGAAAAAGTAATCACAATACCTATTTCTCACAAAGGACTCATATCCAGAAAACAAAGAACTCCTCTAAATCAATAATAGAAAGACAAATCCAATTTTAGAAAACAGGACAAAAGACTGGAACTGGAAATTATCAAATAAACAAACAAATGACCAATAAGCATGTGAGAAAGTACTCACCATCAGGGAAATGCAAATTTACCCACAGGATATAATTTCATACCCACTAGAATGTCTACGATGAAAAGCAATGGCCATAGAAAGTGTTAATGAGGATATGAAGTAATTGGAACTCTCATGCATTGCTGGTGGGAGTATAATAAAACCACTTTGGAAACCATCTGGAAGTTTCTTCTGAAGTTACACACACACCTACTTTATTACCCAGCAATTCCACTCCTATATAATTATCCAAGATAAATGAAAGTGTTATGTCCAGAAAAATTTATGTGTAAGAAGGTTAATAAAAGCATTATTCATAATAGACAACAATAGGAAAAACCCCAAAAGTCCACCAAGAGGAGAATGGGTAAACAAATGGATGCTACATTTATATAATGGGATACTACTACTCAGAAATAAAATGAAAAAAATACTGATATACACAATGATATGAATCTTCTAAAAACTATGCTGAGTGAAAGAAACCAGACATAAAAGAGAATATACTGTATAATTCCATGTATATGAACTTCTAGGGTAGGTAAAACTAACCTGTGGTGAAATAAAGCACTTTACTTATTGCCTCTGGGAGCAGGGGATTGAAAAAGGGTACAGGGAAATGTTCACAATAATGGAAATGTCCTGTATCTTGGATTGGGGTGCTGGTTATGCAGTTGTATGCATTTGTCAAAATTCAAATTGTTCACTTCTGATCTATCATTTCACCCCCATATAAATTTTACCTCAAGTAAAAAAAATATTGGATGGGGGAGTAGGGAGTACGGTAGCCACAGATGAAGAACAGAATCCCTTACAGGTCACAAATGAGATAGAGATTATAAAGAAGATAACTGGATCCCTAAATTTCTTTCATAGACATTCACAGGCAAACTAAAAGATGGCACAAAACCAAAGACGTAGAGTTCCACAGTCATGAACCAAAAAGACGCAAAAACCATTCAGCTACGATGACACTGGCTAAAAACAAAAACTCATTGAGTGTGTTAAATGAAACGTGAGATTGCCAGATTTAGCAAATATATTTAATTTGGCAACCTGAACCAATAGACCACTGGGCAACAAAATACTAGCCAGCCCAACTTATGAAAGTGATTTTTTAAGCATCTCTTACAACATGCTCTTTTTTATAATGTCCATGATAGAAATTCCTACTGAGTGTAAACCAAGATTACATGTATTCTGGAAACTACCCAAAACTCATTCTTACCTTCAGTGAAACTCCCGGTAAGGGTTATTACCACAAATACTTTCCCCTCTGGCTCGAGATCCACCTACAAAGAGAAAAAAAAATGTATATTATATGTTAGTTTTAAAATATTTTTGTGGGCCTTAAACAATTCATCACAGAGAGGCCTAATGTGTAAATCACAGCCACAAATCAAATAAATCTAAGTCTTTCATTAAATAGTAGAGTGGCAGGGAAACAAGTGAAAGCTCAAAAAACTGTAAAGACTGAAAAGAAACCACATTTTATCAGTTTCCTTCCTCTTGAATTTTATTCTCTCCCATTTTTGGCTTGTCATAATATAGACAGGCACATCCACATACTTGGTAATTGTTTTTGAGACCTCCATATCTTATGCATATGGCTTATAAGAGCAGCATTTTACTAAACCACATGGCAAGAATATGAAATAGAGAAATAACGGCAACATACAAGGTAATGAACACATGTGGCTTGGTCAACTGCAAATCTTTAGTTTTATGGAGTAAAAAGTATAAAGAGTCTCTGCTACATATTTCCACCAAAGTCTGGTCAATCTTAAGGAAGCACTAGGGAAGGAAGTTTAGGAGCCTTGCATTCACTACTCTTTTTTTTTTGAGAGAGAGAGGTAGTTTCACTTTGTTGCCCAGGCTGGAGTGCAGTGGCATGATCTCAGCTCACTGCAACCTCCATCTCCTAGGTTCAAGCAATTCTGCCTCAGTCTCCTGAGTAGCTGGGATTACAGGCGTGTGCCACCACATCTGATCTGTTTTTGTATTTTTTAGTAGAGATGGGGTTTCACCATGTTGGCCAGGCTGGTCTCGAACTCCTGACTTCAAATGATCCTCCCGCCTCAGCCTCCCAAAGTGCTGGGATTACAGGCGTGAGACACTGTGTCGGACTGCTACTCTTAATTAGTCACGGGAGTATCAACATACCTTGAAGTTACCTATCAGCTGAAATATCAAGACATGCATTCTGCAAGCAATGCAGCTTGAAGTCTTTTCATATGGTGTCGTCCTCTGCATATAGTCCAGTTTCCGAAAGACCCCATACAGCATGGCGCCCAGGATGAACAGCACCTCTGGCTCTGTTCTGATCACCACTAGCTTAGGTGGGCGGACTCCCCTCTTCCTACCGGATGCTAACTTCACTATCCATGAACACCTCTAAGCCTTGCATTGTGAGGCTCTTGTGGACTCAAATACATGAATTTACAATTGTCCTTAAATAAATCTTTTCAGATTCTGCCCATGGCTCCATTTTTATTTTATTTTTCTCTTTCTTTGGCTGTGGCTCCATTTCTGCCTTTGACCTTTCATCTGAAGAGGAAGACTGGCATATAGAGAAGTTTCACTAGAGATACGAATGACCATTTTTGGTCAAATATTAAATTTAAAATAAGCTGCAAATAGTCACATGGTACAGTGGAAAGAGCCCCCCTACTAGACCAGGCCAAGAACTCTAGTCTGATTCTGTCACAGCTGGTTCTGGACCCTGGGCAAGGTCCTTTACCACACTGAGCCTCACTCTTCCAATCTGAAAAGTCTATGGCATCATTATTTAGCATTTTTTCTCTTTTTTTTTTTTTTTGAGACAGGGTCTCACTGTCTCCCAGGCTGGAGTGCAGTGGCACAATCATAGCTCACTGCAGCCTTGAACTCCCAGCCTCAAGCGATTCTCCTGCCTCAGCCTCCCAAGTAGCTAGGACTATAGGCATGTGCCACCATAACCAGCTTGCCTGCTTATCTAGGTATGTATGTATGTATGTAGAGACAAGGTCTCACTATGTTGCCCAGTCTCAAACTCTTAGGCTCAAGCAATCCTCCCACCTCAGCCTCTCAAGTCACTGGGATTACAAGTGTGAGTCACTGTGCCTGGCATTGGCCTAGCGTTTCTAACACAGCCTCCACATATGATCTCAAAGATTTTTTTTTTTTTTAAGACAGAGTCTCCCTCTGTCACCCAGGCTGGACTTCAATGCTGCAATCATGACTCACTGTAGCCTCGACCACCTGGGTTCAAGTGATTTTCCTGCCTCAGCCCCCCAAGTAGCTGGGACCACAGGCACATGCCATCATGCCTGGCTTAGAGAGGCATGTTGCCCAGACTGGTCTTGAACTCCTGAGACCAGGCAATCCGCCCGCCTTGGCCTCCCAGAGTGCTGGGATTACAGGCGAGAGCCACCATGCCCAGCCAATCTCAAAGATTCTTAACAGTACTGTTTACTTTTTTAAAATTTATTGTATCTACCCATGACAAAGCCCCCAAAAATGCACTGGACTTACCCTAGGTCACCACCACACCCTGATTATATACTTTTTCAAAATAAAAGATGCCTGCTTTGTTCAGATTCAGAAAGCTTAACCTGTATAACAACCTATTCTTACAACCCACCCTTTCTCTGCATAAAACCTGTTACCAATGTGGTTACCACACTATAAATCACCTCCCTGTTCAAATCAGCTACTTGCATCATGACTACTGTTAACAATATCCTCTTAACTATCTTAATACCACTTGTGAACCTTTATAGAACAGCTCTGAAAATAGAGCTCTCTAGAGAGATGACTAAACAGGATATCAGCCTCTAATTGTCTCCACTCTCTGCCTTGACTTGTTTCAAGTCAAAAATACATTATTTTTAAAAGCCACACTCCCTCATCTTCAATATAAAGGCCTGCCAGAGAATACATACATACACATACATTCGACCTCACAACATAAACTACTGCTGGCACAGGCACAGTTGCTGCCTGGCCGCCTCCGCCATCCTGCAGCCCACAGCCAGCCCGTAAACTCCCTTCAACACTTCCCTGAGGGCCCACAAAGGCCTTTCCACCCCAAGATGGGTCAGGAGCTACTCTGACAGACAGCAGGAGATTCCACCAGTTAGAAGCAGGAGCTCTCACAAGTAGAACAGGTTTCCTTCCGCATTTTTGACCCATGTCACCCACTGTGGTGGAAAAGCCGGATTTAAACACGGTCTTCAAGTGTTGTCCACCTAGGGCAGATGTGGTAAGACACTGGACCTTAGAACAGGGTTTTACAAACTGCAGGTTGAAACTTTTTAGAGAGACATGAAAGCAACTTAGTGGGTTGCACACAATGGGGATTTCTTTCTTTTTTTTTTTTTTTTTTTTTGAGACAGAGTCTCGCTCTGTCACCCAGGCTGGTGTGCAGTAGCACCATCTCGGCTCACTGCAATCTCTGCCTCCTGGGTTCAAGTGATTCTCCTGCCTCAGCCTCCCACATAGCTGGGACTACAGGCACATGTCACCACACCTGGCTGATTTTTGTAATTTTAGTAGAGATGGGGTTTCGCCATGTTGGCAAGGCTGGTCTCAAACTTCTGACCTCAGGAGATCTGTCCACCTCAGCCTCCCAAAGTGCTGGAATTACAGGCATGAGCCACCACACCCAGCGGACAATAGGGATTTCAAAGTAGAATAAAAACAGAACAGAAAATATGAACATGCTACAGGTAGTAAGGAAAAGCACTGTTTCATGCAACTTTTGTGTGTAGTTTTGTATACATATAAAAGGGTACAGTAGGTTTTAATGTAAAGATGTATTCCTTACTGTGTCACAGAGAAACAGTTTGAAAAATGTGGCTTTGGAGGTTATTTGTTCCTTCTATACACTGCTGATGGGCTGTTATCATTTATTCACGGTAGTTGCTTAGATACCCCCCAGTGACAACCAATTCACTACCTTAACAGCTGGCCTATTTCATTCCTGTACAATATAGACAGATCTTTCTCTATGAATACAAACGCAGCAAGACCAATAATTTCCACTCATTTACCTTAGTTTCGCCCTCTACAGCTCCAGTGGACACTGTCTCTAGCTAGTACATCCATCCCAGCTTCTGGGAATAACACTTGAGCTTTATTTGAGAACTACTCCTCCCTCACATGTAGTCCAAATGGCTCATCTGGGATTCTGCCCCTAACTCCAGAGTGGACATGTGAGCAGGCCTAGCAGATCAGAGCACTGACTGAACTCTGCACAGCTGGCCTGGGGCAGGCACATTCCTTCTCTCTGGCTATCAGTGTAATTACAACTCCCTACCCGGTATCAGCATCTACTGGTTCAGGTTTGAGCACAAAAATCCAAGTAGGTCCAACTAGGAATCCTGGATCTACAAGGAAGGGACAAGATCTCGCTTCTGCTAAACTTCAATCTGGAAGGACACAAACTTGGGAGTGTCCGGCACCTGTGTTGTCCCCCCACTGAGCTACAGAATGAAGCCAACAAAGAGGGGAGAGCTGAGGGACAGAAAGAGAACAGCTCTTCGTAACATCATTTAAACCCTTAGATCAAGCCTTGCTTGATTCTTTGGGATTTTTTTTTGTTATTTGAGCCTATAAATTCCTTTTGTCTTAGCCAGTTTGAGTAGGGGTTTCTATCACTTGCACTCAAAAAACATATTCAAATTGTCAGCCAAAGAGAATAGGTCAAATATTCGACAACAATTATCACATCCCTCTATGCCTTCTAACATCCGTGCTATCCCCTGCCGTCTGCCTCCCTGCCTCCCACCAGCACTGAAACAGCTCCAGCAACTTTTATGAAGTCCTACTGTCAGATACAAAGATGTGTCTGTCTTCATCTCAGTTGATCTCTCTGCCGCATCTGATCTTGACATCTTCCTCTTCATGAATCTCTCATTCCTTACTTCCAGGACACCACCCTTTCCTGGCCCTCCTCTCACTCCTGAGCCCTGTATTTACCCAGTAGGCCACGCCAGAAGCCCAGCTCCTCAGCAGGTACATTGAATCGCTCTCAGATCCCAACACGTCCACTCTCGAAGTCTCTCCTGGATCTACCCCTGCTCCACTCCTACTGCCGTGGTTCATCTGGCCTCCCTGAACGGGCTTCTAGCTGCCTTCTATTTCCAGACTACTGTCCTCCAGCTGCTGCCAGTGACATGTTTCAAAAATTAAAATCTGACCATGTGGCTTCCTAACTTAGAAACCGTCAGTGTTTCCTCTCCTGTCCATGATAAGGTCCAAATTCTTTAGCACAGCACATAGCCCTAGACACTAAACCCCTTCCTACCTTTCAGCCTAAGCTCTTCCCACCACTGCAGCTGCATACAACCAGTATCCCCATCTCTTAATTCTTGTACACTCTCCAGGGAGGTATGTTATTTCATTTATTCTGAGAGAGCAACCAAACGCATTATGGATCAAGCAGCATACTGGGGAATATAGTCAAAATTATGAAAATTACACATTACCCATCTGTAGCTTATTGCCTAGTGATTTGGGGTATGTGATCTTTCTGGCTGGAAACTCCTTTCTTCCTTTTTATACTTGTCCAACTCCTATTTGTCCATCAATTCAAGACCCACCTGTATAGGGGGACCTTTCCAGACCTCTTTCAGACAGGTGGGCAACTCCACACCTGTTATGAAGACTACTGCTGGAACCCACATCATGTTGTAGTCATTATGCCCTGTCCCCAAAGGAGACCCTACCTTGCATATAAGGGGACAGAAAATGGTTTGTGGAACAAATGAGTAAATAAAATAGACCTGGGTATCTCAAACTCTCAGCAACTTCATGTAGGACATGATTTTCTCCTCCTTCACCATTCTAGTCAGTTTCCTCCTGACATGCCCCAATTTCTTCACACCCCCATTAAAGGGTGAAGTCAGGCTGAGTGTGTGACCTGACTTTCACCAGCAAGAGCAAGATTATCATTAACGTTGATCTTGACAGTGACAGTGCCCTTTACCAATGCAGCGAGAATACATGGGCGCTCTGAGAAGCCCCAGTGACCCAGGCTGAGCTTGCAATGAACTAAAACCTCTGCATCTTTTCTAGCTGCCATAAGGCTTTGCTTCCCACATCCTGTGCTCGTGCAGTGGTTAGGCTCAAAACCTTCATAAAAACCTAAGTGCTTCATTTTTTTTTTCTGCAATATTTTGGCTTGTCCCAGGTCATAGCGTTCACTGGATCGCAAATCCAGTCAGTTCATTCACTCCCCTTCTCAGTTTTATGGCTCCCCAAATCAGGGCCTCAGGCTACCTATGTCATTGGCTAATGCACTGACAGAGTGTCTAATAGAACAGAGCTGAGGTCAGAGTCTAGGGCAGCCCCACATAGAAATGAACACACTTAGCATTCTTACTATAACAGTCATTCAAGGAGCAATAAACACACTAACCCCCTCCCCTACAGACCACTTCTCTTGGTAAAAAGAACAACTCCTGGGCCCTTGTTGAAACCCAGATAACAGTGGTCTTTAAAAAAATGTGATTCTTCTATACAAATAGACAAATGAACAAAAGTATAAAAACTCAGTGTCAACAAATGGTGCTAGAACAACGGGACATCCATACCCAAAATAATGAATTTCAACCCATACATTGTAACTTACACCTAAATTTACTCAAAACAGCTCAGAGAAGAAAACATAAACACAACTTCAGCCTTTAGGGTTCTCTATGTTGTTTCTACTACTCTGTTCTACACTTTTGAGTCCCCGAAGTGGACTGAAAATATCCTATGCCTGGTTTGCAGCAGCCACTCGGGAAAGCATTTCTTGACTGAATGATTCCCAACGTGCACCCTCAGAGCCATCTAACCCTTGAGTTCTCATGCCAAGTAACCCCTTCCTCAAAGAGCCATCAGTGTTGAACTCACATGAATCAGCGCTGCCTCAAATACTATACCTCCCCATCTGAACTTATCCCCTATCTCCCACATTGTGGCTGAGTAATAGCAATGCTAGAGAAGACCTGGGTCCTGGTGCTCTGTCCTGACCAATCTGCGACATCAGGAAGGCCATTCAATCTTCTTTGCCAAAGAATCACAGAAAGGGATTAAATATAAGATTCCCAGACCCCACAGGTGATCTACTGATTTTAAATTTTCTGGGGCAAGGGAACGGGGTCTAGGCATCTGCTGTTTTTAAAAGTTCTGTAGGTAACTCTGATATAGCCAGACCACGGACCACCATCTGGGAAGCCTGAGCCAGATTCTCTCTAAGGGGCCAATTCCAGCTTTAAAGGGCTCCAATCCCATGTTTCCTCCTAAAGCTTCCAGTGGTCATCACTGAATCACTAGAACCACTGTTCTTCTGCGTTCCCAGGCTTAAAATCCTGGAGCCACTCCGACTTGAGGCACCGTGACCATCTGTTTTTCCCTTCGTTCCCTCCATCATTCTAGGATCCCTGTCACTGCAGGCCTCCTCCCTCATCCTTTCTCCTGCAGTCATGGAACACCCCACCAAAAACAAAGCAGCCTTTTCTAAAGTGCTGATCTCATCAACTTCCCCCTCTAAAGCCTCCGCTGGTCTCCGAGAGTCTTCAGAATAAAACACCCTGCTCCACCTGGCTTTCAGGACCACTTGGGCTCCCCTTTTGCTGCCTTCCCACTAATCTATCCAAACTTTGTTTTCAAAATTCCCTTCCTTCCATTGTCACTTTAGAAAGTTAAAATACAAAAAGAAGAAAAAAATCACTTTTTAAAACCTGCTGTCCTAGTCAGGCCCCTCTCCTGGCTCTATCACTCAGCCACACATTTGCTCATGCCGTGTTCTCTGCTTGGAAAACCTGTCTCTCTTCACCGCACCTATCTATTCATTCATTTGAACCTTTATTGAATGACTCCCAGGGTCGGGACAACTGCAAGGTACTCAAGACTCCCCAGAGGAGCTCCTAGGGCTACAGGTTGGATGGGTTACCGAGCACAGAAGATGACACAGCTTCATGAGCAGCAGAAGGAAGAAACTGGTGCCAGGATTTGATATTCACATTGATCCCTCCGGTCTCAAAATTCACATCTCAACTATTATTAACACTTATCTATACCTTGAACAATTACTTACATTTTCATACACATATCTCATCACTTGCAATAAGTCTGTAACCTCCATTCCAGCAGGATCTGACATTATGTTCCCAAGGAGCCTCGCAGAGTTCCTTGAACCAAGTAAACACTCAATACATATCTGCTGAGTTGATCTAAGAGCTAAATAAGGTCATCTGACCACCTCAATTTCCTCACCTATAAAAATAGGAAAGGTAATATTTACTATAGAATAGTCCTACAAGATAGCACTTTGTAAAAAATAAAAGCACTCCAAGATGGCTCCAAGGAATACCGGTGACATATGGATGACAAGGGCTCACTGCTTAGAAATTATACTCTGTTAGCTTGATGTACCCACCGGATCCCCAGCACAGCCACTCCTACACCCTCAGCCAAAGTTTGCTTTTCCTTGGCATCACTTTGCAGGAGTTAGGCAAGTACTTATATCACTGGTTAAGTCTCCTTGTCCATGAAACAAGAGTTGTCTAAAAATATTCTAGCTGTAATGTTCCATGATTCTAAACAGGCTTGGATAAAAGCCTACACAAAGGACTCAAGAGAAACACTCATTTAATTAACTGGTAATAATTTACAACCATTTCCCTTCACAAAAGCCATTAGAATTGATCACAGACAGGAAACTTCTAGCTACATAACATTCATTTCAGCCTGGAATAAGCAAAGGGATCTAGCATATTAAAAGAAAAAAGCAATTTTGGGGGCAAAGGTAGAAGGTTCATCTAGACTCTATGGGCTTTGAGCAAACCTCTGTAATAGAGAAGTTGACAAAATTCAAATTCTTGGCTGGATGGCTCTTTTCTATAGCTTTCCTAAGTCTTACTCTAGCGATAAATAACAAAAACATGATAAAGCATTTCATGATTCTCTTCCACCTGAAACTGTCTGGCTTAAAAATGAGCATTCAAATTCCTAAAGAAAAAAAATTCCAACAGGTTTGTATGAATAACCTAACAGGAAAAATGAGATTGTATTGGTTTTTCTTGTTTTTTTTTGTTTGTTTTTGTTTTTTTGTTTTGAGACAGAGTCTGGCTCTGTCACCCAGGCTAGAGTGCAGTGGCACAATCACAGCTCACTGAAACCTCCATCTCCTGGGCTCAAGCCAACCTCTCAACTAAGCCTCCAGTGTAGCTGGGATTATGGGTGTACACCACCACGCCCAGCTAATTTTTGTATTTTTTGTAGAGATAGGTCTCATTATGTTGCCCAGGCTGGTGTCGAACTCCTGAGCTCCAGTGATCCACCTGCCTCAGCCTCCCAAAGTGCTAAAATTACTGGTGTGAGCCACTGTGCCTGGCTGAGGCTGTGTTTCTAATAACAAAAACAACAGCTATGTCTTTAGCTTGGCCAACTGCTAAATGCTTGACCTATATTATCTCTCACCTCCACCGCTTGCAGAGTGAAGTACTACCATCACCGTTGCACAGATGGAAAAAGGGAGGCTCAGTGAGGTTACTGAATTGGGTGAGGTCACACAAACAGCGAAGGTCAAGCCAACATTCAGATGCTGGGAAGATGCCACGCTGGTGCCGCACCAGCCTCCCTTGAGGCTGCTCTGACTGCTTCTGCCTGAGGTCCATCTGTTGCTTTCTCTCAGCCTCAAGCATGCCTGCCCTGGCTTCTGGCACATGAGGTCATCACACCACTCATTCCCCTGGGAGCCTGGGCAAGACTCGTGCCACTAGCACCTGAGGGTGCTCTCGCCTCACCTCCTCACTGCCAAGGCCACTGGGAGTGGCACCAGCCTGATGTGCCGCTGGATGGTTCTCAATGAGGGCCCGAGGCGGGAGCTGCTAAGCAAGTCTGTGCTGGGGCAGGGAAAATGCAGCAGGCAGTTTAGGTGCCGTTAGTCAGCTGCCTGGAGAGTCCGAGTCAGCATCACATGCTGCAGACACACAAGGTATCCCCCCGACATGGGAAGGGGTTTAAAGGAAAAGAAGTTGCAATAGGCAAATACTACATCCCTGCTAATTTTCTACTTTCATCTCTATAACAATGACACTAGGTGTTATGTGTTAAAGCATACTAAGAGGTATTACAGATTAAAAACTTCCAGAAAACAATGATGGCAAAAACTGAACAGAAAAGTAGTATCAAATCTGACTGGTTTCAAATGAAGGAAAACACTGTCATTACTTTACTGATTAAAGCCTTTACTGGTCCACCCTTTACCCTGCTCAATCCGGATCCTATGTGAGGTCAGAGAGCAGGTTGGAAAAGAGCCCCAGGCCATGATCACAACTCTGACATTGCCTACCTGCCACTAGGGGAAGTCACCTGGCTTCGGCATCTCAAAAACAGAGTAGACTAAGCCTGTCAATCCTTTTCTATCTGATATTCTAAGGTTCCAAGTCCTAAACAGTTTCTGAACTTTGTACAGGGCAAGTAGACATCTGAAGACTACTAAAGAAACTCTCTAAAATACATCCTTATGGCTCGCAATATTTCTCCCCTCCCAGCTGAACAGACCCACATGGTTGCTATAAATTTAAACTTAGAATTACTTCAAGTCAGATCCCAGTACCCCCAGGTTCTAGCATAGGAAGTGTTATCATCTGGCAAAAGTAAAACTCTTTTACATTGAAATTAATTTTTCAAAGTTTTTCTGCCCGTAGTAAAAAATCACAAACAGTCAAAACTATTTTTTCTCTAACAAGGAGATAGCTCAAGGTAGAAATGGTCTACTGTGTGCTCTAGTGTTATGTGTGTGTCTCAATCTTTGATTCCAATATCTGAAGAATCGAAAATGTAAATTAAATGAAGGATGCCTTAGGATCTTCAAAATACTCCACTGCAATTCCTCCCACTTAAATTCCCAGGTAATGTAATTCTGTGCTGGAAGGCCTACCTGATACCTCCTCTGTGAATGAGGACAGAGGCTCTGAAGAGACCAAGCCCAGCCCATCAGGTCCAAAGCTTCTGGTGCTCCTAATGGACCAAAAGGAGTGGGGTGAGTTCTCCTGAAGAAGTCAAATGTCCTCTCTGGAAACCAGGAGAGGACTCTTGGTATAGCACCAGGATGCCAGGCAAGACTCTGCTCTCCAGAACTAAGAAGGGGTTGGCTGCAGTGGCTCACACCTGAAATCCCAACACTTTGGGAGGCCAAGGCACACCTGAAATCCCAACACTTTGGGAGGCCAAGGCAGGAGGATCACTTGAGTCCAGGAGTTCAAGATTAGTCTGCGCAACACAGGGAGATCTCATCTCTATAAAAAATAAAAAATAGCCAGGTGTGGTGGCATGCACCTGTAGTCCCAGCTGCTTGGGAGGTTGAGGTGGGAGGATCACTTGAGCCTGGGAGGTCAAGGCTGCAATGAACCACGATTCCAACACTGCACCCCGGAGAGCCCAGGTGACAAAGTGAAACCCCATAATAAAACAAAACAAAACAAAACAAAAAAGAACTAAGAAGGTACTTTTCTTCTCCTCTGATAAGACGTCCCTAGGGACCTCATGGCAAAGGAGACCCTGGAGTAAGAAAGAGGAACCACAGAAGAGTAATTGTGCATCCCCTCCACACCGTGTGTCCCCTACATGAAAGAACACATCAAAAAAGCACTTTCCACATGAGCTCGCCACTCCTCGTTTCTGCTAAGTAGACCCTTCCAGAAAGGGAGCATACGTTCTCCTTACTAGGAAGAGGTACTAAACAGAAGTGACAGGTGTGACCCTGGCTGGAGATGGGGAATATACTCCCTGCAGCCTCACAGCCCCCTTCTTTCTTTCACACCTCTCTGGGTTGCCTAGAGACAGTGGTCATCGGCCCCACAAGTGAGCCTCCTTCTTTGCAGGGGAACCCCCACAAGAAAGGAAAAATGTCTTAACACACTGAAGATACCAGGTTAAAAACAAGATATAAACTAACCGAGAATAATTCTACATTGTTGATTCTCATCATCCATTGTAATGGAGGAAGAAGGCAAAAGCTCCAGCAAAACCAAAACAAGAACTCAAAACTACATATTTAGCATACATAAGCATTTCAAGATGTTTTAGAGACTTGTTTGCTTAATTATTCATTGCTCAGTCTGCAGGGAAACTTTGGAAGACTCTGAATCTGAGGAGGCATTAGAAAATAGATGAAGCCTATATCTCTATCCCAACAGTTATTCTATGATAACACCTTTACTCCTCTTGGTCTTCTGGAGGGAAGGAGACGAAAGCTCCACAAAAGAGGGAACGTTTGTACAATGCCTAGAAATTCAGGTGATGGTTTTCCAAGTGGACCTGGGGAGGGGGGGCATCTACACAGAGACGGGGAGTGTGCAAATGCACAGAAGATGTATAGGGGTTACAGATGATCAAATGTAAGCTGTGTAAATGAGACAAGTCAGAAATAGGACTGCAGAGGAAAGTGCATCCAATCAATAATGGCCTCACGACATGCTGGCAGGCTGGTCCTTATCCCAGGGCAATGGGGAGCCACTGAGGGGTTTCAATCAGGAAAGTTACAAGGTCATACCTACATGTCAGATCCCGATACATAACTGTTGGGATTATAAGAGGAGAGAAGCTGGTGGTGGGAATTCATGTTCAAGGCAAGTCCAATGGTCTGAGTGAAAGACAGTGGTGACCTGAGCTAAGGCAGCAGTAGAAGGGATGGAGAGGAGAGGGCAGATAGGAGAAAGACATAGGAGGGAGCAGCAGCTGGACTTTTCGTAACTGATGCAGGTAGGGTGGAGGTGAAAGAGAAGGAGTCAGAATCACAAGGCAATGATGATCCCTGGTGCCATTAACTGAGACAGGGACTCCAAGGGGGAAGCAGAACTGGAGGAAAGACAAAGAGTTCAATGTATGACCTTTACCTATGACATCTGAGCATCTACTGGGCTGTCCTTAACAGCTTCTGAAAATTCAGATGGAGAGGGAGGAACACCACAAATTACAACCCAATGCGGTCTCAACTGAATAGGTCAGTGGCAACATCAAAAGCACTATTCAGTGCTGGGTGTGGCGGCTCACATCTGTAATCTCAGTATTTTGGGAGGCCAAGATAGGAAGATCACTTGAGGCCAGAGCTCCAGAACAGCCTAAGCAACAAAATAAGACCCCATCTCTATAAAAAAAATTAGCCAGATGTGGTGGTACATGCTTGTAATCCCAGCTACTTGGGAGGCTGAAACAGGAGGATCACCTGAGCCCTGGAGTTGGAGGCTGCAGTGATCACACCACTTCATTCCAGCCTAAGTGACAGAGAGAGATGCTGTCTCAAAAAAAAAAAAAGAAAAAGAAAAAGAAAAAAAAAGCCCTAGGAGAGGAGCAATCACTGGGCTAGGGCGAAGCTTTACCTGGGAAGTGAGACCCTGAATTGAGGCCTGAAGGCAAGTTTCAATTAGTGGGAAGTGAGACCATTCTGAGTCAGGAGCAACCTGTGAGAAGTGATAGAACTAATATCAGAACACACACTTGATCAGTGTCATTGGAGGAATGTCCATACAGGAGTAAGAGAGAAGGCTGGAGGCAAAACACAGAAAGAGCTACACCCAGAGAACTGTAACCTTAGATTGCAGGCCAAGGGGAGCCACTAGAGGTTTTTGATTATGTAAAATGATAGAGATTAACATGTAAAAGGAAGATTTTGTCTACTAGATGAATGAATAGACAGACAGCTATGGTCTAGAAGTATGAATGGTTTGCTAAGGGTGAAATCAGTGAAAATTAATAATCATGTGAAGAGAGCAAACAAAAGCAGTGGAAAGGCCAAAGGAGTATGGAGTTTGGGGCCTGGGTATCCTAGATCAGGGTCAGCAAACAGCAGCCCAAAGGCCAATGCCAGCTGCTGCCTATTTTGATAAGTAAAGTTTTACTGAAACACAGTCACAACCCTTTAGTTACATATTATCTACAAGATGAGTAGCTGTGATTGAGACCTTATGGCCCATGAAGACAAAAATATTACTCTCTGGCCCTTTACAGAAAGATCTGCCCATCTCTGTTGCCACTAATCAGCCAGGGAACTCAGGGAAAGAACATGTTTTAAAGGGAAAGAAATGAGTTTAAATTTGGACACAAAAGTACTCAAATAGAAATATCTGGCAAGATGTTGGAAATAAAGACAAATCATGTAGTTAAACATACGGCTGGGGTTATCATTTGGGAATTTTTCTCAAAAGGTAAACACTAAGTCTAAGAGCAGTGAAATTTTTCAAGAAAGAGCACAGGAAAAGAAGAAAAGAAAAAGCAAATTCACTAAAGGAGTGAAAGAAAGAACCAGAGAAAATACAATCTGAGAGGTGGGAGGAGTCCCCAAGTTTAGCATCATGGGACATGGAAACAAGCAGCTTCAAAAGAGAGGAGAAGCCAAATGTGCAGATATGGAAGATGAGGTCTTTAAAGGGGAGATGACAGTAGATGACCTGGGAGATGACAGGTAGACTTCTTCCATGATACCCACCCCATCATTAGCAATTCTGTTGGAAAGGTCATCCTTACATTAAGCTAAAGACAATCTATATCCCCATAACTTCCACCTGCAAATTTCATTACACCTCTAAAATTTACCCTGCCAACATGGGGAAAGAGACAGATGTGGAAAACAGCACAGAAGCTGCAAGGAATACATGGTTTAATTAAATTGTATCTCATTTAAGTGAATTAGAAGGTAAAGCTAGAAATTAGAAGGTAAAGCTAGAAATGCAATGGACGAAAGGTTTGGATGCCAAGTTAAGAACTGAAATTTCATTTCAAATAATTAGGCTAGCAACAGTCCTAAAACAACATGCTGGAGGACAAACTAGAGGGGTGTAGATGGGGCTGGAGGTGCTGGGCAGAATTAAGAGACTGTCTCAGTGGTACAAGTGTGCAGTGGAGGAGGCAGGAGAGAAGTATTACAAAAGAAGCTCAGCAGGACTTGGTGGCTAAGGATAAGGGATGATGAAAAGCCCAAAGGCAGCTGTAGTATCTGGAAGACGGTAAGACTAAATCTGCAAGAAGTAAGGCAATCTAGAGGGTCAGTTGGTTTGGGATGACTCTGGTTTTTAAAAATACTGATTTGTAGGGAGATTAGAAATGTGTGACAAAAAGATAAATGGGACCTGAAACTTAAAATAAAGGGCTGGGCTGCAGGTAGAGTCATCCACACAGGAATAACTGAACCACAAGACAGCTGACTGACCCTCAAGGAACAATTGTACAGTTCAAAGAGCAAAGAATCAAGGACCAAAGCCATGTTTAGAGAATGAGAGAAAGCAGAACCAGCAAAACAGAAAGAAGGGTGTTGGGAAAGGCACGCTGGCTACCCTGAGCAGACCTTCACAACCACCTTCTGAGTAAGGAAAAGTAAAGCAGCATTATCTCCATTATATTGCACAGTCATCTGGAGACTGAATTAGGTTTGGATTATTAAAATCCCATTAAAGGCCTTGAGTACCACACCCACCACACTGTGAATAAAATCTTAATGTATTTATGAGCTTTTTTTTTTTTTTTTTGAGACAGAATTTCACTCTTGTTGCCCAGGCTGGAGTGCAGTGGCATGATCTTGGCTCACTGCAACCTCTACCTCCCGGGTTCAAGTGATTCTCCTGCCTCAGCCTCCCAAGTAGCTGAGTTTTTAATAAACCTGGCTAATGAATATTTGCCACACAAGCCTTCAAAATATTCACCTGTCTCATTCTCTCACTTCTTATAAAATCAATTTTTGCCCGTGGTATGGTTTGGCTCTGTGTTCACACCTAAATCTCATCTCGAATTGTAATCCAGTCATGTTGGGGAAGGGGCCTGCTGGGAGGTGACTGAATCATGGAGGCAGACTTCCCCTTTGCTGTTCTCATGATAGTCAGTGAGTTCTCACGAGATCTGGTTGTTTGAAAGTGTGTGGCACTTCCCCCTTCACTCTCTCTCTCTCTGCTCTGCCATGATAAGACGTGCTTGCTTCCCCCTCACCTCCTAGCCATGCTGTTGTACAGCCTGCAGAAATCTGAGTCAATTAAACCTATTTTCTTCATGAATTACCCAGTCTCACGTAGTTCTGTATAACAGTGTGAGAATAGACTAATACAGAAAATTGGTACCAAGAGTGGGGTACTGCTATAAAGATATCTGAAAAGTATGGTAGCAACTTTGGAAATGGGTAACAGGTAGAGGTTGGAACAGTTTGGAGGGCTCAGAAGACAGGGAGATATGGGAAAGCTTGTAACTTCCTAGTATTTGTTCAATGGTTGAGACCAAAATGCTGATAGCGATATGGACAATGAAGTCCAAGCTGAGGTGGTCTCAGATGGAGACTGAGGAACTTACTGGACTGGAGTAAAGGTCACTCTTCCTATGTTTTAGCAAAGAGACTGGTGGCATTTGGCCCTGCCCTAGAGATCTGTGGAACTCTAAACTTGAGAGAGATAATTTAGGGTAACTGGCAGTAGAAATTCCTCACCAGCAAAGCATTCAAGATGTGGCCTGGCTGTTTCTCAAAGTGTACACTCATATGAGTGAAGAAAGGGATGGTGTGAAATTGGAACTTACATTTAAAAGGGAAGCACAGCATACAAGTTTGGAAAATTTGCAGTACAACCATGCAGTAGAAAAGAAAAACCCATTTTCTGGGGAGAAATTCAAGCCAGCTGCAGGAATTTGCATCAGCAACAAGGAGCCAAATGTTAATAGGCAAGATAATGGGAAGATCTCCAGGGCATTTCCAAGATCTTCACAGTACCCCTTCTCATCACAGACTGGGAGGCCTAGAAGAGAAAAATTGTTCTGGGGGCCAAGCCTAGGGCC
This sequence comes from Homo sapiens, assembly GCF_000001405.40. Lineage (NCBI taxonomy): Eukaryota > Metazoa > Chordata > Mammalia > Primates > Hominidae > Homo > Homo sapiens. The sequence continues at coordinate 61,374,732 of NC_000014.9, read as the reverse complement.
CTCACTGCTCTGTACAGCCTTGAGACCTGACATCCTGTGTCCCAGCCACTCCAGCTTCAACCATGGCTAAAAGGGGCCAATGTACAGCTCGGGCTGTGGCTTCAGAGGGTGCAAGCCTCAAGCCTTGGCAACTTCTATATAGTGTTGGGCCTGTGGGTGTACAGAAGGCAAGAGTTGAGGTTTAGGAGCCTCCACCTAGATTTCAGAAGAGGTATGGAAACATCTGGACGTCCAGGCAGAAGTCTGCTGCAGGGATGGAGCCCTCATGGTGAACCTCTATGAGGGCACTGCAAAGGGGAAATGTGGGGCTGAAACCCCCACACAGAGTCCCCATTGGGGCACTACCTAGTGGAGCTGTGGGAAGACAGACATTGTCCTCCAGACCCCAGAATGGTAGATCCACTGACAGCTTGCATCTTGCACCTGGAAAAGCCACAGGCACTCAACGCCACGAAAGCAGTCGCAGGGGCTGTACCCTGCATAGGCACAGAGTAGAACTGCCCAAGACATTCGGAGCCCACCCCTTGCATCGGTGTGCCCTGGATGTGAGACATGGAGTCAAAGGAGATTACTTTGGAGCTTTAAGATTTAATGACTACCCTGCTGGGTTTTGGACTTGCATGGGGCCTGTAGCCCCATTGTTTTGGCCAATTTCTCCCTTTTGCAGTGGGAGCATTTACCCAATGCCTGTACCCCCATTGCATCTTAGAAGTAACTAACTTGTTTTTGATTTTACAGGCTCATAGGTGGAAGGGACTTGCCTTTGTCTCAGATGAGACTTTGGATTGCGGACTCATTAATGCTGCAATGAGTTCATACTTTGGTGGACAGGCCAAGCATGGTGGCTCATGCCTGTAATCCCAGCACTTTGGGAGGCCAAGGCAGGCAGATCACTTGAGGTCAGAAGTTTGCGACCAGCCTGGCCAACATGGCAAAATCCCATCTCTACTAAAAATACAAAAAAATTAGCTGGGCATGGTGGCGCATGCCTGTAGTCCCAACTACTCAGGAGGCTGAGGCAGAAGAATTGCTTGAACCTGCGAGGCAGAGGTTTCAGTGAGCCAAGATCACACCACTGCACTCCAGCCTGGGTGACAGACTGATGCTCTGTCTCAAAAACAAAAACAAAAACGAAGACTTTGGGGGACTGTTGGGAAGGGCATAATTGGTTGAGAAGGACATGAGATTTGGGAGGGGCCAGGGGCGGAATGATATGGTCTGGCTCTGTGTCCCCACTCATCTCAAATTGTAACTCCACCTGTCAGGGGAGGGGCTGCTGGGAAGTTATTGAATCATGGAAGCAGACTTCCCCCTTGCTGTTCTCATGATAGTGAGTTCTCATGACATCTGGTTGGTTGAAAGTGTGTGGCACTTTCCCCTTTACTCTCCCTTTCTCTTTCTACCCTGCTCCGTCATGCTGCTTGCTTCCCCTTTGCCTTCCACCATGATTATAAGTTTCCTGAGGCCTCCCAGTCATGCTTCTGTACAGCCTGTGGAACTGTGAGTCCATTAAACCTCTTTCTTCATAGATTACCCAGTCTCAAGTAGTTCTTTATAGCAGTGTGAGAACAGACTAATACAGCCAGTTCTTGGGAACCAGATTCACAGCCACAGCTACAACCCAACTAGTTCTTCAGCCCGGTGACAGCCTGAGAGCATTTTCTGAACATCAGGTAAAATTAAAAACCAGACTGGTTTCAGATGCAACTGAAGGACTCTCTCAGCAGGTGCAACTGGCAGGACTGTCTCTCAGATGCAACTGGCAGGACTCTCTCAGCAGGACTGTTAAGCCAAATGATGAGTTGAGGCCTATCAGAGAATTTTTTTTAGGGCAGTGAAATTGTTCTCTATGATACTATAATGGTAGACAGAGAACACTAAGCATTTGTTAAAACCCATAGAACTTTATAGCACACAGAACTTGAATATATGCAATTTAAAAAGTTAGGGTATCAAGAGATCCTGGGGTGGAATATGAAATGCAGACTATGACATGAGAATCAACTGTATCAAAATGCATGAAATAACCTCACTGAAAGAAGTGAGGGAAAAGATGCTGGCTTAAGGACCTTCAGAAATGAGTATGGACTCTAGATCTAAGGGCAAAATGAATTTTACATAACGAATTTCACATAACCACTGAACTCTAGCCAATAAAGTTCTTTCTCATAAGGGATACAAGTTAACAATTCTGAAACCACTATACATGTAAGTAAATGGATGGTGGGTGGTAGGAACCAGTTTTTCACTGTTAGAGCAGGAGTTTGCAGACAAGGGAGAAAGGCTAGTAAAAAAAGGTCTGTAACACTGTATCGGAGTTGAAAACATTAGCATGAACTCATGTTCAACTTAATATAGATACAGATGGATACATATAGAAATATTTACAGATATGTGTATATACAAGGGTGAGTATACACCTATTTCTCTGTTCCGTCAGCTGAACAGACCTAAAAGCAATGACACCTCAGTAGCAACAAGGACACGCAGTGCCCAGAACTTGGTTTCTAAAACCATTCTCCAACAAAAGGAACCAGGGTCCCTGGAGAAATAACTGATTCTAGGGATGGGGCAAAGAATATACAAAGTGAGCCAGGGGCATCTTTTAGTGCCAGAAAGAATAAGGATGTGATTTTAAAAAGCACACATGCAACAACAAAAACCCACCAGGATGGGTGGCATGTCACAAAGGGACACAGGAGCCTATTGAAACAGCTCCCAAAAACCAAATCTGAAACAATTTGAGGAGCACAATCATGTGATATTAGATTATAACCTAAAATATAAAATATGCATGAGTCCATACTGATACAAATAAATGATAGAATAAATAAATGGGGGAGAATAGACAAATCTCCCAAGCAGAGGAATTCCCAATAATTTCTCTAAATACTACCTCCCTCAGGGAGGTAGAGCATAATTCTCCACAACTAAAGTGTGAGCTATGTACAGTGACTTCCTTCCCAAGAGTACAGTATGGAAAGAAGGGGAAGAGGAACTTTATGTGAGAAATCTGACAAACATAATTTTAGCCATGCAATCAAGGTTCACATCAACAGTGATAGGTCGTTTTGATAGCATGTATGCATGTAAAAGCTAATTATGCAATTGATATGACATGATGGAATGAAATGTGGTACTATGCCTGCCTGTGTGGTCTTCCTCCCAAAACCCTTGAACCACAGGAAAAACATTAGACAAACCCAATTTGAAGGACATTCTATAAAATACCTGACGAGGACTTGTCAAGCTGTCAAGCTCACCAAAACCAAGGAAAGTCTGAGAAACTGTCACAGACTAGAAGAACCTAAGCAGACATATAAACATGATGTGGTATCTTGAATGGGATCCTAACACAGAAATGGAACAGTAGGTAAAATCTAAGGAAATCTGATAAACTATGAAGTTTAATTAGTAATAATGTATCATTATTGATTCATTAGCTGTGACAATGTAGCATACTAACCTAAGACATTAATAATACAGAAAACTGACTGTTGGGTATATGGGAATTCTCTGCACTATCTTCACAGTTTCTCTGTAATACTAAAACTGTTCTAAAATGTTTATTCAAGAAAATGCTTTTAAATAAAAACTGCCTTCACTGAGCCCTAAATCCAGGTAACTCTTAAAGAAATTAAATTCTAAATTAGTAACTGATTACTACAGGTGATAAATTTGGTTATTCACTAAATAGATGAAAAGAGAGCCAGAGGCAGCAGTGCAAAAGAATATCTGGCCTTTCTAGACTGTGTATGTAACATTCCCATGTTAACGTTAAGTCATCCCCTGTCCCAACTGTCTCCAGCTGGCCAGTGTCACAGCACATCCCATTTTGCGCTAGTTTCCATACTGCAGTGTTTGGTGTTATCCACACCCCTGGAGAAGACCCACAGTGAGAACCCCAAGAGTTTTCTATGAGTACTCCTATCTGCAAATTGTTTTCAGACAAGCTGTTGGTAAAGTATCTTCTCTTCAACTAAAAACAGAAGTAGAAGACAGAAATACAGAGAGCGAAGAAAGAGAAAAAAATCAGCTACAAACTACTTCCAATGAACATCTAACATAATGAGTACTTTCTGGAGCTAAGACTGACTAATATGAATGATATTGTGCCCATTACACTCTGATTTCAGGAAAAGTTGCAGAAAATCTGAACAGGAACTCCTCATCCAAAAATGGATACAAAGATTTGGAGCAGGTTTAATACAGATTGGGCCTTTCATTTTTCTACCCAGTGCTAAACCTCTCCCACCTCTCGTGGGTCAGAATTTCCTGATACACTTATTACAAATGCAGGCCCCACCCCCAGGCCTAGCAAACTGGCATCGCACTTAACAAACTCCAGGTGACTCCAGTAAAGTTGGGCAACCACTGTAGTTTGCCTTCACTGTTCTCATCACCACCTCATCCCTTCGCTTTTTCTCCAACAACCAAAGAAAGTATATTGTTTATGTATTAGGGTTCTCAGTTTTTAAAAGAACACACATGGCCGGGTGCGGTGGCTCACGCCTGTAATCCCAACGCTTTGGGAGGCCGAGGCAGGCGGATCACTTGAGGTCAGGAGTTCGAGGCAGCCTGAGCAACATGGTGAAACCTTGTCTCTACTAAAAATACAAAAATTAGCCAGGTGTGGTGATGGGCGCCTGTAATCCCAATTACTTGGGAGGCTGAGACAGGAGAATCGCTTGAACCTGGGAGGCGGAGATCACGCCACTGCACTCCAACCTGGGTGACAGAGCAAGACTCTGTCTCAAAAAGAAATAAAAATAAAAATAAAAAACCATACATACACACATATATATACACATATAAACATACAGATATATGCATATGTATTACTGCTTGTAGATACTATCTATGCATCAATAGTTTAAAAATAAAGTTCTGTTTTTTACCAAGAACTTTCTGTCACTTTCTTCCCAATTTTTTCTTTCCAATCCTTTGGTTAGTTGCTATTAATAATATAATTCTTCTGGGGAATCTACTCCCATAACTAATGCATTAAACAGTCAAAACATGTAATACTTTAGAGTTGATTCGAAAGACAAATGTCCAAGAAAAGAACACTGACTGCAATCATATTTCTCAATATATACTACATTCCACAAAACAGTCAGTATACAGGAACTTATATTGTGTAAACATGTAAAATCAGAATGGGGAAAATGAAATAGGAAATCAAGGCTGGGAAAAGTTAAGATGTAACTGTTAAAATTTTCTTAAAGTTGAGCTACAAATTTGAATCTGAATTTCTGACGCGAAGCAAAGCAAACAAAAAGAAAACCAGGTTCACAAACAAGGTTCACGATAAACCCTAATGAAACCACACCAATTTCTCAGGAGAAGAGACTTCAAAGCCCTTAGGTCTAAAGAAATGTCTCTAATGCAGAGGTTCTCAAAGTGTGATCCCCAAGACCAGCAGCATAAGTATCCCCTGGGAACTTGTTAGAAATGCAGTCAGGGACTGAAACAGAATCTGGGCATGGGGGTCCAGCAAGCTGTTTTAACAAACCCTCCCGGTGATACTGATGCAAGCTACACCTTGAGAACCACTGCTTTAGTGGGTCTTCACACAGCATCCACTGAAAGTGGTTACAAACCTGCTCAAAAGTATTCCAACAATCAGCCAATGGTGTATTTTGCATACCAAGTTCTAATAACGTTCTTCAGGGCAAAGAGGGTAAAGGAGATTTACAAAGATCCAAGCCACATGACCAAGTACACAGCTTGGGTGTAGAATGGAAATATGAGCAGCAGGATCACTGTTTCCCAGTGCCTGGCACATATTAGACTTCCACATCTTTCTGAATAAGTAAATAATGAAAAAAATGCATGCATGAATGAACATCCTTTAAACAATTCCCCAAAAATAACAATAATTGTCAACTGCACTTTGAGTGCCTATAATTAAATGTCATTTTCAAAGGGTACAAAAATTTTAAATGATTTTAGAAGGGAAAAGTCACCATTTATAATCAAACAGCTTTCTACTTCAAATTCAAAAAATAAAATAAAATTTGCAAAAACATTCCAACTTTCACAGCACATTCCAACCAGCAGCCCACTTTAGCTCCGCAGTCTGTAAGAGAGGAGGTGATCAGTGCCAGCTCTGTTTTCACTGATGGGAAATATCTACAGGAGGATCACTCATGTGGCCTAAGGCACACAGCATGAAGTCTGCTGACCCCTGGCCTACTGAGCAGCAACTCTGCAGAGCCTGTTCTGCCTGTAAAGCCTTTCCTCGCAGTTCAGTCTGGAGGAGTCTCCTTGTGTCAGGTATTAGGCAGAAGACCCGGCATGAAGCAGCCAGAGGGGAGGACATGGCAGTACAGGGCCTTTTCCCTGTCAGGAAACACACAAGGCTCAAAGGCAAGATCATCTTGGGGACACGGTTCTCTTTTTTTTTTTTCCCATGACTAGGGATAGTGAGGAAGTACTGGTAATAGCCAGAGAAGAGGTGAAGGGTAGACTGTGAGTGTCAGAAATCTACAGCAGATGTTGGAACTAGAGGCTGCTGTAAGGCAGCCCAGCAGGCAACATGGGAGGGTGAACCTTGGTTAAGGAAGGGCTTAGCAGCCGGCTGGGAATCAGAGGCTCCTCTGACTTTCTCCTTAGAAATTCCTAACTTTGCATCCCATTTCATGAGGCTCTCAGACACTTGGAAGCTCCTCCAAGGCCCTCATACTAAGATTCACCTACAGATCAAGAGCTCTCCAGGCTGGGCGCGGTGGCTCACGCCTGTAATCCCAGCACTTTGGGAGGCTAAGGCAGGCGGATCACGAGGTCAGGAGGTCGAGACCATCCTGGTTAGCAAGGTGAAACCCCGTCTCTACTAAAAATACAAAAAATTAGCCGGGCGTGGTGGTGGGCTCCTGTAGTCCCAGCTACTTGGAAGGCTGAGGCAGGAGAATGGCGTGAACCTGGGAGGCGGAGCTTGCAGTGAGCCGAGATTGCGCCACTGCACTCCAGCCTGGGTGAAAGAGCGAGACTGTTTAAAAAAAAAAAAAAAAAAAGGAGTTCTCCAGATTAAGAGCCTGGGGAGCATATTCATTGTAGTTGTTACCAAGAAAGTCACAAGCAGGACACAAATCCACTCTGGGCAGTCTCTTTCCTTCTAGAATGATTCCAGGTCACAAAACGTCCAACAGAGGCCAGAGTTAGGGGGCTGGCCCCAGCACCCATTCCTCCAACAAACATTTATTGAGCACCTACCTACTGGGTGCTGAAAATAGGGAAATCACAAGACCAGAACAGCACCAAAAGACAGCTCTTGCACTGTAACCTCACCCACAATGACCTCATCCACGGTGACCTCGGTGGCAATTACATCAGGGCTGACCTCTGACACACACACACACACACACACACATACACACACACACACGCAATACCTGAGTAGTATCATCTCATACTTGTTTTCCAGGGTTCGTGTCCTCTGAGGACATTGAGTCAGGCATTTAGATTGGGTTAGGGGCAGATGCACATCCCTTTGAGAATTACCTGCTGACTCTACCCTTTCTCTGTGATGGTAGTTCATGCTTCCTTCATCTGCCTGTCTCTCACCACTTTTCCTATTGTTCTTTAACACACTTTCTGCCTTCTCTGAGCTCTGGGTCTCCAGTCTGCCAAAGTAAGAAAAAGTCCTGCATATAACCCTTGGGTCATTGCTTCCACAAGCAATGGAATATGTAGGAAAGTGGATATATTCAGGAAAACAGACTTTCCTACTCATCGAAGTATTTGTTTTAGAAATCTCATGTTTAGTGCATCTCACTGCTATCTTAGAGAAGGGAAGAAGCCAGCAGAAGGAGCCACATCCCTAGACAGAGAGCTCCTCTCAGTGGATTTAAGGCTGGGGAGGTCCAAAGTTCTAGGGTCCAATTTTCATTACCATTATAATAAGAGCCCCCAGAGCCCTGAATGCCTTGAAGCCTCTGGCCACTGAAGCAAGCCTAAGTATACACATAAACATAAAGTACAGAGATGCTGAAGAGCCACTGGCTGTATGAAAAGGTTTCACATTAATTACAGGGCTGGCTACAAGCTTCCTTGCCTAATGAATACCACTCATTTTCCCAAAGCAATTAACAGTACAGTTGAAATGACCGACATCCATTTCCTTATACACAGGAAACCTGTGAACTCTGAGACTATCATCTCCAAAATGCTGAGTGTCAGGCTGGGTTCACCCAAAGTGGTCATCAGCCAACCTGCAACCTCCACTGAACTTCCATACGTGACAAAATATTTTCCTTCTAAGTTTGGATCTGGCTTCTTTCTAGTTTTACTTCCTTATCAATCATTATCTTTGCTCAAGGAAATAAAGAAACAGAAAAGGATGCCTGGCCATAAAAGCAATTTTCCCAAAGTAATAATGTGTCTAATTGCTTGCTTAAAATTTTTTCAGAGTCTTACAAATCTCTCCTTACTGGGAAAAAGAAGAAAGTCAAACTTCTGGCAATATGCTAATTTAAAAAATCCTACTTGGCAAACTTGAACGACAGAAATTATACCCTAGTAACCTAAATTTTCAAAGACTTTCAAAAAGTGTACGATTTTTACTGTCTACACAGTATGGAGGGACCAGGCATTATTTGCAAAGAGCTTTTCTGCAATCACTGTCTCATCTTCTGACAGTCTGGGAGGTAACACATCATCATTATGTTATACAGATTGGGAAATTGAGGCACAAGGTAAGGCATAAGTGGTAGAACAAGGCTTCAGTCATTCCCAAGTTTCAGTTCCTCTACATAAGCCTTTTCTCTTTTCTCCTTTTAAGTCTTTACACCCTTCCTTTACTGTCACAGCCTAAAATAATCTCTTTCTTCTGAACTCCTGTAGGAATTACTGCCTAAACAATGCATCTCCCCATTAGTCATGTCATGCCTTGCTATTTAAACCCTGCATGATTAGCTAACTTTTCCTGTGTTTATGTCTTGTTTCTTCAGCTAAATGTGAAGCTATCTAGGGGCAAGAATCGTATCTTCTGCCTCTTTATGTCCTCATACCACCTGGTACATAGTAGGAGGCCAGAAAATACATGATATGTTTTAACGTTTTTTCTCACCTTGGAAGACACAGATGCCTGCAGTTTAAAAAAAAATCAAATACAGAAATATACAATTCAGCATAAATCTATCGTGTCCCTCAGCACTAGAAACTGCTTAAATTTTAGATTTAAGTTCTTGCTAATAATCCATTCTCTTACCCAGTGAAATACGTGAAATACATTTTCCCTCTACACTTGTAGTCTACAGAAACTAACAAACTGAAAATGGACTTTAAATAGATTACCCAGAGCCACTAAACTAAACTGAATAGCAAACATTATGAAATGACTTTGAAAAGTGTAAATACATAAAAGTATTATTATAAGTTATATTCATTGTCAAAACTTTCCTTTAAAGAGACACAAAGTCAGACTTTTTACCACATCATAAATAAATGACAATAGAATCCCAACAGCATCTTCAGATACACTATCCTATACCTGCCCCTGCATATGGCTCAAAACATTTAGGACACACACCTATCTACTGTGTTCTCAAACACCAAAATGAAGTTTCTTATTCTACACATCCAATGCTATAATTCAGTGTGAATCTTACAAGTGGAATAAAAGTCCCATTTCTACAAAGGTTTCCCTGTGGGCTATCCTCTACCTCACTGGCCTTCACTTCCAGGCCACTTCTCTCAGCCATTCCCATGGCCACTCCCTCAAACTGCTCTACCTTGGAGACTACATCACCCTACCGCCTCCTGCCCTTCTATTACATCTGCTTTTTAACCATACAAGCCATCCAGGTCTACGAACTGCTTCCTTCTATCCTCTTAGGTCCCTCCTAGCCACACTCCTTCCTGTTCCTTATTTTTATTTTTAATTGTTTTTTGAGACAGGGTCTCACCCTGTTGCCCGAGCTGGAGCGCAATGGTGCAATCATGGCTCACTGCAGCCTGGACCTCCCTGGGCTCAGGTGATCCTCCCACTTCAGCCTCCCTAGTACCTGGGACTACAGGCACACACCACCATACCTGGCTAAGTTTTTGTACTTTTTGGTAGAGATGGGGTTTCACCATGTTGCCCAGGCTGGTCTCTCGAACTCCTGAGGCTCCAGCAATTCACCAGCCACAGCCTCCCAAAGTGCTAGGATTACAGGTGTGAACCACCACACCTGGCCATTCCTATTCTTAAAAGCACCCCCTGCAAACACATACACACGTCCTCACACCTTCTTTCTGCCACATCTGACTGGTAAAAATCCACCCTGGACCAGTCTCAGTATCTGCTGCCTCTGACACACAGGCTGGGGAGCCACACACACTTGGGCCACTGTAAATTCAGTTTCTAATCTCAGCTGAGCCTCAGCATCTCTTCACACTTCTTTTACTTTTCCTCAATCATCTCATCTCCCATTTCCTTCAGTGACTGGGATATTCCAAACAGTCTCCATTCTCTTCAAGTTCCCAATCCCATTCTATCTTGCCTGCTACTTCATCAAATACTAAGGGTGACTTGGGTTAGCTATCTCAGCTATAAATCTCCTAAAAGTGTCTCCAGGCCAGGCATGGTAGTTCACACCTATAATCCCAGCACTTTGGGAGGCCAAGGCAGGAGGATCGCCTGAGGCCAGGAGTTCAAAACCAGCCTGGGCAATTTATTTATATATATACACACAAATATATATATATATATTATATATATACAAATATATATATACACACAAATATATATATACACACACACATATACACACACATGCACACGTATATATATAAAATTTTATATATTTACATATTTTTACATATATATGTAAAAAATTTTTATTAAAAATAAAACTGTCCCCTGCCCCAGCTTCTGTGACACCACAGATTCTACCTCCAGACCCATTCTTCTGAGTCTTTTCTAGAAATTTCCTCTTCCCTCCATCCCTCCACTTCTGTCTGGTGTTCCCTTGGACTCCATCCCCTGCCCGTTGCCTTCTTCATCCTCAGAGTTCTCTTTGGGCACCAACCTACTCACATGGCTCTAACTACCACCTCTAGGTGATGGCTCCCAGATTCCCATCTCCAGACGCCATCTTCCCAGAGCGTCAGACTCACATTCAATTGCCAGATGGACACTTTTTAAAATCAGTATATTACCTTGGCCCCTACATACCCATTCTTCCTCCTATATTCCCCAGGTTCAAAATGGCCACCAGAACTTCAAGTGTCATTCTGGTCTCTTCCATCTCATCCACTCCCCGTAGCCAGTTGATCAAAATTGTATCAACTCCAAATCTTGTGTACTTCTCAAACCCATCTTCTCCTCTCCAGCCCTGACTTTCACTGCTTTCTTACACATATTCATCATCTCACATTGAGCCTATCATGATCGGTTCCTGCTATCCAGCCACAAATCTATGACTCAATGAGCTGCCATAGCAAACCAGGAAAATCTGGCCATTTACACCCCTGCTTAAAATTTTTCAACAGTTCCCCATCAGCTAGAAGCATATGCTCTAAGCCTTCATAGAGTATACTTGGCTTTTCATGGCTGGGCCCCCAACTACCCCTTTATAGTCCTTGATTCCCACCCTTATGCTTTATATGCTATTGACATGGAAAGGCTTGCCCTTGCAAGCATACACAGACTGTTTAATGCACTGACACTCATGCTGTTCCCTTAGCCTACAATGCCTTCCTCCTTCTCTCTCACCCGTTCATCATCTAAGTCCTACCCATTGTTCAAGACTCCGTCTAGGCGACTTCTCCAGGAAGTCTTGCCCTAACCTCCCTTCTTCTCACATGAGGGAAGAGGCTGTTTTCTATGATCTCCCAGCTCCCTGTTCAACACCAATCATTTGATACTGGTATCCCCTGTGCCAATGTCCACATCCCCTTCAGGATAACCTCATCTCCAAGACAGATGCCATCCCTGACTTGTCTTTGTACCTCTGGGGATTAACCCAGCCTCAGATGCAAAGAGGGTCATCGACACATTATGGAGCTTCAACAGAACAAGCATCTTCAGGAGTGCTGGCCTGAGCAATATAGGCATTAGGGAAAAGGGAACCTTCATTTCCTTTCCTTATGATCACTGCATAGTATCCTAGAGAGGAACATTTGATTACTCCACCTCTTCTGTGTCAGTCACATGAAACTCAACTTTTACAAATATGTAATAATGTATGTGAACAGTCAAAACTGAGTGGTCTAGCCTCAAAAACTCTCTGGATGATGGATTTGTTATTACTCAGACTGCACTGTAATCAGTAAATAACATTACTCAAAATAGCAAAACATTCAAATAATCAAGGGTTTTGCTGTTTGCCAATAAATAATCCTTTGAATTTCCTAGTCTCCCCATTTCCCTTGGCCCCTTGTTTCCTTTTTTTTTTTTTTTTTTTAAGACAAGATGCCACTCTGTCGCCCAGTCTGGAATGCAGTGATGTAATCTTGGCTCACTGTAACCTCGAATTCCTGGGCTCAAAGCTATCCTCCCTCTTCTGCCTCCCAAGTAGCTGGGACTACAGGTACATAGCACCACACTTAGCTATTTTTTTAACATAAAAACATAGAGATGAAATATCGCTATGATGACCAGGGTGGTCTCAGACTCCTGAGCTCAAGCAATCCTCCCGCTTCAGCCTCCCGAAGTGTTTGGATTACAGGCATGGGCCACTGCACTCAGCTTGTTTCCTTTTAGATAATACAGCAATTAGTCTTAAAAAGGAATTTGCTATTAAAACAGATCTTTTTTATCAGATTTAATTTTTTTATTAATTTCCTAAGAGCACAGACTCTGAGATTATCTCACTGATTTTACCAAGAGCCCTTCCTCCTTATAGTTTGATAACACTAAGTAGATATGCATGGTAAAACTTAAATAAACCAAATGTAATCATAAATAAGATTAAGGAATATGGCATGTTTATTAATTTTTAAAGATCTTTCTGAAAATGAGTCAGCTTACCTTCCTTTTTTTATTCCACACAAAGAAATTGTCCCCTTGCCTGTAAGGTAAGCATTATTATTCCCATTTTACTGGTTAAGAAATTAACATTCAGAAGTTTAAACAATTTGTCCAAGCGTCAGGCATGGATTTCTATTCCCAGTCTATCTGATCCCAAGCCCATGTTCCTATCTACCTATACTGCCTCTTCTCAAAAGAGGACAATAAAGGCTATAAAATGAGCCTTATTGTAACTAAACAGAGAGTTGAAAGTTTCAGAAAGACCATGAACAAAGTTCACAAACAATTAACTCTCTGAAATTCTAATGCTTCATTGGTAAATAAAAGGTTTCACTAGCAAAATAAACTTGTAATGTTGGTTAGAAAGCTGCTCTGCCTACACTCTAACAACACTGTGATAATTACCTATGATAAACACCCTTTGTTCTTAAGTCTCTCACAAACCTTGCCACACTATACCCCAACTTACAGCTCCTCTATTCTGTTCCTCAGTAAGGGGACACCGCATGCAGAAGAGTAACAGGATGGTGAAAAAACAAGATTCACACCCTCCACCCTCATCCTCACATCTCTTCTCTCAGAAAAGGTTAATATATTAGAACTTACTCAGGCACTGATCTGAACAAGGTTGAGGGAAGAACCCACTGATGTGAAATCAAACAGCTCTCCATAATCCAAAAAATATCCCACCTGCTGCAGCCTCTGAACTGAGTTCCCGAAGCCACCCAGGTGGGAGTCACCTGTGGTCCACTGGGGTTGTCAATCATGGAATGACTCACACCCTACTTTCCGTGCGTAGCTACTGTAGGTAACTTGAACAGTGTATGTGAGAGGGACTGCAGAAGTCCATCACCCCTGACCTGAACGATCCTTCCAGTCTCTCCCACCATCTAGGGTACTGGTATCCAAGTGTAAAAAGCAGCTGGTCCATGATGAAAGATTCTGGTGAGTTCCATGGTATTACCAGATAGCTAGAACTTCCTAGCATGGTTAACAGCTGAACTAAACCTCTGTTTACTTCTTCAACTTCTCAGGCTCCTGGAAGCCAAGTGGGTTGGGTAACTGGGGAGGAAAATAAAGAAAAGTAGAAGATCCTGCCTTTCTTTCAATTTTAACTTTTTGAAGTGTTTTTATATTATCCAACGATACAAATCATTTGTTATCCTTTCATCCAAAGAAAACACACATGGCTTTAAGAAATGTAAATATTTAGTTCCAGGATACGTTTTAGCCTCTTCGAGTTTTTCTTTTTTCTTTTTTCTTTTTTTTTGAGATGGAGTCTCACTCTGACACCCAGGCTGGAGTGCAGTGGCGCGACTTCGGCTCCCTGCAACCTCCGCCTCCCATGTTCAAATGATTCTCATGGCTCAGCCTCCCGAGTAGCTGGGATTACAGGCGCCCACCACCATGCCCGTCTAATTTTTATATTTTTAGTAGAGACAGCATTTCACCATGTTGGCCAGGCTGGTCTTGATCTCCTGACCTCAAGTGATCCACCTGCCTTGGCCTCCCAAAGTGCTGGGATCATGGGCGTGAGCCACTGCACCCAACCTCTTCGAGTTTTTATAATGATGTGGTGCAGAGAAAAATAATTCCATTTACTCACGACATATTCCTCTCTTCCCCTTTGAGTTGTATAAGAAAACATTTCCAGACAGACAATATAACATTTGGTGTTTGAATGCTATTGTCGCTAAAGATACAGGCATGCTCTAATGATAAGATGAGAGAATGCCACATACGCTATATAAAATGGTAAGTAAGTATCTGGTGTTCCCAGTAAGAATTACTTCACAGCTCTGTAAAACTCTGTCTGTGGTAAGGTGGCTTTGATATTATCCATCAGGACTTCTACATCCTAAAACAGCATTGTCCAGTAGAATAATGTGCAATAATAGAAATGTTCTATATATGGTAGGTAGCCACTAGTCATCAGTTACATGTGGCTAATATAATTGATGAACTTAATTTTTTCCACTTCATTTTATTTTAATTCAATTTAAACTTAAATAGCCACATATGGCTAGTGGCCACCATATTGGGCAGCACAGTTCTAAAATGTCCCGAGCTTTTCAGTGTTCAGCCATCACTCTTTTAAAATAGAAAATTAGGATACAGGCAGCCTCTAAAGTAGGTCAGTCTAGTTTACATCTCAAAGAAGTTCTCTCTCAGAGTATACAAGAAGTTCCCTATCTCCAGATCGATGGAAAATAGTTCCATGGTGGTATGACACTCCTCAGAAAAACTTACACCTGCAGTATCTCCCAACAGGGAAGTGCTTATGCAAATAGAAAGTGTTAACATTACCATAAGTTCTAAAATATGAAAATGTTCTCTGGGAAAAATAACTTAAAAATGAGGCCTGCAATGTGAAATATTTTATTTTTCACAGCAATCATTTTCAGACACACTCTGACACTTCAGAGTTGACAGCCTCACTCCAGCATGTAGAACTAGGAACTCAGTGGGAAGGATATTAGGGTGTCTACTTCAGGGGTGGCTGCTCCAGCCATGGCTTGAACCTCTGATACGCAGCACTGCCCCAGAGCATTGTGGTCCACAGAAACAGGAAACCAGGGTCATCCAGAGGTCTACTGGTTCTTGAATTCAGTTATTCAATGAACAAACATTTCATGAGCACTTACTACATGTCAAGCATCCAGCTAGGCACAAAAATATGAGGTGGAATGACACATGGTTTCTGCCCTTCAGGACTGAGGCTGGGAGGAAAGACACATAAATAGATTATGATCCAACGTGGTAAGTGCATCATGGGCACAGAGAATGACAGGACTCTATGGAAGATTACCTAACTTATCCTGGAAGGGTCAGAGAAGGCTTCCTGGAGGAGGTGATAGCTGAGCTGAGTCCTCAGGATGAGGAGTTACTAAGTCAAAAGCAGGGAAGGGAGCATTCCAAGCAGTGTCGCTAACAAAGGTGGGAAAGAGCCTAAAGAGCAGGGCCTGCACAGGGAACACAGCAAGACTGTGTTGCTCAAGGATGAAGCCGGAATCAGGAAGTGGTAAAAGGGAGGCTAGAATGCCACCAAGGGCCAGGAGGACACCCAGGAATACCATGCTAAGGAGATTGGCCTTTGATTTGCATATAATGGAGCATCACAAGAGGGCTTCAACCAGGGTGGAAACCCTGTTAGACACAGAGAGGCAGCCTGGTAACACACTGGAGGGAGGATCACAGGAACATAAAGGAGGCAGGAGGCTGTGGCTTCATCTTGGAAAGTAAGGATAAAGGCCTCACACAGGTAGTGGTAATGGGAATCAAGAGAAAGGAAAACTCAGAAATGTCCAGAAGGAAGAAGTAAACAGTGATTAGAAATCAGCCACACTGGGTAACTGGCTATGTATGGAAGCTAAAGAAAACAGGCATTAAGGAGCTAAAGGAAAATGGCATTAGAGATGACTCCCAGGTTTCTGGCTTGGATGTCTCCGTGGATGAGGGAAACTGAAAGAGAACAGCAGCAGCTAACATTTATTCCAGTCTTATTCTGAGCCAGGCACTGTACAAATGCATTACAATCTACCTCATAAGAATTTCTGAGATGGATAGTATTTTTATCCCCATTTTAAAAAGAAAGACACTGAGGGTCAGGGAATTAAGTGACTTGTTCAAGCTCAAACATCCAGGAAGTATCAGAGCCCCAATTCAAATCCAAATCTGATTCCAGAGCCCCAATCTTAACCACCATATATAATATGGTCTCTAAATTCAGAAAAGAAGGGGAGGTTTAGGAGAAATGGTCATGCATTCAGCTCCTGGAAAATTTAAGGAGGCTTTCAGATACTCACATGACAACCAGCAGAATCTGGTCACCAGGCAGTGCAAGGCAGAGACATGGGAATCACTGGCACACAGAGAGTGAAAACCTAGAGAGCAGATGAAGTCCCAAGGCCAGAGTATATATGAGGAGAGAAAAGCAACACTCCCAGAACTAAACTCCAACAGTAACAGGTGGGCAAAGGAAGAGAAGCCCACCAAGGAGATACAAGACATAGAGGCAGCAAGAGAACAGAAGCATGGACGGTTGCAGAAGCTAAAAACTCTTCTAGAGAAGAGAGTGGATGTGTTGGGTTAAATACAAGAAGAAGCTCCAGAAAGATAAGGACTATAGCGTGTCCACTGGAGTTGACAAATAGGTAAGTCATTAGTAGGTACGAGAAGCACAAAAATGGAAAACGCAGAGAACATTTGACAGCCAAGGAGAAAGAGACAGTAACACATTGGAGGGAGAAACAGACAGTAAATAAATGTGGCTGAAAATTAGAAAGAGAGGGAGGGACAATGACTAACAGAGCAAGGCCTAGGAGGATGCAGGAGCAGATGGGATACCCCTGGAGAAAACCAGATGAAGATAACTGTGACTACACATAAGTTTGCAGGCATCAGGACAGGAAATGGAGGAGCTCATTCTAAGAAGTTTCAAGTTGCTTAGTAAAGTCAGATACAAAGTCATATGTTAAAAGAGTGAGGCGGGTGGAGAGGCCTTAAGAAGAACAGTAACTGCATGGAGTAATCGTTAAATAGCATGGGAGAAACGGGCAGCACCAACCTGCCCAGTATAGCTTGGAAGTTCACGCACAGGTGTGAAGAAGGCAGTCCTGGAGGGTTGCTGACCAAAGATGGCAGATGTGCAGATATGCCATAGAATTGGGAGTACTGACCAGTGTTCCGATGACTTGCCATTCTCTAGAAAGTGAACTCACCACTGGTTGTCCACTGAAGTCTTTATTTTACTCTTGGGAGGGTTCTAGCCATAGTAAGAAAGAACTAAATAAGGCCAGGTGTGGTGGCTCATGCCTATAATCCCAGCACTTTGGGAGGCTGAGGCGGGCAGATCACCTGAAGTCAGGAGTTCGAGACAAGCCTGGCCAACATGGCGAAACCCTGTCTCAACTAAAAATACAAAAATTAGCCAGGCGTGGTGGTAGGTGCCTGTCATCCCACCTACTTGGGAGGCTGAGGCAGGAGAATCGTTTGAACCTGGGAGGCAGAGGTTTCAGTGAGCTGAGATCATGCCACCACACTCCAGCCTGGGTGACAGAAGGAGACTCCATCTCAAAAACAAAACAAAACAAAATTTCCTATAAGAAAGAACTAAACTAAACTCTTTTTCCCCCCAAGATCTCCCAAGACAACACTTAATAAATTATCAAAATAACACTACTGCTGCAGTTCAATCCCTTGACTCTTACTACTTAAGCCAATAAACTGAGACAAAAATCAACTGACACTCAAAATATGCCATTGTCAAAGCCAGAGATAGCCCGGAAAAATATGTCGGTCTGTTGGCTCTCAGATTTCACAGAAATTTGGCATAGGAGAATCCCAGTTCTTAAAATGATACTAGGATTCTAACCGATAGAGTCCAGGGCTAAGCACGAAAGAAATATCAGATCACAAACCATCTGGATTACGAAGGAGCACAAGGATAAAATGGGTACAAGCTCCCCTCCTTGGCAACACAGCACAGGACATCCACTTTGGACAGCAACAATAGAAGTACATGATTCCAATTCCTCCCAACCCCCAAACAACCCACTGCACTCGACCAGGCAGCCTGCAAAACAATGGAAATGTAAGGTCACCCTCCTGTTCCCTGCCACCCCCCTCCACTTCCTCTTTCACCCTGGATGAGTTGTCATCTTTCCATGAAAGAATGCCAAGCGCTCAGTCAGTCTGACAGGCAGTTCCTGCTCTTCCGGTTCTCTGGATGCTTCAAAGGGGTGGCGATGTGTTACCAGAAAGACTACCCTCCTCGGCAGGCTGTTTTCCAGGCTTCCACCCCTGGTGAGTCACTTGCCAGTTTCTACCAAGTATAAGAAGATCTATCATGGAAAGAGACTTCTCTTGAGTCTCACGGGCCTGACGTTGCTGCCTCTCTTGCAAGTGACACTTCTAAATTCAGACTGAACTATACAGGTGTTTTGGTGGAGATCTTCCAGACTGGCTAGAATGTGTAAGTGGCAAAAAATTAAATCACAACGTAGCAATACTAACAAAGTTGGCCCTGAATAGTAACATTCCAAGAAATGAATTCAGAAGCCACCCGTGAAGCAACCAATAAAGTCAGGGCAATACTAATCAAGAAATTTCCATGTTGAATATGAGACTATAAAATCTTCCCTTAAAATTATTTAGTGTATATTTTTAGTAAAAAGGTAAGAAGATAAATTTTGGTCAAATTACTTAAAATATTTATTTGATGATCATCCTTTAAAAAAAAATCCTCCATTTGACCCAAGGGATACACTAAAATATAAGAAAGTGGATCTTTTAAAGTCTCCTACCAAAAGATCACACTATCCCTTCCCTCAAGGAGCTAACAGTTTTTAAAAGGTCATAAACAGCAGAATAGGTACAGCTATCAGATAAGACCAGGAAAAAGGGGATGCTGAAGAAACAGGATTTTTAATAATAAGAAAAAAAAAACAAAGATAACCAACATGTCAAAAAGAAGTGAAAAAGGTGAATGATAATGGTGTTCAGTGCAATGAGAAATAAAGTAGGATTTGCATAGAAAAGCAACAGTTTTAGCAGAAAATAAGACAAGCCCATTTCTGCTGCAGAGTATGGGCAAAAGTAAGACATTAAATGACTTGCTGGAATTGAATCCTCTTCCAAGGGATTCACTGTAAAGGAGGAAAAGATAATAGCTAGGAAAAGGTTTATTTTCTATTTTCTATAAAGCACTTACACATCATCGAAATTATCCATTGAATCCATTTTTCAGTTCTAATCTAAATTTCTCAAGGCAAGAATCATATTCAAATATTTGTTCATCTAATTCATTTATGCAAGTACTCATTTGAATTTCTGTGCCTGGTATATGCCAGACATAATGTCCCAGGTACTGAGGGTACCAAGGAAAATAAATCAGACATAAAACCTGTTCTCAGAGTTTACTGTTTAATAGTCTAATGAGGAAGGCAAAAATGAAGTAATCTTAGTTATTCTGAGATGTACACAATATAACTGTGACTAAATGAGAAGAAAAAGTACAGAAAAGCCTAAAATACTCTGGGGAATACATAAAGGCCTCATTGGCAAAGTGGGATTTAAATGGAGAATTCGTCAGGTGAAGGGAGAGGGAGGAAGAGAGTCCAGGAAATGGAGACAGCTTGTGCACAGGTTCTAAAATTCATCTCTGTATCTCCAGGGCCCTGTACACAGTAGATGCTGAATAAATGCTTATAGAATAAACTTTAAGTTCCTCACGCATTCAGAAAAAAATATTCCCTAAGAAAACAACCCCTAAATATAGGGGGAAAAAAAGGAAAAGAAAAAGAAACAGCTATAGGTACGGAAGTGTTATTTGTAACACACACACACACACACACACACACACACACACAAATAGAAACAGCAATAAGAAGATGGTAAATTATGTAAACCAGTGACTGAAATATTATGCAGCTATTATAAGCAACATGGGAACTGCAATTATACAATTAAGTGGGAAAAGGCAACAAATGAGTATATTAGGATTAGAAATATGGAAAAGTGTGAAAATTAAGAATAATATAGATCATTTTATATTGACTGATAAAATTAAATGGTCAAATGCCAACCATCTCATCTATATTCCATATATGAAATTCCAAGTATCTTCTGTTTGGAAGCAATTGTTCCAGTCAATTTTCAGACAAAGCCCATTAAGACCAACCATTCATTTTGGTCCCCTTAGGAATTGCAATGTTACTTCAAAAACACGTTAAATTATTGTATAGCCTTACATCTTTATAAAGTGATCTCCCATACATTATATTTTGGTTATCATCATTTGCTTCATCCATGTGATTCTTCTTATTATTATTTTTTCAGAGGTAGGGTCTCACTCTGTTGCTCCTGCTGGAGTGTAGCGGTGCAATCATAGCCCACTGTAACCATAAACTCCTGGGCTCAAGCAGTCCTCCTGTCTCAGTGTCCCATGTAGCTAGGACCACAGTCATGTGCCACCATGCCTGGCTAATTTATATTTTTATTTTTTTTGTAGCGATGGGGTCTTGCTATGTTGTCCATGCTGGTCCCAAACTCCTGGCCTCATGTGATCCTCCCACCTCAGCCTCCCAAAGTGCTGGGGTTACAGGTATGAGCCACCATGCCCAGCCTGATTCTCATTATTTAATAGGTCAGTATAATGTGCTACATAAAGCATCCAGGAGGAAGTGGCTCCTGATTTCCCACAGGGTACTCCAAGGGCCTTATTTTTATCCACTGACATTTTAATTACGATCACATATTCCTTTTCGTTTTTCCCAATACTATCACCTACAAAAAATTTTAAGTGTGTATGAAATATAATCACATTACAAAAGTTTGAAAAATTGAGAAAACAAGTCTTAGTTGTCCTAATATAAATAAGTCTCAAACAGCTACAGATTGGTTAAATGTTTCCAGCTACTTTATGTAAATCTTTATATCTCATAAGTATCTTTAATCATTTTTTCTGATTATAAAATTATACATGCTTACTAGTAAAGAATATAACTTGGGAAATGAAAGTCCCCCATAATTCCACCCTACTTCTCCACTCAAGAAAAGTATTGCTAAGTGCTCGATGCTTCATTTTCCAGATTTTTCCCCACTTTGGCTATACAGGTCCACCACGATCTCTTATCTACAATCCCAATATTCAAAAAGTTTCAAAACCCAAACAAATTTTGTAACATTTGTTGTCAAAATCTTACCTGAACTGACATAAGGCAATGTGTAATCTTTATTTACCCCACTTAGTGTGAATATCCATGTTTTGCCACAGAAGTATTAATGTTTTTGATTACAGATGCCACCCCAGCCCCCACTGGAGGTGTTATTTAATAGTAAATGTATTTAATACATTGTCCTATGTAAAACTGAAAAAATCCTGAATTCAGAAACACATCTGACTTAAACTGCTTCAAATTAACGATGCAGGCCTATACTGATACTATTATCATTCTCATTTCAGAAATAGGTCATACCAGGCATGCCTCTCTGTTAGTATATTTTTTCACTCAACAATATATCTAGGACATCTTTCTTTCTTTCTTTCTTTCTTTCTTTCTTTCTTTCTTTCTTTCTTTCTTTCCTTTCCTTTCTCTCTCTCTCTCTCTCTCTCTTTCTTTCTTTCTTTCTTTTGAGATGGAGTCTCGCTCTGTCAATCTCAGCTCACTACAACCTCCACCTCCCAGGTTCAAGCAATTCTCCTGTCTCAGCTTCCCGAGTAGCTGGGACTACAAGTGCACACCACCACGCCCAGCTAATTTTTTGTATTTTTAGTAGAGACAGGGTTTCACCATATTGGTCAGGCTGGTCTTGAACCCCTGCCCTCAAATGATCCATCTGCCTCGGCCTCCCAAAGTGCTGGGATCACAGGCATGAGCCACCACGCCCGGCCTATATCTGGGACATCTTTCTGCATCAATTCACTGTGTTCTTTAACAGCCATGTGGATGTGGGTGGGACCAGAAGAATGAGAACAAACCTGATTTTAAGGAAAGGATAAATAAGGGAAATAGTTCAAAAAGCAGACCTACAGAAATTATTAGGGAGGAAACCTACAAGAGTAGAGATCACAGAATTCAGAGGTGGAAAAGACCTTGGTGATTAATGGCCTGATTCTTTTGTCAAAAGATGATCCCATTGGATGACTTCCTTGAGTTCATACAGCAGTTAGCAGCTGACCTGGGACTAGAACCCAGGGGTTCAAGTTGCCACCCCTTTGTGCTGTTACTCTTGAGATTCCACACTCCTGATGGTGAGGGCCACCCAGGTTGACCGTGAAAAACGTGAAAGCAACTTCTCCGTTAGGGAGCACAGATGCTTCCCAGGGTTAATCTGAGTTGTTAATATAAAAGTCTGTTCACCTAGCCTTGTAAGTGGCAGCCTTCAAAGTTAATAGCAGCATTTTATAGTTTTATAGTCAAGCAGAAAGAGATGCAAGGAGCCATTGCCAATTACTAAGAATTGAAGTTGGATGTTCAAATTTGGGTCACTTTTTCCTCAACAGAAGCCACAGCATGCCAAGTGCATGTCACTATCCTGACTAATCTTGTCTTTTTGGGTCCCAAAGAGCTAAACCTACAATTGAAGAGAATATGACACTATGATACCAACTGGAAAACCACCAACACCCAACATGCGTCCTCCAGAATCTCTCGAATCGTCACTGTGCCTCCGAACACCACTTAGTTCCCTCAAATATGTCCTTCTAACAAGCAGGCGTGCTTTCGTGTATTTAGAACAAATCTTAAATGTACACATGCATCCAAATCTTAAAATTCAGAATAAAGAAAAGCAGAGAAGGACAGAAGAAAGACTAATGCTACCAAAAATCAGTCTGCCTTTTCCTGCCTGCCTCCTTGACATGCCACCACCTAACACCACCACCTGCACTCCTCGCCCATCTCTCAGGCTCCAGGAAGGGTGGCAGAATGCAACTCTGCAGGACCTTAGCTGGAAGCGCCATCTGGGAGAAGGAAGACTTATAAACATGTTCTTCCAGAAGCCTGTGTCCTCCATCCCCTCACAAAGACAGCAGAAATAAATCACAACGATGTGGTTCTGCATCAGCACACCTGATGCTATGGCCCAATCAACTATTTTTGGGAATCAATAGCTCTCTTAAAGCTTTTTAGTAGAGTATCTTTTTATGAAACTTCTGCAATTTCCTAAATCAGTTCTACTTAACGTTATATGAAATGATTGATAGATTAAAAATACATGTACCCATGTATCCTGGGACCCTAATATGCAAAGTAAAGTAAGTGGTGCTTCATCAAAAGGATGCCATAAAGAGGAAGCAGCCGAACTACTTGTTTCCTTGATTGAGGCCACTTAAGACAAACTGGCACTTACAAGGAGAGTCAAAATAACCTACAATCCCTCTACAGAAATGTTTGCCAACCATGGATATTAAAGGGCCAATCTCTGAGCACTGTAAGATCTATAACAGCAAAGTTATTGGGGACTTTTTATTATTAGTCTGGGTTAGATGAGGGTCTAAGCTAAGAGAAGGCCTTTTAAGGGGTTGGCACAGTAAACATCTACATGCACCGATCCTGCCCCCAGGGATGCTGGGTAAAGCGTTGTAAAGCACTCGAGCTTCCTGGAATAGACAGACAAAAAAGTGTTATGACCCCTCCATGGGGGAGGGGGGATATTCTTTCAGTGACTTTAAGAGGCAAGGGATGCTGGTGAAGAGGTGAGAAGAGAGTCTCTGTTGTAATTTCTAGCCTCAGTTTCAGAAATGATTCTGAGAAGCAATGAGGTGTTTTAGTCTCTAGAGGAGTATGGAGCAAGCAGACAAGGTGTAAACACTGACCTTACAGAAGAAAAGTAATTCTTATTTTCTATAAAAGCCCATAGATCTAAATATCTGTCAGTTCTCTTCTCTATGTTTTGTATACTGTTTGTATACAAAGAAACAGGCGGGGCAAGGGCACATGCTAGTGTTCCTCTGGGGCCCAGCAGTCAACAGGCTTTGGACAGGTAACTAACAAGCAAGCGTGCTTTCAAGTATTTAGAACAAATCTTAAATGTACACATGCATCCAAATCCTGAAATTCCGGAGAGGGGAGGAGACGTGGAGGAAAGGTGAGAGAGAAAGACAATACAATGGGGGCAAATATAAAAGCAAGAGACAGCATATAAAGCACTATATAAATGATGGTTATTTTCCCAGCTCCACATTCCTGTAGCACCTTCCATAAACCTTCTTTGGGGCATTTAAAACATACTCTTGTCATATTTCTCTGTATGGCTGCCTCATTCACCTATATATCCAAGTTATGCCAAGCACAGTGCTGGCATAACTTGTCATTGAGTGCTTGCTAAATACAGCTTTTGTAAAACAACCATGAACATAAGAGTGAACACAGACTTGGACATACCAGCATTTCTTTTTTTTTTATTTTCTGAGATGGAGTCTCGTTCTGTTGCCCAGGCTGGAGGGCAGTGGCATGATCTCAGCTTACTGCAGCCTCCGCCTCCCAGGTTCAAGCAATTATCCTGCCTCAGCCTCCTGAGTAGCTGGGATTACAGGTGTACACTTCCATGCCCGGCTAATTTTTGTATTTTTAGTAGAGACAGGGTTTCACCATGTTGGCCAGGCTGGTCTCGAACTCCTGACCTTGTAATCCACCCACCTCGGCCTCCCAAAGTTCTGGGATTACAGGTGTGAGCAACCTCGAACAGCATTTCTAAGGTGACAAGCATTCCTCCCCATTTCCTACCAAAAGAGTCAAAAAGGTGTCATCTGGCATGCCCTGCAGACAGCAGCTGTACCCCTAGCACCAAAGAACTGGGTTTGAACTCAGACTCTTCCTTTCCCTTTTATTGGTTGTATGTTCCTAGAAATTATCTAATCTCTCAGAACCTTGATTTCCTCATCTGTAAAATGGGGCACAATATCTACCTCAACAGGACTGATGGAAGATAAACTGGAATAACAAATGTTAAGGATTGGTACATAGTAGGTACTCAATAAATGTGAGGTAGGGAGCATAAGATAGTGGAAGATCTGTCATCAAGTCCAAGACATGCCCCTAAAGTGATCTCAACTGAAATGGAAACAATGATCTACTTGCTTCCAAGAATTACTATGTGAGGGGCAAAGCAGAAAATGCATACAAAAGGAAACAAGATAAACACATGAACCCTGGAAAGGGATAAACAAATAAACATCTACTTAGAGGTCTCAAGTGCATACTTTTAAGAGCATAAACGGATAGCCATCATCATTTTATCAAATTCTCTGGATGATTCCATTTAACTCGAATCCCTTCTCCAGCAGGGAACACTTCTGTGTCATTCAGGCAACAAACACTGACAAGTACAACAAATACTAAGAGAGTGCTTCCTGTGTGCCAAGTGCTGTGCTGGAAGCAGAGGCTGCTGGTGGGCTGCAGATCTTGCCCTCATGGTGCTTACAGTCTAGGAGGGTGACTCACTGATTATAAATATGTGCAAGTGCCGCAAGGCAGAGTGCCAGTGGCTACGAAGGCATAAAATAGTGGGGGTGGAAAGATGGAGGGAGACCTTAACTGAGCCTGGAGGACTCCTAATAAAGGTGATATTAACAAATGGCTACCCATAGTGGCTTTTGGTGACTGTGACAGGAGAGAAGGAAGCGGAACAGGTCACAGAAATTACATACCAAGGTGGGTGTAAACCCAGCTCAGCATGGCTAACTAAAATTAAGAATGCAAGTAATAAAAGTTCTGCCATTCACTGCACCCAATAAAGAACTGAAGAAGCTTCCCTCCATCTAAACACAGTCTAAACAGAAAAGTGGCTTATTTCATCCCAGCCCAAGCATCAGAGGTGGAGGCAAAGCTTCTGTTTCCCCAAGCAAACTTTGTCAGTTTTGCCAGACCACCTGTTTTTCCAGACACCACACACGGTTCAAATGGCTCATGGTTTTCATCCACGAGCTTTTTCCTTCTATTCATTCAAAATCCACTTCATGGCCACACACCCCCAGAGCATTTTAAAACTGGGTGCACCACTGACGACTCATGTGGAACATATGGGCAATCAGTCCTCTCTCTGGCCCCCTGCTCTCTGGCTGTGACAGACCACAGGGAGCAACACCCTCCCCGGAAAACACCAACTGTACTCATCTGTCTGGAGTTTGTACATTTGGGAAGTTGTACAAAGAGACCGGTGCTGATAAAACTGGAAGGCTGACCATCAAATAAATAGATCTAAACCCTTACCAGAAAGAAGGAAGGAAAGGAACCGGGGCATTCCTCTGTGGGTTTCCACAGCTCTCTTGGCACCCAGAAGAATCAGCTTGGAGAAACCAGTGAGATACTCTCCTCCCTGGGCCTATTAACTTCCTCTCCTCACCCCACTGCCTCCGCCAAGCTTGTTAAAGTGCTATTTAATTCCGTTCCCTGAAAACTCTGGGTCTTCTCTTCCTTCCTATTTTGGCAAAGGTGGTTGCATCCTCCCTCACTGACCGAATGAAGTCAATGCTCATGGTGTAAAACAGTTTTAATGTGTGACACCTCACATCTGCCAATACAAATTATTAATGAGGTTCATTACTAGTTATATTAGGCTTTAGTGTGTAAAAAAGAGAGAGGCATCATTAGCCAAATTCTGATGAAAAGGACCCAGCAGCTCCAAGGGGCCTACATTAAGTGTCTTGTCTCACACAGCCTCTACTTAATACGGGCCACTACTTAGGAGTAATTGAATCAAAGCTAGAACACAAACCTCCACAAAATTGGGATTAGGAAATAAACTACAGATGTTCCAATTGCCTTAGGCCCAGAAACACCACAGTTAAGCCCAGCAAGGCAGGAGTTACTCCAACTGACCACACCTGGGTATGGGTACCAATGCCCAGAGAAAGCAGATGAAGGCAGGTAAAGGAGGAACGAAAGCATGAATAGACCTGCAGTGACACTGTCCATGGAGACTTGAAGATAATCAGAAAAAAATTATCAGCACATCCAAACTGCTTTAAACTGCAATACCTCAACCCCACAACTCCAGGGAAAACAATTAAATAAAAATTAATTGCATTTTAAAAAAGTAATTCAATCAATATTCCCTCCTTTAGCTTGGCACAAACCAAACCACCTTAAATAAGCAGAGTTATGACAGTCTCTCCTGAATTTTCACTTCACAGTTTTAGGAATATCTATTCTGGATTTCTTTCCCCACCAGTCCCCACCCGTCAACTTGCAATTTCAAAGGGACTCAAAGAAACAACTGAATCACCGGTGAACAGATTACAAAGCAAGGGGCAGCAGACAAGCCAAAGTAAACATACGGTAAAATTCCTAAGCCATTCCTAAACAATGCTTGTGAGGACATCAACATCATTAGCTAATGAGGGAATGAAAAGATGGATGTGAAAAACTATAATGCTTTGGAAAAATAACTCCTTTAAATGTTCATTACTATAATGGCTGTTTGGTTGAAGTCCAGGACTGCAGGTCGACTTTAAATCAAGTCCACATTAAACAGAATGGGCTCGCAAAACACAGGCAGAAAGATGTGAAGCATTTGCCCATGCTTGCTTTGATCATGGAAGCTTTATTCCTTTACAGAATTCTGCATTAACACCATAGTACACACATACATGAAAATCTGTGTGCCCTAGAAGTGTTTATGTATCTGTTTCCCCTATAAGACAAGCTCCTTGAGGGCAGGGAAACTATCTTTTTATTTCTGCACATCCCATGTGTTGCATAACCCCAGACACGTAATAATTGCTCCAATGAAATGTTAAACTTATTGGCAAAATAACAGTTAATTTTGAAAAAATCAAAAGGGAAAATAAGACCATTGGTGTAGGCCACAGCCTTAAGAACTGGGAAATGACACACTATCTCAAGTTACTGTTTGCAGAACGTACAACATGATGCAGCATGCTTGTGCTGATAAATTCAGTTGTGACTTTACCTAGGAATTCACTGTTAGGAGTAAAGAGGATAAAATCAAAGGTATTATAGAAATGGATAGTGTAGCCAGCACAATGTTTAAGGGGAGATATATCCAAAAGGAGATCAATCAAATTTGTATTATGTGATCATTTGATACCTCATTCATTAAATTGCTAAAAAAAAATTGGTGCCACCCTGACAAGCTTTCTTGAACAAGGGAGGCATGTCCATTTGGGGAGCTGTCATCTGCTGCAGATGCACACACAACACATGTAAAGTGTCCCTGCTACCCAGGGCCCTATCAACTCTTAAACCTTTAATCATTTCTCTACCACTTTACATCAGAATTAAAAGGCATATAGCCTTAAAAGGCAAATACCCAGAGTCCATCTGAAAAATTTTTACTTTTCTTCATATCAACCACCTGAGGCAGGTGTAATGCAGCTTAGTGGTTCCATGCAGGTGCTCAAACTCTAGCTCCACAACTTTAAAAAAAAAAAAAGAGAGACAGGGTCTTGCTATGTTGTCCAGGCTGGTCTCAAACTCCTGGGCTCAAGCAATCCTCCTGCCTTGGCCTCCCAAAGTGCTGGGCCACCGTGCCCAGCCTTCACCACTTATTTGGGGCAAGTATCTTAACCTCTCTGAGCCTCAGTTGCCTCCCAAAGAGGAGGATAATAAGAGAATCTGAATATCTTGAAGGTATTCTGAGGATTAAATTAGTTAATGCACATGAAATACTTAGCCTGACACCTAATTAATCCTTATTGTGTATCTCCTATTATTGTATATTATCCCACTTGCTACTCTATTCATCACTCCTCTGCTCGCCTTCCCTGCTCCAACACTGCAGCAGAATTTAAGAGAGAAGGAACAAGTTAATGCACAGTTCACAGCTATTTCAGCCATCATGAAATTACTGCTGTGGCTGTCAGCCTTGCCTCCATATACAAATGTTGAAAGTTAAAGCCTCTGGATGGAGAAAAAATACAATTTTGTGGTAGTTGTTTTGTTTTCTATTGCTGCATAACAACGTATACTCTTTTCACTTGAAGTCTAAAACCTACATAGTCTGGAAAACTAAGTACGTTTATAACCATGAAGAGGCTGACAAAAGACTTCACAACAATCTATTCTTTCTACCCTCAAAGGGACCACAGTGACAGAAGATCCTGGTAAGACACTGTCCTCCCAGAAAGTGCTTGCTAGAAAAGGGTTTGAGAAGGGAGAGCCATTTATATGTAAATATCTTAGACTTGTTACCCCTAAAAATAGTGGAAAGAGGGAAATAATTTGTTAAGAAATATACCAGAAAAGGGAACTGAGGGTGAATGAGTATACAGCCTAGTACTGTGACAGGAACAGAAAGAAGCCCTCTTGGCCAGCCTAATGATAAGGTCATTCTCCCAAAGTAGAAACTGGAAAACTAGCATGTGAAGCAGGGCACGCTCAAGACTAGCCTCAATCAATCAACTGGGGGGTTCAGGGTGGCCACCGGGCTAAAAATAAATAAATCTTTTGTTCCAGATGACCTTTAAGGTTCTTCAAGCTTTAAGGGGCTAGCAATCTGGATCTGGTGAAAACAGGTCACATAGGCAGGCGGGAGGAACTTCTAGAAATAGCACACAAACAGCCATCACCCAAGCAAAGATCAGCAGGGTCAGGATTCATCAGTGCAAGGGACCACTCTGCCACTCTCAGTCACAGGCAACCCCGCTGACTACAGACCCAAGTGTCACCCGAGGCGTACCTGCAGCTGCTGGATTGATCGTCCCACAGCTGGCTCCAGAGGCCTTAAAAGAACAGGTCTGGTCACAAGGCAACCATCCAGCACTCTCCACTACCTTGCTTGTGGCTCTTTTCCTCTCAAGTAAGTTACTGAGACACATTAGGCACTTCATTCAACAAATCACAAAAAAAGATTAAATTTTGCCCCCCAAATCCCTGTTTGCAGCTGCCATACCTGGCACTCAACAGTTTATTTTCATGGAAACACCTGGCACACAATGGAACCCCCCAGCCTGCCTCCGTTCGTACCACAGGACACTTCTGTACTAGTGTGGCTGGGAAATGCCAGTCACTGTCTAACTTAACTCCTCACCCTACTTCCTCAGTGGTGCCAGGCATTTTACATTTATTTTCCTTTCTTCTTACGCATCCAGTAAGCAGCAACTCTGGCGGCAGAAGTGCATATGACATCAGAATTCTCAGAGCTAAGGGAACTTGCAGAGATCATTGGACTCATCACTGACCTGAAACCATGCTAAACCTCTTCTTTCCCAAGCACACAAGCAAGCTGTGTCCCTCAAATGACAAGCTCCATGGTGTTCTGATGATATACTGATATCATTTCAGTATGATGAGGGAGATTACTGGAAGTTTCACCATCGAGGAAGTCATCGTCCAAAAGAGCCACCATTATAAAATACAGGCCTTGTGCAGCATAAACATGAAATTCTGGAGGCACAGAGCTGAAGAACTGACTGTCAGGATCCCGGACCAGGGAAAAGGCAAAGAAGTCAGGCTGTACTTCCACATAGAAGATTCAAACCTGGAAAACATTTGTTCTAAATAATCCAGATCCATTTCCTGGTGCCAAATGTAATTCCTCATTTCAGTCTAACAAAGTTATGGACAAAACTCTTCTGAAATGTCTTTGTACTTAAAATTTTTAAGCCAATTTTACTCTTTCACAGTGTGTCACAGGATGTTGTGCAATCAATTATTACTCAAAATATTACTTGATTACAAAAAGGCCAGGTCTTGCATTGGCACATTAGATATATATTTTTTATGTTTAAAAGTGCTACATAAAAAAAAATCTATCATCGTGCCCTGCATTCTCTAGTCCTGGTTCTATCACAGCTCCAGAACAACTGGAAATATCACCAATGAAGTTGAAGACCCTCATTTCCTTAGAGTCCAGTCCTTTTATAGTTCCATAAGAGAAATCATCAGCCTCAACATGTAAGTCTTTTCTATCCAGTCTAGTGTCTGTTTTTCCTTTTTTTTTTTTTTTTTTTTTTTTGAGGGAACTGGTCATTATTTCTCTAAAGGGACATTCTTTAGGAAAATCTCTTCCTTGGGTTATAACTATTTCAGATTCATTAATTTCTTAACTGAAGTTACATTAAGCCCATTCTCCAGACAGGACACTAGCCTCCAAGCCAGTCCTTTGATTTATCAGTTCCAAAACTAGATGACTCAGGCAACTGCTATACTGGAAACGCCAATCAGGCCTTGAAAGTCAAGTCCAGTTAAGTAGCGATTATATTCCAGCCCACCCTGTCAGCAGTCAGATAAAAGTAAAGGCAAGAAGTCTGTGTGAGACGAATTGGTAAAACCACCTCTTTCAGAACAATATCGGATCCATGGAGAAACTGAAAGAGACAGAACTGCCTTCTCCAGAGATGACACTTCCTTGGCTATCTTGAGAATGAGGCGACACAGTTCTCAAACCCTAACAGCAGCTTCTACATGGCATTGTCTAATGTTAGCCGGTAGAGAGAAACACTAAGGGCAATCTTTTTGGCTGCTGGTCTTCAACAGATCATTTAAGACACCCCACTGTCATTTCTCATGTGGTAGTCAGTGAGCCTGGTTTTAAGATACCAAGGTAGACCAGAACACACTGGAAAATTTGCAGCAAGAGATGTTAAGATCTGTTGCATTTTCAGTGAGGGCTGAAACACCTCCGCCCTGTGGGTTCTGCTGCATAGCCACAACAGTGACACTGGCAAAGGGCAGAGTTCCTGTGGAAACACTTACAGTGCAAACCCGCTGGTGGAAATGGGTCTCTGAAAAAACAAAGGCTTCACACCCATAGAACATAGTGATGAAGCCCAGTGGAATGGCAGGTTTAAGCCGACAATTCAGTGTCCGAACCAAGTCAATCATTAGCTTCACATATATGCAGATAAAAATCCATAATTAATTAAAGGATAAAGCCTACAGAGATGACATATTCTAGGATTTTTCAAATCTTTAAGCAGCTGCTCACTGACTAACTCACAATCCAAGGCACCTCTCCAAGCCTTTTCTGCAGCCAGGAAAAGACAAACCAAGATAATCTACATTTATATGAGTTAGGTTGATCATATTATATGCTAATAAATGAGTTAGCTCCACCTTCACCATCTTCTGCTTGAATTTAATTAGTAGTTGAGGCTTTAAAAGGGCGCTCCCTTCCCCTCCAAATGAGTTTGGCACTCCTGTTCAGAACACAGAGTTGGCCACGTAGGAAAGGCTCTGCCCTTCCCATGAGACAGCCCAGTTACACTGCAGAGGCTGGTCACCAGGCTTAGGACCTCACAAGGTCAGCCCCATGCAAGTCTCAACTGTCACAACTATCTTCACCACCTTCAGGGGGAGGAGGAGAACCCTTTCTCATGCCTCACCTCAAGGCATCCAATTCAACCAACATTTACTCAGCACCTACCAGGGGCCATGCACTGGCAATACAACGGGAACCAAGACAAAGCCTCTGAACTCATGAAGAAAGTTCCTACCAATGGGATAAATCTGGCACAGTTTGCTTTTAAAAAGCACTTAAGCATTGTTAGTCCAGTGTAAAATGACCTGTACAGGTAAAATTCCATGGGAAAAATACAAATCCCAAAGAGGAAAAAGGAGAAAAGGAATTTACACTACCTTCGACCTGGTTACTACTGACTTTCCCTGAAGACAGAACTTGTGCATCACCTCCTCCAAGAAGTCCTCCCTGAATACTCAGGCTCACAATCCCCTACTATCCCGTACCCATTCCTATTCCTAAACTCAACTACCCTATGATGAAACTGTGGGTTTCTGCTGCCTCCCTCACTACAGGGAGAGCTCCTTGAGCTTTTCACCCCCAGCATCTACTGTGGTCTCTGGCCACAGCAGGTGCTCAGTGAATGCTGTGAACTGTGCTGACATGTGCATGTGGCATGCTCAGGCCTGTTTATGGATGTCTTTGTAGTTACATGGAGAGTGACATATTTTTTCTATGTAACTTATTCAACCCTATCTTTTCTAATGTTATACAAGTCCTTCTGTACAAATTACAAAGGAGTATCTTCCTTCCTCCTCCAACATTTATTGTAAATAAGGTGAATTAGACATGAGCAGAGGCAAGAAAACCTAGTCTGTCCATTAGTACTTAGCTCATAAACTGGAAGGCAAGGAGAGGTGGAAGATGGAATGGGGAAGGCAGGGCCAGCCGATTGGGAACCCTCCCCAGGAGCCTGAACTTTATAGGGCACAGGAAGCCTTTAAACGACTTCTGGCAGGAGGGAGGTTAGGGCTGAGTTTTAGACAGCTCATCCAGGCAGTTTATGGAGGATGGATTTGAGGGAATACAACTAGATTCATGGAAACCAGTTCCAAGGCCATCACAATAATCCATATGTATGATACAAACGAGTGTGGTAATTGTGGGGAAAAGAAGAAATTGAGTCAGAAAGTATTTACCAAGCCAATCTGGCATGACTTGGCAATCAACTGAGGTGGGGAAAGAGGTAAAGGAGAAAGAAAAGTCTAGAATGGTGGCCAGGTGACTGAACAACGGCAAGACCAGTTCTGACCGGGAAAATGGGAGGAGGAGCAGGTCAAGGGGAAAGATGGGATATTTAATTGTGGACATGTTGACTTGGAGATGCCTAAAGGATGTCCAAGCAGGTCTGTCCAGCAAGCATATCAGACATGGGACCCTGGACCTGATATCGGGCCTGTCTAAGCCACAGTTTCCTCGGGTGAGAAATGCAGGTGCCACAGCACTCCTCCTCTCTCACAGTCTACTGTGAGGATTAAAGGAGACGGAGTATAAAGTGGTTTGTCCTAAGCCTGCCCCAGTTCCAGAAGCAATAGTTGGGCTCAGGGGGGAAGACAAGAGACAGAGCTTTGGAAGTCCTTGGCATATGGGCAATATTGTTGAGACTTAAAAGTTGACGAGACCATGCGCCATGACAAAGAAAAGAAGGTAAAGACAAACCACCTCCCACCCACCCCCGCCCCCCACCCCGCCCCCTCCCACCTGGGGAACACCAATATTTACTAGGTTGAGGGATGAGGAAAGATACAAAAAGAAACTTAAAAACACATCAGTAAGCATTGGAAAAACACAGAAACAGGGGAGCAATGAATCTGAAGAAGGTAGCAGCCAACAAGACAAAGAAGAACTGACCTGACTACACTGTCACTCCTGGGCTTCGCCAGCGCAGTCTCCTGGGGATGGGCACCGGGAAGAAAAATGAACAGGGCAGGGAAGGGCATCTGCAGACAGCTGTCAGGGAAGAGGCTGAGAAGGGAAAGGAAAACACTGTGCCCCACCTCAAAAGGATAGTGGGCAAGGCCAACAGAGGACTGAAAGGCTGAGTGCTCAGAAAGATTTGGGTATGTTTTTAAAATGAAGGTTTCGCCAGGCACAGTGGCTCACTCCTATAATCCCAGCACTTTGGGAGGCCAAGTCAAGAGGATCGCTTGAGCCCCGCACTTGGAGACCAGCCTGGGCAACCTAGAGGACCTTTCTGTCTCTATGAAAAATTAAAAAATTAGCTGGGGGCATGGTGGCGCATGCCTGTAATCCCAGCTGCTCAGGAGGCTGGGGTAAGAGGATGGCTTGAGCCTAGGAGTTAAGGTAGCAGTGAGCTGAGATTGCGCCACTGCACTCTGGCCTGGATGACAGAGTGAGACCCAGGCTGGAGTGCAGTACAGTGGTGCAATCTCAGCTCACTGCAACCTTAACTTTAATTATAAAAAAAAAAAAAAAAAAAAAAAAGGCCGGGCTTGGTGGCTCACGCCTGTAATCCCAGCACTTTGGGAGGCCGAGGCAGGTGGATCATGAGGTCAGGAGATCGAGACCATCCTGGCTAACAAGGTGAAACCCCGTCTCTACTAAAAATACAAAAAATTAGCCGGGCGTGGTGGTGGGCGCCTGTAGTCCCAGCTACTCGGGAGGCTGAGGCAGGAGAATGGCGTGAACCCGGGAGGCAAAGCTTGCAGTGAGCTGAGATTGCGCCACTGCGCTCCAGCCTGGGCGACAGAGTGAGACTCCGTCTCGGAAAAAAAAAAAAAAAGTTACAATTAAATGAAGGTGTCAGGAGGACAGGAGAGGATGAAAACACAGAAGGGAAGGCCTGGCCCAGGGAGAACACAGAGGGGACCCAGGCAGAGCAGGTGGAGGGCTAAGCCTGAACAGGAGGCCAGCTCATCCCAAGACTCAGACCTTTCTAAACAATGGCCCAAGCAGAAGAAAAGTAAGGGAACCTACTTAAGTCTAGGGGATGGAGGAGTAGGTGATAGGTGAGGGGCTTAAAAGGGAAAGTGGTGGGGAGGCCTCATTATCATCTCTTCCAATTCTCTCAGACAGTTTCTTCCTTTTAACGTAAGTATCATTCAGGCAGAGAGCTGTCACTATGTAATTTGACTTCAAAATATTAATGGCAATAATATTAATGGGAACAGTCATTTAATATCTTGACAGGCACAATTTTTCAGAATCATGATTTTTCCTATTTTAAAATAAAATTCTACATATACAAGTTTGGTCCTATAGGACCAAATGACAACAGAAGGAGTCAACACCCATCAGAAACAGTTCAGAGAGAAAAATGCATATTGGAGTTCTAATGAGGCAACTTCAGGAGTCACTTATTTTGCCAGAAAAGGACAGTTTAAGGAAAATGAGTTTAAATGGCAACTTAAACTCAAGGTCACTTCAAGGTCACAGTTGTACCTAGATCTTGTTTATGCCCCCTGTTGGTGTCCTGTTCTTATCAAGCGCAGGCTGTCATTAATACATTCCTGACATAGTGTGTGCTGGATGATGGTTTCAGTCTCGCTTTTTCCCATTTTGAAATCCATCTCTTACCACCCAAACAAAAGTTAACATTTTGTTTGAGGAACCTAGGATTCAGCTAATCTTTTCACACACCTTTAATACTTATTTAAGTAATCAAGGGAATAAAAACCATACTGGTATATTCATTCTCTCTAAACTACTCCTGAGGCAGCTCTTAAACTCACACACACCAAAAAAAAGTAAATCTGTACCTGAATATGAATTTTTCAAGCGAAAACCTTTTAGCAAAAGTGTTTGAATCATGACTCAGACTCAAGACAGAGAATGGTAAGGAATGATAAGGAATTTTTCCTTTCTACAAACATTTCCTGAATCCCAAACATGTGCAGGGTACTTTACTAAGTGGTGGGGGAGGCTGGGGGTCCCTAATGTTCATGCAGATGGCAGTACTTCAGGGCTGAAAGCAGATCAGTGGCCAAGGTGAGGGCAGACACCCACAAACACATTCTCATTCACTCCAGACATTTGCAACAGCAGCGCCCCAGCAAATCAATACAACCACAACCCAGGTACAGGATGTGCATGACAAGAAGGCGAGGAGGCCCGGCAAGGAGACTCAAAAACAATATATTCTTGGCACAACCAAAGAGCTAACAAAGGCTTCTGAACAACCAAAACCAAGGCTACGCTAAACATCAAGTGCAAACACTGTTGTGCCGTACTATGAAGCAAAGGAAATTACTGTTCTGAAATATTGTATATATACAGTTCAGAAACCTTTCACTTAAAATCAACTGTGAAAGATCTAGGTCCCAGAACAAGTGTCCAGTAAACAAATAAAAGTAGAAATGATCACCTTCAAATGAGTCCCCAGGTGGGGCATGGTGGCTCATGCCTGTAATCCCAGCACTTTGGGAGGCCATGAAGGGTGGCATCACTCGAAGTCAGGAATTAGAGAGCAGCCTGGGCAACATAGTGAGACCCTACCTCTATAAGAAAAAAGGTTTTCTAATTAGCCAACCACGGTGGTGCACGACTGTAGTCCCAGCTACTCAGGTGGCTGAGGCAAGAGGATCAGTTGAGCCCAGGAGGTCAAGGTTACAGTGAGTTAAGATTGTATGTACCACTGCACTCCAGACTGGGCAACAGAGTAAGATCCTATCTCTGTAAAATAAAATTTTTTGTTTAATTGAGTCCACATAGGAAAAAAAGTACTTCATATTTTCTGCAAGCCAAATCAAATGTTCAGCCTAAGCAACATGGCAAGACCCTGTCTCTACATTAAAAAATTAGCTGAGCTTGGTGGCGCACGCCTATGGTCCCAGTTACTCAGAAGACTGAGGCAGGAGGATCACTTGAGCCCAGGAGGTTGAGACTGCAGTGAGTCATGTTCACACCACTACATTCCAGCCTGGGGGACACAGTGAGACCCTGTCTCAAAAAAAAAAAAAAAAAAAAATTGTTGGTGTCCTTGAATACATCTATAAATCCATATTCAAACGATGTACTTTTTTTTTTTTTTTTTTTTTTTTGAGACAGACTGTCACTTCGTAACCCAGGCTGGAGTCCACAATCTCGACTCACTGCAACCTCCACCTCGCCTCCTGGGTTCAAGCAATTCTCATGCCTCAGCCTCCCAAGTAGCTGGAATTACAGGTGCGTACCACCAAGCCCAGCTAATTTTTGTATTTTTAGTAGAGACAGAGTTTCACCATGCTGGCTAGGTTGGTCTCGAACTCCAGACCTCAAGCAATCTGCCCACCTCAGCCCCCCATAGTGCTGGAATTACAGGCATGAGCCACCACACCTGGCCCTAATGACGTACTTTTAAAACTAGAGTTTTCCTCCTTGAAAGCATGACAGAACAATTCACATCCACCAACTTGTATTGGATATTCAAACTAACCAAGGAAAATATATTTTAATGCCAATTGAAAGAGCCTGTTTACCATTATTTCCCTTAATTACAGCAATAAAAGTACTCACTTCAGCTTTTCAAAGGCCTCTTTCTGTCCTTTGCAGCTAAATATTGCAACTTGATTTATTTCTGGTTTGTTGGTTCTCACTAACTCAGACCCTCTGCTGTCCAATATTGAATAAGCAAACCAACAAACTTAATTTCAAGGTTTCCATGAACCAACTTTAGCCAACATTGTAACTATAATAATTCCAGCTTCATTTTCCCATATTCCTTACAAGAACTTCCAGAGAGGACCTATGTACAGAATTTACCCCCAATCCCTGTGATTCCGGGATAAGGAAGCCATCTTCTCTTCCACCAGTAACTAGAAATCTCCTACTGATTTACATTCCAGAATCCTACATTAAAAGCAAAACCAGTGAGGAAGTTGTACTCAAAAATCCCTTCTCTTGAATTCTATGTAAATAAATATCTTACTGCTTTCAAAGTTAACTTCAGAAAAGGGCTGGGCCCATCACTTCATATTGAAGTGCTGAGGGTAGAGTGGTGGTAATGAAAGTGACATCAACAATCATTTTTCTGCGGTAGTATATGTCATGCCCTGTGTAGATGGTTTACATAAGTCCTCACTGTGTTCTGAAGTAACCCTGTGAGGCAGGTACTGTGTTGTGGATGAGAGAACAGGCTTGCAGGGGTTAAATTATCCCTGCTAATGAGAGGCAGAATGAATAGCTGAACCCCAATCTGGCTGACACCCAACCATCACACTATGATGCACTGATAATTATGGTAGTTGTCCAATAAATACTCCTCAAAGCCTGTATTTGTGTATCATTAGTCCATAATTATAGATTCTGCATCCTAATTCATGTGACTTAGGCAAATGTTAATGTGTCTTCTTTAAACAGACCAAATAAATGTTGAAGGGATGGTCAGAAATATTCAGGGAGATGCCAAAATAGGCATTATCTAAAACTATTCAAAATAGGCAAAATTATCCAGAGTTAGTTCACAAAATTATAATCCAAAAAGTAAATGAGCTTTCAGAATTAAGCAAGAATCAATTATATCTAGTTTTGGCAGATGGGGGGGTTGTGGTTTTTTTTATTTTTATTTTTTACAATGGCTGAGGTTTTATTTCCTTTATGATTACTGTTAGTATGTTTATTAATTCTCAGCCATAAATGTATAGTTTTGTAACAAATAAAAACAAGTTGGGGCCCTATCAGTTATACCACTACAATGCAATTATCCTGTCCATCTAAATTATTGAAACTTTCCATTAATATTTATGAGTCCATAGAAAACAAATACACTTTTCAGAAACTGAAAAATACGGAATAAACTTCAGAGTCTTTGTTTCCTTTCCCCATCCTCTCTTTAGAAAACATGTTACTGAAGGGGGTAGAGATAACTAGATGCTTCTATGATGTCATTTGAGGGCGCCAACAAGACTATACCCTACCCCACCCCTAAGAAACTTTCATACCACCACCCTCTTTTCTAAGAGGCAACCCTGTGGGTGTCTATCCTCAGCCAGTACGATTCTTTTCAGAAGGCCCTTGTCAAAAATATTCATTTCCTCAGGAAATTAAAAGCAACCAAAGCTTTGCCTGCCAAGATTACAAAAAATAAATAAATAAATAATTTTGTTAAAGATTAAAATAAAAAAAGCAACCAGGCTAGGAGTGGCGGCTCTTGCCTATAATCCCAGCATTTTGGGAGGCTGAAGCAAGATAACCTGAGCCCAGGAGTTCAAGACCAGCCTGGGTAACATGGCGAGCCCATATCTAAAAAAATTAAATAAATTAATTAATTAATTTAAAAAGCACCCAAAGCTAGCATTTCTCCAGTGCCTATCTTGTGCTGGGCATGTTTAATGTAGTTCATCTAATCTTCACACCAAGCCTATAAGGTAGCAAACATTAGCACCATTTTCCAAAAGAAAAAACTAATCATCAGAGATGGAGGGACTTGCTCATCGTTCACACTCCTAGGAAGCAACAGATCTGGGACAATGCCCCGAGCTTTCTGACACCAAGCCGACTCTCTTTCTGCCACCCTCCACTGTTTTTCCACCTGCCAAGCTTGTTCTCACGGTAGGGCCTTTGTTGCCTCTGCTTGGAATGCTCTTTCTCTAATCTTCACAGGGCTGTGTGCTTCTTGTCAGTCAGGCCTCAGCTGAATTGTCACCCGCTCTGTGCAGCAAGTCTGCTGCACAGTGCTTTACCTGTCCTTCGCAGACAGTGACCACTCCAGATAAAGCAGCCACCTTGTCACACTGAATCAAGTCACCCTGCTTTGATTCTCTACTTGGTACCTACCCAGCATTTGTCATTTTCTTCATCGTGCGTTTGCCTGCTTGTTATCCACCTCCCTGTGCTAGGGCGGCAGTGCTGGAGAGCCGAGATGCTGGGTCTTGCGTTCTCTGCCCTACCTGTAACACCTAGAACAGGCTCAGGCACAAGGTAGATACTTAATAAACACCTATGAATGACTGACTGGATGGCTACCCTGCTGCCTCCACCACACACTGAGGTGGAGTCGGGAAAGAATCTTGGCCTGAAGTCTAGAGAGCTGGATTCTCACTTTACCTTTAGCTAGGGGGCTGCTCTGTGGACAGTCTCCATTCAGCTCAGTTTCCACCAACATCGGGTTGTCTGTAAGATGCTGACTGAGTGAACTGGAATTCCAGAGAGGACCAAAAAATCTGCTGGGTCACGGGGACCCAGACCATGGGAGACTGGGGCTCAAAGGGTAAGAGGATCAGGCAGGCCTCACCAATCTCATCATTTTGTCTTAGACTAACACAGCAGAACACCATAATGCCCACTGCAGCTCAAAAAGAGGGTGAATGTTTTAAGAAAAAGCGTATGAAAAAGATGAATCCTATTTCTTTTTACAAGGGAAAAGTTTATATTAACAAAAGATACCAAGCCAGGGTCACTCAAACTGTCCTAGTTTTGTTTTTTTAAGTTTTCATCTACTGCAAACCTCAAACAAACTCTTTAAAAAAATAGAGGCTTTTGAAAACACCTAAATAACACAACCAAATAGGTCCTAAAATGGGTCATCATCTAGTATATTTCACCAGAAGCCATAAGTGAGAACACATTTTTAAGAACATCTTTTTCTCTAAAATTTATAGCTCCTAGCTCCTGTTTTCTACTAAGTAACTATTTTCTATAATTAATTGAAGTGAAAATGTCCTCAAATACAAAGGAAAACACTGGAACCACACCCTGAATGTTAGGAATTAATAAAAGCCTTATTTTTGAACCCTTTCAACTGAGGTTTCTCAACCTGAGGTCCTGTGTCCTTAAGGTTTAGGAAAGGCTTTAGGAGGGCTACTAATCAGATGACATTGTTCCCAGAATATCATCAATATGCACATATGTGCATTTTTCCAGAAACAGCTCCATAGCTCTCATCATCTCTAAAAGGGTCTAGGGCTCGACAACAGTTTCAAAAGCACTGATTTAGATGGAATCTGCTCTCAACTCTTCTGTACCATAATTAAACAACAGTAATCTATATTAAAGCATCTAAGAGGCCCACAGCTTGCAAATAAATAAATGTATTCTGTTTATGGAATTAGGCTAATACACGTATGACTTTTGGGTGCGCTTCCCAAAATAATTTCAGAGCCCAGAACAAATCTGAGTATCAGAAGTCTCCTGAATATATTTCAGAAGGGAGCAGAATTTCCATTGTCCAACGGAACCATTACCAGAACCACAAAACTCTGACACCGGAAGGACCACAGAGCTCAAGGGGCCCAGCCCTCCAACATCACAGACGCAAAAACCAAAGTCCATTGTAAGGAAAGAGTGTATCATATTTAAGGGCTTGCGACACGAGAGGTGGAGAGACAGAGCTATGCTAGTACAAGGGACAGATGTGACTTACGAATAAATATGCAGCTTTGCGGTTTTTGTCTAAGTGCATGGAGAACAGAGGCTAGGTCTGAAATTGGAAATACAGGACGAGGTATAGAATATGCTCACTCTGGCCTATATGACTTATTAATGCAATTATGACAGGGATCATGTTGACCATGGTTTTATGCTCTGGCAAATTTCTTAATTTTTTACCACAAGCACAAACTAAACATCTTTGGTAACTTTTAAGCATTTATCTCCCTGTGAGGTCAAAGGCGTGCAAGGGTAAAACTTATACGCAATCAAAGGAACTTTTGGGAAGGCAGTACATAATAAAAGCACTGCTGGTAAGCTTCCTATTAAGTGGGCTTTCTACTACAAAAGTCCTATGTGCTTTGACAGATACTGCTCTAATTTACTGGTGCTACAGAAGCACACTAACATAATAATCTTGATAAATATCTCCAGATAGGACCATGATTCTCAACAAAAATTTCCTGTCTCATAAAATTCTTTAACACAGCACTTAAACACTACCATAGTCAATACCCTTGGGCTCATTCCTCCCTCTAATTAAAATGTCTGTCCTACAGTGATTTGTAGTATTTGTCATCACCCTGGGTGGATACATAGACTGGTAGCTACAGATACTTTGGGACAATAATGCTGTAATTGCCAAACTAGTGAGAATGGCTTCTAGCAAAACAGTGGGATTCTCAGTCTCTCTCTGACTTGCCGTAACAGGGACATAACTTACAACCATCCCATAGAACAAGGAGTGCGTTAGCATAAATCAAGAAATACAACTGCATGGCTTGAAATGTATTGCCTTAAGGCTGATTCTAAACCAAGAAAATAATACCAACATCACTAGCGATGCTATACAAGTCACTTAGATGGGAGCTAAATCCTCTCCAACTCTAAGCAATTTAGATTTGGACCAATTTAATTCTTAGGAGTTACTAACTTTGATAACACATAATTCAT
Organism: Homo sapiens; assembly: GCF_000001405.40. Lineage (NCBI taxonomy): Eukaryota > Metazoa > Chordata > Mammalia > Primates > Hominidae > Homo > Homo sapiens. The sequence continues at coordinate 61,331,810 of NC_000014.9, read as the reverse complement.
TTTGACAGTTTAAACCAAACCAATTACTCCAAAAGGGAAGAAATTATGTGATTGCCTAACACATGGAAGCAGAGGCTTTAGAGATATAAAAGTCTTTGGAGACCGTTTAGTGCAGCCCCCTCACAATATAACGGGGAAATGGGACCCAGATAAGCAGACGCTTGCCTAAGGTCACAGCTTGAACCCAGTTCTCCTGACACCCATTAAAGTACAGTGTTCCCCTATTGCTGGGAGTTGTATAACGAAATAAAAAGAGGGGTTTTTTTGTTGTTGTTGTTGTTTCTTTTTTTGAGACAAAGTCTCACTCTGTTGCCCAGGCTGAGGAGCAGCAGCTCGATCATAGCTCTCACTGCAGCCTTGAACTCCTAGGCTCAAGCAATCCTCCTGCCTCAGCCTCCCCAGTACACGGGACTACAGGTGCACACCACCATACCAGCCTGGCAGAGTTTGCTTTCTTTTTAAATTGGATAGTTAATATAATACTAATTTGCAGTAAAAGTTAACTCCCCATATATTTACTAGTAAGCTAGCTTTCTCTGAAATACTAGGACACAAATCTTTATGTAAGTAAAAATCTAAGTAAATATATATCTAAACTAATGCATTTTATAAATTAATAAATTATTACATATCTAAATAAATCTAAGTAAGTATATCTGTATTTTTGTAGATATAGATTAGATAGATATTAATACATATTAAATGTATGTATATTACACTTCTCATGAGTTAGGGCAAGCTTGTTCAACCCACAGCCCATAGGCTGCATGCAGCTCAGGACAGCTTTGAATGCAGCCCAACACAGATTCGTAAACTTTCTTAAAACATTATGAGATTTTTTTGAGGATTTTTTTTGAGCTCATCAGCTATCGTTAGTGTTAGCGTATTTTATGTGTGACCCAAAACAATTCTTCTTCCAACGTGGCCCAGGGAAGCCAAAAGATTGGACACCCCTGTTAGGGCAACAGTAATGATTTGGCTGGAACTTTGGTTCCCACATTCAGAAAACAAAGGCTTGAGCTATAGTGTCACAAAATTTAAAATGTCCCAGGTCCAAGCAAGTAATGAGTCAAGAGAGTTGGTTTCATAACAGGGAGTGGAGGGGTCTGTGGCAAACTGGAGCACCACAGCACTAAATGCCTTCAGTTTCAATGTTAAAAACATCTGTGCCAAATGAATAGACCTACAGGCTGTCTGCAGGCCTAAGAGCTATCAGGCTTTTTGTTGTTGTTCTGAATTAGATGATCATCCTGCTTCAACATCTATGATTATTTTATGATCTATACAAAACTTAAGGTATTTGATGGTTCAAATATAGTGTTCCTACTTTCTGCCTTTGTGGAGTCAAAAGTTCTTTTGCAGGTCATCTGTTCACAAGCATGGAAACAGTTCCCTCCCAAACTTTCCAAAGATGGAAACATTTCTGTGGGTCAGGAACATTTACCTTTCAAAAGGGCATCTGCGATGTCCCTCTGGGAAACATTATCAGGTCAGAAGTTCCTTTTCTTCTTTTGAGCAAAGACTGTTCACAGTCATTTAACTGAAGCAGGCTGTGGCTCTCTAGGCTGGGTCCTTAAAAGTCAGCTCTTTGTTTTTCCTCCAGGAAGATGTTCCCCACCTCCCCAAACCAGGGGCTTACCTGCCTGTAAGTACTTCTGTAATTCCCTAGTTGCTTTTGTTTGCTTTTTATCCCAATCTCCCTCCCCCTTGGAATTACAAGCCCTACGAAAGAATGGGTCATGTGTGTCCTGTCCACTTGACTTTACAGGATAGAGCACAATGCCTGGTACTTAGTACATGCTCATTGGTGGCTGGATGCTCACCTAGGGCTTGGCATTTCAAATAGAAACATGTAATAGTCTGTCAGAGTCACTACTACAAGAGCCAAGCGGATGAATCTTAGTCAATCATTCAAACAACTACACCCTGAACTCCCTGTGACCAGTGTCACACGCTTCCATTAGAGGCCAATCCATTCATACGTCCGTTCTTTCAGGTTGGAGGAGACAGCGGCAAAAGAGATCTCAGGATACTGAGGGAACACTAGGAGGAGGACCAAACCCAGACTGGCACATCAGGGACAGTTGTCTGGGTAATTAATGCCCATAATGAGACCTGAAGCACAAGGAAGAATTAGCAAAGCGAAGTGTTCCTCCTTTTGAGGAACTGAAAGATGCTCATTGTAATTTGGGGAAATGTAAGAGAAAAGGCTCAAGAGGAACACAGGGTACAGATCATGGAGAACATCCTATACCATTTTAAAGACTCTGGACTTTGGCTGGGTGCAGTGACTCATGCCTGCATCCCAGCACTTTGGGAGGCTAAGGCGGGCGGATCACCTGAAGTCAGGAGTTTGAGACCAGCCTGGCCAACATGGCAAAACCCTGTCTCTACCAAAAATATAAAAATTAGCCAGGCGTGGTGGTGTGTGCCTGTAATCCCAGCTACTGAGAGGCTGAGGCAGGAGAATCGCTTGAACCTGGGAGGCGGAGGTTGAAGTGAGCCGAGATCGTGCCACTGTACTCCAGCCTGGGCAACAGAGAGAGATTCTGTCTCAAAAAAAAAAAAAAAAAAAAGACTCAGGAGTTTATCTAAGAGCAGTGGAGAACCACAGAGGAGGAGTTTTAAATAAAGAAATGACTATTGGTTTGGCAATTGAGAAAGACTATTTTGGATACAGTAATGATAAGAGTGGAAAACAATGGACAGGGATTGTTTCCACTTAGGTCTCATTTTTATCACATTCTAATAAAGTGGAGCTAAGAAGTCAACACAAAAGGGGAACACAATCTAGTTGACTGTTTTTTCAGCTTTTTTTTTTTTTTGAGACAGGGTTTTGCTCTGTCATTTAAGCTAGAGTACAGTGACATGATCATGGCTCACTGCAGCCTCAACCTCCCAGGCTCAAGTGATCCTCCCACCTCAGCTTCCCAAGTAGCTGGGACTAGAGGCATGTGCTACCATGCCTGGCTAATTTTATTTTTTTGTGGAGATGGGGTCTCACTATTTTACTTAGGCTGGTCTCAAACTCCTGGGCCCAAGGGATCCTATTGCCTTGGCCTCCCAAAGTGCTGGGATTACAGACGCAAGCCATAGCACGCGGCCCCAGTTGCTTTATTAAATAAAAAAGGACTACCAAAAATCCCAGGCACCTCTATTATTCTACGCAAATGCTACTCTTCTCATAAAAATGCACCACACTTTTACCATCACCACTAATCACCATTCTTAACACTTACTAGATACCAAAACTTCACTAAGAGTTGCATAAGATAAAATGATTCACGTTCCACCCACCAACCTCATTCCTCTCCAAGGCTGAGGCACAACCTTTTAAATGCTGATGTCTTGCTTCTGCCCTGACTTTAACATTTTGGGCGTGAAAATTATAAGTGAAAAACGTTATAACGTATTACAAGTTTTAAAATCATAGTCTTTTAAAATGACGTAAGAGCAGGGAATTTTCCATACACAAGGTTTTCAATCCATTACCATATTCAAAGAATATAGCAGTCAGGCCCAGTCTTTCTTTTTTTTTTTTTTTTTTTTTTTTTGAGACGGAGTCTCGCTCTGTTGCCCAGGCCGGACTGCGGACCGCAGTGGCGCAATCTCGGCTCACTGCAAGCTCCGCTTCCCGGGTTCACGCCATTCTCCTGCCTCAGCCTCCCGAGTAGCTGGGACTACAGGCGCCCGCCACCGCGCCCGGCTAATTTTTTGTATTTTTAGTAGAGACGGGGTTTCACCTTGTTAGCCAGGATGGTCTCGATCTCCTGACCTCATGATCCACCCGCCTCGGCCTCCCAAAGTGCTGGGATTACAGGCGTGAGCCACCGCGCCCGGCCCAGGCCCAGTCTTTCAAGCACATATTGGTATGTCATTGATTGATTTAACAGAGGAATACTGTTCATCCAGTAACTCCTCAACTATTTTCATTTCTTTCTTTTAGAAAGATGGAAAGATGCTCCCAAAGTACTTACACTTTACTTGTCCCCCAATCACATAAAATTTCATTTAACAAATATTTAATGTTTACTACATATGAGACATTGTCCCAGGGTTAGGACAGTGAATAAGAGAGGTGGGTCCCTGCTCTCAAGCCATTTGTAATCTAAAGGAGGAAAGTATAATAAGCAAATTCATTAACAAAATGATCTCAGAGAGCAATGAGTGCAACGAAAGACAACAAGATAATAATATGACCAGGAAAATGCTCTCCAAAGGGGAAAATATCTGAGCCACAACCTGTTTGTGATGAGAAGCAGCCGGTCCCACTGTAGCAAAATTCTTCTTACAATGAAAATGAAGACGCTACATAGCCAATACAATTCACATACACTGAAATAAAACTCCCTCAAGATTCTAAAATATATTTTTCCTCTTAAACACTGTGGGTTGATCAGTCAGTGTTAGACATTCCTTCCAATTGGCTCAGAAAAAAATCAATCATGAGAATAAACAACGGCACTACAAAGTACAAAAGAGAATGAACCACTAGATAGAAAATCTGGAAGAATTTTGGTGGTATAAATTCAGACACCTGGATCCAGGAAGGAAGGGAAAAGATAATCCATGATTGTCCAGTAGTAACATGGCTGCTTCACCTGACAGGACTGATTACAAAACAGGTACCTCACTGAGAAATTGAGAGAAAGAGGCCCTCCAGGGCTGCAGAGAACACAATGTCTTCGGGAGGGCTGAACCAGGAAAACAGCCTGGGATCCTGCCAAGCCAGTCCTTCCTTCCTGAGGGGGCGCCAAGGTCTTTCCATGACGCAGCCTCCAGCTCCTCCTGCCTCCCCATGTCCCCAGCACTCTGCATTAAGCATTAGATGCTGGTCCCCATTTAGAAGGTCAGCAAATCAAGAGCAAGTACACGAAAGAAGAAAATAGAGTTTAAACAGAGGCAATTCTTCAGATTTTGGAAGCCAGAGAAATTATGCAAAATAAACATGTTCTAGAAGCAGCAGAAAAAAAACTGACAGTGATAATTTAGAAAATGAGACCATGTCCAAAAATCAGAAACTAATTTGTTTTATTGTGATTTCATTTTTTCTACGCTCCCATTCTCATAAATATTTTCTGCACTAAAGAGGAAATGTAGTTTTCAAGAGTCAGACTTGGCTCAGCTGAAATTCTGTCATTTACTAGCATCTTACTTAACACCTTCAGTAAAATATGGATAAGCGCTGATTGGTTTTTTTCCCCACAGCTTTATTCAGGTATAATTGTCATATAGTAACATGCACATACTTAAAGTGAACTATTTAATAAGCTTTGACATATGTATATAACTGTGAAATCATTGCCACAATCAGAATAACACAAATATTCATCTCCCCTAAAAGTTTCTGCCTCCTTTGTAATCCACCTCCCTTACCTCCACTCTCCATTTTTAGGCACCCACTGATCTGCTTCCTGTCACTATAGACTCCTTTTCATTTCTAGAATTTTGCATAAATGAAACCGTACTTTTTTGTCTAGTTTCTTTCACTCAGCATAATTATTCTGAGATTCATTCCTGTTGTTACATGTGTAATAGTTCATCTTTTTTATTGCTGAGTAATATTCCATTGTATGGATAAACCACAATTGTTTAAACATTCATCTGTTGACATTTGAGTTGTTTCCACTTTGGGGGTTATTACAAATAAAGATGCTATGAACACTCGTGGACAAGCTTTTGTATGAATGATTTCATTTCTTTTAGTAAATACTAAACAGTAAGTTATATAGTAGGCATATGTTTGATAGTTTAAGAAACTGCCAAACTATTTTCCAACATGATTTACCATTTTACATTCCTCACCATAGCATATGAGAGTTCCAGGTGCTCCACTTCCTCACCAACACTTGGTATGGTCAGTCTTATTAATTTTAACCTTTCTAGTGGGAACATACTGAGATCTCATTTTGGTTTTAATTTGCATTTCCTTAATGACTCATGATTTTGAGCATCTTTTAATGTGCTATTTGGCATGAAGGTGAGTGCCTATTGAAATATTTGACAAGTTACAAGTCATTTGTTGGATTTTAAATTAGGTATTTTTCTCATTATTATTGTGCTGTTAGAGTTCTTTTATATATTCATGTTACACATCTTTCATTTACGTATTGCAGTTATTTTCCCCCATTTGTGGCTTGGGTTTTTATTTTCTTAAACATTCTCTGGGAAGCAATAGTTTTTCATTTTGATAAAGTCCAACTTACTGATTTTTTTATAGTTGGTGCCTTTTGTACGCTATCTAAAAATTTTTTGCTGAACCCAAGGTCACTACAATTTTGTTTTCTTATAGAAGTTTCACAGTTAAACTCTTACATTTAGGTCTATAATCCATTTTGAATTAATGTCTTTGTAGGATGTGAGGTAAGTGTCAAGGCTCATATTACTGTATGTGGCTATCCAGTTGTTCAAGCACCATTAGTTGAAAAGACTATCATTTCCCCCACTGAGTTGCCTTCTTGGCAGCTTTATCAGAAATCAGTGGGTCATATATGTGTGGATCTATTCCTAGACTCTCTTCTATTCATTCCACTGATCTGTATGACTCTCTTTATTCCAATATCACATTATCTTGATTACGGTCATGTTACAGTTAGCCTTGAAATCAGATACTCTAAGTCCCCCAACTTGTTCTTTTTCAAAACTATTCTTAGACTGGTCTCAGTACTTTACATTTCCATATAAATTTTAAAGTCAGTCTGTCAATTTCTACAACAAACTTAGATTTTGACTGAGATTATACTGAACCTATTGAATACTTTGGGAAGAATTGAGATCTTAACCATATTGAATCCTCTCATCCATAACCTACAGCTAAGAGCTTCTCTGGATCTAGCAAAAACTAAGTCACTAGGTTTTGGGGGTTTTTTGAACCTGCAACTTCAATAGTTTTTTTTTAAGTCAGTAATCTGTAGTTCCACTTGCAACCATAAATTTATTATGGAGTAAATTCAATTATTCCACATTTAACTCTCTGAATAAACTACATGTCAATTTAAAATACTAAAGATAAATAAGTATTTCTTTAATCCTGAACTTCAAAAGCACCTTTGGGCCAGATGCAGTGGCTCACACCTGTAATCCCAGCACTTTGGGAGGTTGAAGTGGGAGGATGGCTTGAGGCCACAAGTTCAAGACCAGCCTGGTCAACAAGGTAGCAAGACCCCATCTCTATTTTTTTAAAGCATTTTTGAACCTATAAAGGATACTTTTTTAAAAAAGCATGCATTCCATATATTTCCAAATTTTTTTAACAAGATTTTCTTTAAAAAGAAAAGAAACAACACTCTGCCCAACCTATGTTCCATATCCTTACAGTTCTGAAATACCCAAAACCTTTTTAAAAAAAACAACAAAAAAAAAATCTGCCTTCTGATGCATGCAAACGCATGAAAAACTGCTGGTTTCAAGGTCATTTAAATGCTGACCCTCCCTACCAACCACTCAACGTTTTCCAAAACACCACCAGTGGGTTATATTAAACATCTAAGTGTAATTATTTCAGACCATTATAAATATCGATATCTGATTTACACTGAATATTCATCCAGTGGAACAATAAGCAGCTCTGTACATGCCACCTAGTCAGATAACGTGGATCTTCCTACACTTATGACACCAAGAAGTCCTCATCTTTTGGTCTTCATGTAGGCTGCAGGTTCTCCACCTCGACTGCATACTGGAATCACCTGGTGAGCCTAAAAGTACGGATGATGGGGTCCCACAGCCAGAGATTCCTATCTAGAATCTTTAAAAGTGGGGATTTTTTAAAGGTCCCTGGGTGATTCAAGTGGGAAGATTATGGTTGAGAAGGACGAGTCTAGGCTATCTCCAGGAAGAGATGCTTCTCATGGCCACTGGCCAATCTGCACCACCATAATTCAGAACCTAGTTCCTCTAGAGCTTTGCCCGACCTAACTCCTAATCAGACACTAATAGAACTCAACAATTCCATCTGGATGCCTACACTCACTTCTATTTCATTTCCAGAAATTCACAGGATAAATGTAAATATCTAACTGTATTTTAGCAATTCCTCTCTAGTCCCCACTTCTAAGTACCACAAAGTAAATTAGGCTGAAGGGAAATTAACTCAATATAATTTGACGATTAAGGTTAGTCATTATGGTTTTTGTACTTCTATTTAAAAGAAAGGAATAGCTCCACAAGCCATCTTTAATTTTAGAAAATATACGGTAAAATTACTAATTCCACAAAGTATAAAATAAATACCTAAATGAGCCTTCATCACCATCCATCTGATTTCACCACTTGTAAATTTCAAACATTTTCAATACTGATATTGGGTTCAAAACTGACTCCCTCCAGAACTTAAACTATTAAACTCCTGAGAGTCTTCAAATGGCGTACTCCACTTTGCCAAACCAGACTACTTTATTATAATTATCATTCCATCATCTCAAAGTGGGAACGATGACACCTGCATCACAAAGACAGTGTGAGGATTAGGCAGTAAAAGCATGTTAGCACCGTGTAGAGCGCTCTAGAAGTTTTAATTGATTTACAGCAGAAATTATGCCTCCTGGGAACTATGTGAAAAGCAGAGGCAAGGGGAGAGCTGCGGGTAGCTACACGTCAATACCCAGGAACACAGGCTGGTGATGGGGGGAGGGAAGACAGTTAACAACCTCCTGAGGAGTCCTTACAGCCTCTTCTCAGACCCATAGCAGCAGAAACCCACACTGCAGGACTCCCACCTCGGACTGACTAAGTTACTTGCAAGTATATGTAAATCTCATCTCCTTGGAAAAATGCTAAATAATAAAACTGCCAACGTGCAGACCCAGGCGCTCATTTCCCTGCCAGTGTAGCTCATGTACCTCTGGGATGTGCAAGCCGAAACACGTGTGCACGTCTGAGCGGCTGAACCAACATGTATCCATAAACATTATGAATAATACTCGCGAGAATGTACGGCTTTCTCCTAAGTAGCGCTTGAAGCACTTTACCCAAATCAAGTCCCTTTTGTATCACTCCTTCCCTGCCTTTCCTACCTATCACTCTCGTGCTGAAAGTTGGAGCTCCTTACCCAAAGACTGGGCGGAAAGGGTGACCGCCCTGGACCCCTGCCCGACTTCCCGTTAGGCCAAGCCGCTGTCCTGAAAGGGGATCGTGTCCAGGCCGGCTTCCTGGAGACACACCTGCGCCTGCACACACCCACCGCGGTCGCGTCACCAGTGCCGCGGCCACGTGGACGAAGACCAAAGTCTGGAGGGAATTCCCTCAGCCACAAAGCGATGGGAAAGCGGGACCCGGGTGAGTTTTGAAAAACATAAGGGGAACGGGGGTTGGGTGGACACAAAGGGAAGGGGTCACCGCTACTCACCCAACCCTCGAAGGTGTCCGAGGCGCCGGTCGTGCGCAGCAGCTCCTGGAACTGCAGGGTGCAGTTGGCCACGAAGTGGTCGTAGCCCAGGGGCGTCTCGTGGAAGACGGCCAACTCGAGGTGGCCGCCGTCGGTGACGTTAGCGCAAAACTCCTCGTTGTACGTGGGTTTGTTGGTCTTCTGCTTGGTGCTGGTCTGGCCCACGCGCACCTGGTCCACGCTCACCGTCAGATAGGGGTCCAGCAGCTGGTGGCCCTTCTTGAAGAGCGAGTGGCGCAGGGACCAGCGGGTGGGCTGCAGCCCCACTGCCTCACCGATGCGGACCCTCAAATAGCCATTGAACTTCATGGTGCCAGACGACATGCCGGCGCCGCTGCCCCGGCCCCGGGGGGCCGCGCTGCTTCGCAGCGGGAGAACCGGGAGTCCCGTCTCAGGCCAGCCCTCGGGACAGGTGCAGGAGTCGAGGCAGCCCTGGGGAAAGGCAGCGCCTAAGCGCCCCTCGACTGGCCATTCTGCCTCCTCCGTGGGACTTTTCCCTCCCCTCCTTCCCTCCCTCCCGAGGTGGAAAGGAGGGGAGCCCGCCGCCGAGCCCTCAGCGGGCCGGGGAAGCCCGACCGTCCCTTCCAAGCGCGCGGCGCCTCCCGGGGACTCGCGCAGGACTCGCCCCTTCTCCAGGGCCGGGCAGCTCCTCTCCCTGGAGAGCCGGACCTACCCGTCCGGTGAGCCCCAGCCCCAAGCGTCTCTTCCCCCGCCTCCTCTTGCTTCTCCTCCTGCCCCCGCCTCCGAAGGCTCACGCTCTCCCCCACTCGGCGAGCTTCAAACCAGGAAGCAGCTGCCGCCGCCGCATCCCCGGCGAGAACCTCGCACCGCCAGGTTCCAAGTTCACAGAACCCCCGCGTCCGCTCCCGCGCCTTCCGGACCCCAGGGGCGTGGCCCGCGGTCCGCGGCCCGGCCCTGCGGTGGGTGGATCCCCGCGCAAGCCCCCGGGAGGCCAGTGCCCGCTTGCGCCGCCCTGCGCGCCCTCCTTGTAGCGCTGGGTCTGGCCGTGCGCTGCGGGTTAGGGGCCACCCCGGGCGCAGGCCAAAAAGGAAAGGGTTCGTGGCCCAGCCCGAGCAAACACCTGAGGCGTGGTAGACTGACCTGGGGAGCGATGGAAGGTTGGGAGGACGCAGAGGAGGGCGCTCCAGCCAGGAACCCGCGCGGCGAGGAGTCGCCCGCCCCCTCTCTCCCAACCTCCCCGGTGGGCTGGTGACCCTGCAGGGCCATCCCCAAGAGGCCCTGGCCGGAGGCGGGGGCACGGCGGGGAGGTTCTTTTTCCTAATATTTACAGGGATGGCTCATCCCGGGGTCAGCTCGAACGCATCCTGTTTGTGCGCCTTTCCTGCAGAGGCTAATTACACAGTTGTGTGTATGTGTGTGTTTTAATAGGGCAGTAGTAATGATGGAAATCCTGTTCGCCTCCTTCCTCGGAAGGTGTGTCTTGTTGCACATAGAGCAGGAAAGGTCGGTTCTTCTGGAGACAGACATGGCCAAGAGGTAATAAGTCTCTTCCTCTGCGGGTGGTTTCTGGTCCACCCAGCTCTGCGCGGCAAGGGCAGAAAATGTTCACACACACAGGCTGTCCCCAACACACACGCGGAAGAAATTGCCTCTTCTAGGAACACTCCAGCTTGTTGTATTTGCAGTCAGAGTGGGCAGCCTTCTGATGCTTCCCACCCCGTGGTCCCTGCAGATTTTGTCTCCGGGGAGGACCTTTTAGCCTACGCTGCTATGCCGCAAAGCTTGCTCCCTGAGGGCCAGCCACAACCAATTTGTTCCCCAAAAAGCCTAGGCCACTTTTTGTTGTTGTTGTTGTTGTTGTTTTTGAGACGGAGTTTCGCTTTTGTTGCCCAGGCTGGAGTGCAATGGCGCCATCTCGGCTCACCGCAACCTCCGCCTCCCAGGTTCGAGCGATTCACCTGCCCCAGCCTCCCGAGTAGCTGGAATTACAGGCATGCGCCACCACGCCCGGCTAATTTTGTATTTTTAGTAGAGACAGGGTTTCTCCATGTTGGTCAGGCTGGTCTCAAACTCCCGACCTCAAGTGATTCGCCTGCCTCGGCCTCCCAAAGTGCTGAGATTACAGGCGTGAGCCACAGCACCCAGCCAAGCCTAGGCCACTCTTAAGATACTTGATTACATTCTGTCTTGCTATACTGGTTCCCTCGGAGCAGATTCGGCTTGCTTTCATTCCTTTCTTTCTTCCTTCCCTCCTTTCTTTCTTTTATGTTTTAGAGACTGGGTTTTGCTTTGTCATCCAGGCTGGAATACAGCGGTGTGATCATGGCTTACCATAACCTCCAGCTCCCAGGTTCAAGTGATCTTCCAGCCCCTGCCTCCTAAAGTGTTAAGATTACAGGCATGAGCCCCCGTGCCTGGCCCCAGGTTCATCTTTCTAGCCCCCACTCCTCTAAGGCCCTGTTCAGAACTTTCTAATTGAGTAGGTTCTCAACGATTTCACATGAGTGCAAGGAGGCCTGACCCGTAATAACAGCACTATACAGAATGAAAACAAGTAAGGACAATGGGCCAGGGGGGAAAGGGCCTGTCTTGAAAACACCAAAGCTTCCTTAGAGAACAAGGCAGGGATGCAACGCATCACTCTAATGACATCTTAGCTTTAGGCAGGGCTTGTAAAGCCTGCTCCCAAACGTCCAGGGGGCTCCTGTTTGGCCTTAGTGCTCCAGGGGAAGATGTCGCATCTACCCTGTGGGTCAGCTCTGTCACCCTTTCCTCCAAACAGCTGAACTCTAGCTTTAAGAGCCACTAAAGGATTTGCTCCTGTTGGACTTTGGGGCTAAAAGAAAACAGTCCCCATACAGAATCATGGGGTGTAGACTTTAAATTTTTTTTTAAATTTTAAAAAGAAAACAGTCCCCAAATGGTAGGTGGCCACACAGCTGTCCTGGGACTGGGATATGACGATACCAGACACTCCATCTTCACCCTATCAGTACCTATCAGGATTGGCAATGGTGACAGAGCAGTGGGTCAGACAGCCATGGTGCCTGCCCTCCTGGGGCTTACAGTCCCACAAGGAGGAAAAACAACTAATAGAAGAGGGTGCAGTGAAGGAAAAGCCCACGGTGCCAAGGGGTGATGTATTATAACTGGATGGGTGGTCAGGGAAGGGTTCCTTGAAAAAGCAAATAGCAGAGAGATCAGCTCATTGAGAGCTCCTGAGGAGACAGATGGGTTGGCCTGTTTGGGAACCAAAAGCACCCTACGTGGCTGGAGCTGAGGAAGGCGTGGCTGGAGCTGAGGAAGGTGAGGGGAGAGTGGCTGAAATGAGCTTGCAAAGGTGGTCACACTGACCAGACTGGTAGATCACAGGAAAGCCTTGGACATTATCTATGGGCCACTGGACGCCTCTGAAGGCTGTTAAGCAGAGCCAGGGTAAGATGAGGATTTGTGTTTTAAAATACCTCTCTGGGGACAGGCAAGGTGGCTCACACCTATAAACCCAACACTTTGGGAGGCTGAGGCAGGAGTACTGCTTGAGCCCAGGAGTTCAAGACCAGCCTTGGCAACATGGCAAGACTGTCTCTACAAAAAATAAAAACTAAAAAAATTAGCTGGATGTGGTGGCATGTGCCTGTAGTCCCATTTTATTTTTTTAGTAAAATAAAATATCTCTCTCGGGGGTGGATTGGAAGAAGCAGCACGAGTGTGGGGAGACCAGTTTATGAAGCTGTTGCCAAAGTCCAGAGGTGAGAAGATGGTGGCCAGGACTCAGGTGGTAGTGATGGAGATGAAGATAAATAGATGAATTCAAGAAGTGTTTCAGAAGTAGAACTGACAAGTCTTGATGACAGATTGAAGGGAATGAGGAAGAGGACGGTATCAAGGATGACTTGCAGAATCTGGCTTGAGCCAACTGTGTGGACTAGGGAGCTATTAGGGAGTTAAGAAACGGCATGAGACAAGGTGTGGTGGCTCATGCCTGTAATCCCAGCACTTTGGGAGGACAAGGTGGGGGGATGGCTTAAGCCCAGGAGTTTGAGACCACCCTGCGCGACATAGGGAGACTCTCATCTCTACAAAAAAAAAAAAAAAAAAACTTTTTAAAACTAGCCAGGGCACGTGCCTGTGTTCACAGGGGAAGCCAAGGTAGGAGGATCACTTGAGCCTAGAGAGCAGCCTGGGCAACAAAGTGAGGACTCGTTTCTACAAAAAAATATAAAAATTAGCCAGGCGTGGTGGCAGGTTCCTGTAGTCTCAGCTACTCGGATGCTGAGGCAGGAGGATCACTTGAGCCTGGGAGGTTGAGACTGTAGTGACCTATGATCATGCTACTGCACTCCAGCCTGGGTGACAGAGTGAGATCCTGTCTCAAAAAAAGAAAGAAACATGGCAAGAGGAGATTGGGGCAGGGATAAAGAGTTGGGGGTGGGAGGGGAGGATGAAGAGCTCAATTCAAAACTTATCAAGTTTGATATATCTTGATACATTTAAGCAGAAATCTGAAGTGGGGAATTGGCTATGTGGTTGTGACACTCGGAGGGGCAGTCTCTTAGCTAAAGACAAATTTGGGAGCCATTGGTATACAGATAGTAATTGAAGCTAGAATAGTGGATCAGACTCTTTATGGGAAGATAGGAAGAGAATGCAACTTGAGAGAAGGACCCAGGACAGAGCCCTCCAGCAACTCCAACATTTATAGGTGGAGGAGAAGCAGGCAAGTGGGATGACAAGCAGTAGCCAGGGAGGTAAGAGAAAAGCAGTAGCCAGGAAGATGTGGTGTCCAGGTATTATGGAAACCAACCAAAAAGTTTTCAAGCAGGGAGGAATTGTCTGCTAGGTCAAATGATGTCAAGAGATGTAGTAGGCAAGGACTAAAGAACGCCACATGGGCTTGGCACCATGGCTCACGCCTGTAGTCCCAGCACTTTGGGAGGCTGAGGCAAGAGGATCACTTGAGCCCAGGAGTTCAAGACCAGCCTGGGCAACAAAGTGAGACCCTGTCTCTACAAAATATAAAAATAAATTTAAAAAGAATGGCATGTGGAGTTGGCATGGACAGGTCCTTAGTAATCTTTCAACAGTTTCAGTAGGGAGTTGTGAGTGGAAGCCTGTTAGGGTAGGTTGAGGTGAAAAGTGTGTGAGAGAGTGAATGTAGGCACCCTTTCAAGAAGTTTGGCTGGGATGGGAAGGAGAGTGAGAGCTGAGGAAGAAGATGGAATCACTAGAAGAAGGGCTTGTTTAGAATGGGTAAGCAACACCGAGGAGAGAGATCATAGCGTTCTGAGACTGCAGGAGGGAATGACACCCAAGACATGGCAAAAGCATGGGCCTTAGTTAAAAAGAAACACCTATGTTGTGGCTCTCAGCCTGCCGCCCAAAATTGCCTGATTGAAGTCACACGTTTGACGTGAAGTATTTAAACCCCAAAAGGCTACAGGCAAAATACAGGCTACCGTGGTAATTGTCAAGCTACCCTCTCACCATCTGGCTCAAGCACTTTTTGTCTCCTTCCTTCCCCCTCTCATCACCTGTTGGTTTTGCTCCCCTCTCCCTGTTCCTCATTTTCTCTTCCTGCAACTGGCTCCCTAAATACAGCCAGGGAAGATGGTCATCAACAGCCCCAACTTCCTACATTCCCAGCTTAACAGCCCCAGCAGAATGAGGATCTTTGCTATCAGCATCTCAAAATTAATCTCCAGGAAAACTCTAATTGTCTCCAGCCTATGTTATGTGACATAAGGTCAGGTAGGGAGCAGCACACAGTACAAGGTCTCCGTAAGAAGGAATTGTCTGCCAATACCAACTTCTCCTATGTAACAACTTTTATCCAGAGCTGGCCCTGACCCTGAAAGCAGGGGAGCAAGGGGTTCCCTTTCTCTACACATCCCACGCTGATCACTAATGGATTGTATGTGATACAATATAGCAACTATTGCAATATAGATATATCTGTATTATAGGTCCTTTTATAGACTAGAGGGTTTTATTCCATGATCACTATTACTGTTTCTTGTCTTAGTCACACTATAACTTTAGACTTCTCTGTATATAATTCCTAGTACATTATCAAAATGCTTTTTAAATTGATTGGTTGCTTGATTGAATCACTGTCATTTTTCTAATTTCTTAAGGAACATTTCACACAACTCCCATTCCATTTAATAGAATTAGAGAATTTAGAGAATAACACAGCCAGGTCAAATGTGACCCCGTGTTACTATAAAATGGCACAGGCTTTGAGGGGCAGTTTGACAGTGTACATCAGAAGTTTCAAAGTAAAATGAGTTCTATGCCTAAAGAACCAGTTCAGCCATATTGGAATGGCTGAGTATATTATAGAATAGCAACTTAATGGAATATTATGTAATTACTAAAATTATATATGATAAACAACATAGAAAAAAACAGTAAATAGGCTGGGCGCAGTGGCTCACACCTGTAATCCCAGCAGTTTGGGAGGCCGAGGCAGGTGGATCACCTGAGGTCAGGAGTTCGAGACCAGCCTGACCAACATGATGAAACCCCATCTCTACTAAAAATTCAAAAATTAGCTGGGCGTGGTGGTATGTCCCTGTAATCCCAGCTACCCAGGAGGCTGAGGCAGGAAAGTAGCTGGAACCCAGGAGGCAAGAGCTGCAGTGAGCCAAGATCACGCCATTGCACTCCAGCCTGGGTGACAGAGCGACTCCGTCTCAAAAAAAAAAAAAATCCAGTAAATAACATTTGAAAACTAGAGTAAGAAATATAAATATGCTAAGAAGTACAAAAAATATGTATACAAAAGGATAAAGAAAACAATGCAACACGGGTAAATTAAAACAATTTTCAGAGCATTGTACAAATAAATGTACTTATTTTAAAGGACTCTGAAGATAAAATAATTAACATAAGGCATTTGATACCTTGCCAGGCACATGGTACACTTCAGCTGTTACCTTGGCTTCTGTATTATAATTTCCTGAGCATCCACCAGCCAACAAAGCACTTGACAAACATTATTCATTTGATCCTCATGACAACCAAATGAAATGTTATTATCTCTATTTCACAAATAAGGAAACCGAGAGTTGAAGCGTTAAGTGAATTGGATCACATAGCTAATACATGGTAGAGCTGAGATTTGACGAATTTTTGGAAAAATAAATGCCTAAGCTCCATCCCAGCATGATTCTAACGGATAGTAGGATTGAAAACTACCGCTACTACACACTGAGTACAAAGGGGAAGACTGAGACTCTCAGCAAGCAGGAGAGAGTGGTTTGCAGGGCAGGGGTCCTAGAAGTGCCTGTCTATATCCATTTCTGAGTATGCAAAGATACATCTAAATAAGTGGGGCCATACTGTCCTCCTCATGGGACAAAAAGAACAGAAAATGTAAGATATTTCAAAGATATAGTAATATTTCTCAGAATGAAAGAAAAACACTGGTCTCATATTGAAAATGATGCAGCATATTGGGCAGAACGAGTAAAGAACGACCCACAACTAGAAATATCATTGGGAAGTTTCCAGACTTCATGATGGATAAAGGAAAGATCTTCAATGACTTGGAGGAAGAAACAGAGACAAAGTCAGGGCGGGGTGGCATGGGGGGCTGAGATCAGAGAGTGAGGACTTCAGCTAGCCAAAGGGTCCTGACGGCCAGTCTGTTAGGGTGTCAGTGGATGCACAGCTCATGATGAGAGAGAGAATAAAGGGAAGGAAACCCAAAGGGGAAGGGTCCTAAGAGGGCAAGCAGATCCAGGAGACAGGGAGAGCTTCTCGCCCTTCCTCAGGTTTCCCCAAAAGAAGAGCCTTCGATGACTATTTGCCTCAAAAGTCCACTTAAGTAAGACAGATTCCAGGGATTGAGATCAGAACAGAAAAGCACAAATAAAAATAATCCTCCCATAAAAAGCAATCAAGTTAGTAACACTTTGTACTGACAACTGCCCAGACAGCCTGGTGATCAAGAGCAACGACTTCATAAAACATTTCTGCCACTGTTTTCTAACAGGAAAATCGAGTGAGGTTAAATATTTTATGTATGTAAACAAAACAAATACAAATCTCTTCTATGGCTAATTTATTTTTTGACATCTCACCTACTTGAATCTATCCATATTAGAATATTTTCCTTTGAAATCCTTTATATTATCTAAGTGCCTTTCTAGCAATAGTGTGAACCCTGGAAAACCTTGCTGCCATTCTATTAAGAAACAGATTTATGACAGCCCAATTATAGTTTTGTAGATTCATACACAATAAAAAAAACTTCATACACAAAAAAAGACTTCATACACAATAAAAAAGAAGAGATAAATTATTTAGGGGAGCCAAATCTAACTGCATTTAGTCACTGCAAACATTTCTTTGTATCCACTTCTAACACGTAAAACTAGCATGTCACCAAATGAGGCAAAAATATCTTTTCAAACTAAAATAATGTAAGCCTGGGCAAATGGCGAGAACCTGTCTCTATAAGAAATTTTAAAAATTAGCTGGGCGTGGTGGCACATGCCTATGGTCCCAGCTACTCAGGAGGCTAAAACAGAAGGATCGTGATGTGGTTTGGCTGTGTCCCCACCCAAATCTCATCTTGAATTCCCACGTGTTGTAGGAGGGACCCAGTGGGAGGTGGCTGAATCATGGGAACAGGTCTTTCCCATGCTGTTCTCATGACAGTGAGTGGGTCTCATGGGATCTGACGTTTATATAAGGGGGAGTTTCCCTACACAAGCTCTCTTCACCTGCTGCCATCCATGTAAGATGTGACTTGCTTCTCCTTGCCTTCCACCATGATTGTGAGGCACCCCCCAGCCACATGGAACTATGAGTCCAATTAAACCTTCTTTTTTTTGTAAATTGCCCAGTCTCGGGTATGTCTTTATCAACAGCATGAGAACAGACTAATACAGAGTGGTTGAGTCTAGGAGGTTGAGGCTGATCACCGACCATGATTACACTACTGTATTCCAGCCTGGGCAACAGAGCAAGACCCTGTCTCAAAATAAAATGGTTTAAAATTCTTTAATTCTGAATGCAGAACTTAATATTTTTGACATTTTAAAAAAGGATTAGTGATAGAAGCATGTGAATATGGTTTAAAATAGTAATCATTTTCTCTAAAGCTATTATTAATATAGCTAATGGTCAGGTTGTTCCATTAACTTTTCTCATTTGGTTCTTGTCCATTAACAAGCCAAGTAGTTATTAACTACAAGTCATAACCAAATTATTAAACTGTATGGCTTGTGTAAGAAACCTGTGAAAGGAAAATGACTATTTTGCGGTAATAGCATCATTCTCTTTACCCTTTACTGGGTTTTCTCTAGGTCTTGATGGCATTCTCTGGTATACTCAGTGACCATCCAGTCAGTAATTTCATTCTTGTCCTTGGGCATCATACTTGGATTTTTCAAAATCCTTTGGAATTGCCTTTAGGTCACTTATGAAAACCTCTACACACTCTTTTAGCCTTTGAACTGAATAGTTTTTATAGTGATAAAATTTAATACACAAAATGTTTATTATCAATTCAAATGATCTTAATGTTAAGGAGGTCACTCAGGCCTTCTTAGTTATGTTTTTCATAGCTGTGGGAGGCGGGGGGAGAGTGATATGGTTTGGCTGTGTGCCACCCAGATCGCGTCTTGAATTGTAGCTCCCATAATCCCCACATGTTGTGGAGGGAGCCAGTGGGAGGTAATCGAATCATGGGGGAAGGTTTTCCCATGCTGTTCTTGTGATGGTGAATAATCTCATGAGATCTGATGGTTTTATAAAGGGCAGTTCCACTGTACACACTCTCTTGCCTGCTATAATGTAAGACGTGCCTTTGCTCCTCCTTCACCTTCTGCCATGATTGAGAGGCCTCCCCAGCCATGTGGAACTGAGATTCCATTAAACCTCTTTTTAAAAAAAATTACCCATTCTCGGGTATTTCTTCATAGCAGTATGAAAATGGACCAATATGGAGAGCTTCACTTTAAATTGACTATTTTACCAGGATGTAGCCATAGCTATTTACTAGAGTAGCCATTGTAGACTTTCTCAATATATTGTTAGTGAAAAAAGCAGGCTATCAAACTGTAATTCATCATGACCCTATTTGGTGTAAAATATGTTGGCCAGCCTGGCCAACATGGCGAAACTCCATCTCTATTAAAAATACAAAAATGAGCCAGGCATGGTGGCACATGCCTGTAATCCCAGCTGCTTAGGAAGCTGAAGCACAAGAATCATTTGTTTTGAACACAGAAATTTAGCAAATGTTTATTCAAAATGCTGGACAAGTAAAGTAGGTAAATTAAGGTACTGCTTCTTTTCAGTACTAATTTAATAAAATCCCACTATGTAGTTGATATGGCTTGACTCTGTGTCCCCACTCAAATCTCATCTTGAATTATAATCCCTACATGTCGAGGGAGGGACCTGTAATCCCCACATGTCAAGGGACCTCTAATCCCCACATGTCAACCACCCTGGATCATAGGGGCAGTTTCTCTCACATTGTTCTCATGATAGTGAGTGAGTTCTTGTGAGATCTGATTATTTTATAAGGGGCTCTTTCTCCTTTGCACACTCTCTCACCTGCTGCCATGTAGGATGAACTTGCTTGCTTCCTCTTCCACCATAATTGTATTAGATTGGTGCAAAAGTAATTGCAGTTTTTGCCATTAAAGGTAAACACAATTACATTTACAAAAACTACAATTACTTTGCACCAACCGAAATAAGTTTCCTGAGGTCTCCCCAGCCATGTGGAATTGTGAGTCAATTAAACCTCTTTTCTTTATAAATTACCCAGTGTCAGGCAGTTCTTTGTAGCAGTGTGAAAACAGACTAATACAGTAAATTGGTACCAAGAGTGGGGCACTGCTGTAGATACCTGAAAATGTGGAAGTGACTTTGGAACTGGGTAACACGCAGACGTTGGAACAGTTTGGACGGCTCAGAAGAAAACAGGAAGATATGGGATAGTTTGGAGTTTCCTAGAGACTTGTTGAATGGTTGGAGCCAAAATGCTGGTAGTGATATGGACAATGAAGCCCAGGCTGAGGTGGTCTCAGATGGAGATGAGGAACTTATTGAACACTGGAGCTATCCTTTTGCCAAGAGACAGATGGCATTTTGCCTCTGAAGTTGAGAGAGACGATCTGAAATTGGAATTTATGTTTAAAAGGGAAGCAGAGCATAAAAGTTTGAAAAATTTGCAGCCTGATGATGCAATAGAAAAGAAAAACCCATTTTCTGGGGGGAAATTCAAGCTGGCCACAGAAATTTGCATAAGTAACAAGGAGCCAAATGTTAATTGCCAAGACAATGGGGAAAATGTCTCCAGGGCATGTCACAGAGATCTTGGCAGCAGCCCCTCCCACCACAGATCTGGAGGCCTAGGAGGAAAACTTGGTTTCATGGGCCAGGCCCAGGGCCCTTCTGCTCTGTGCAGCCTTGGAACATGGCACCCTGCATCCCATGCACTGCTGCTTCAGCTCCAGCTGTGGCTAAAAGGGGCCAACATACAGCTCAGGCTGTTGCTTCAGAAGGTGCAAGCCCCAAGCCTTGGCAGCTTCCACTTGGCGTTGGGCCTGCAGGTGCACAGAAGTCAATAATTGAGGTTGGAGAACCTCTACCTAGATTTCAGAAGATGTATGGAAATGCCTGGATGTCCAGGCAGAAGTTTGCTGCTAGGGCAGAGCCCTTATGGAGAACCTCTGCTAGGGCACTGCAAAGGCAAATGTGGGGTTGGAGCCCCCACACAGAGTCCCCATTGGGTCACTGCCTAGTGGAGCTGTGAGAAAAGGGCTACCATCCTCCAGACCCCAGAATGGTAGATCTACCTACAGCTTGCATCAGGTGCCTGGAAAAGCCACAGGCACTCAACACCAACACCTCGAAAGCAGCCAGGAAGGGAGCTGTACCTTGAAGACCCACAGGGGTGGAGCTGCCCAAGGCCATGGGAGCCCACTCTTTGTATCAGTGTGCCCTGGCTGTGAGACATGGAGTCAAAGGAGACCATTTTGGAGCTTTAAGATTTAATGACTGCCCCGCGGGATTTTGGACTTGCATGGGGCTTGTAGCCACTTTGTTTTGGCCAATTTTTCCTATTTGGAATGGGTGTACTTACCGAATGCCTGTACCCCCATTGTATCTTGGAAGGAATTAACTTGTTTTTTATTTTACAGGTTTATAGGCGGAAGGGACTTGCCTTGTCTCAAATGAAACTTTGGACTGTGGACTTTTGAGTTAATGCTGAAATGAGTTAAGACTTTGGAGGACTGTTGGGAAGGCATGATTGGTTTTGAAATGTGAAAAGATATGAGATTTGGGAGGGGCCAGGGATGGAATGATATGGTTTGGCTCTGTGCCCCACCCGAATCTCATCTCGAATTGTAATCCCCATGTGTTTTGTTGAGGGAGAGAAGTGATTGGATCACGGAGGGGGGGCGGTTCCCTCCATGCTATTCTTGTGATAGTGAGTGAGTTCTCATGAGATCTGATGGTTTTATAAGGGGTTCTTTCCCTTTTGCACTCTCTCTTGCCTGCCACCATGTAAGATGTGCCTGCTTCCCCTTCTGCCATGATTGTAAGTTTCCTGAGGCCTCCTCAGACATATGGAACTGCGAGTCAATTAAACATCTTTTCTTCATAAATTTCCCAGTCTCGGGCAGTTCTTTATAGCAGTATGGACTAATAAAGTAGTCAACATAATTTTAGTTCTAGAAGCCAGTAGGTAATAGCAAGGTAATTCAGATCTTCCATTCATGACCTTTTGGGGTGGCATGGGGAGTTAGATGATCCAAATATTGGGATTTGACAATATTTGACAAATTTGGGTGATTTTTCTTCTCTCAAGTTTAAGAACCCTAGGCATAGGAGACAATAGCTTTCAAAGACTTTGGTTTGCATCCTCCCAAAATTGCTAGATGGCCTTGGACAAATCATATAATTGCACAGAATTAAATGAGAAACTGAATTTAAAGCGCATTGCAAAGCCCTGCAGCATTGTATTAATGTTATCAGCTCTGCCTCATCCTGCTGCTCACTTTCCCTTCCATTTGCTTTATCCTTCCTGCCTGCCACAGATCCCCTCCTATTCACCTCATCCTTTGGCCCCTGCCACAGATCCATGACTATGCAGGGGGCTCAACCCTGCCATTTGCAGAGAACCTTCAAATCAGAGGTAATTTTTTTTTTGAGACAGGGTCTCACTCCTGTCAGCTAGGTTGGAGTGCACCGGCACAATCACGGCTCACTGCAGCCTCGACCTCCCAGGCTCAAGTGATCCTCCCACCTCACTTCCTGAATAGCTGAAACTACAGGCTTGTGCCACCACACCCAGCTAATTTTGTATTTTTCTGTAGAGGCGGGGTCTCGGTATGTTGCCCAGCTGGTCTTGAACTCCAGATATTAAGTGATCCTCCCACCTTGGCCTCCCAAAGTGCTAGGATTATAGGCATGAGACATGGTGCCCCGCTCAGAGGTAGAATTTTTGACATATTCTTTTAGTCCAAATATAATCACTTAAACTGAGATTCTAAATATGCAGGAGGCTGGACGTGATGTCTTATGCCTGTAATCCCAGCATTGTGGGAGGCTGACGCTGGAGGATTGCTTGAGGCCAGGAATTCAAGACCAGTCTGGGCAACATAGTGAGACTCTGTCTCTACAAAAAATTTAAAACTAGGCCCAGTGTGGTGGCAAATGCCTGTAGTCCTAGCTCCTCGGGAGGCTGAGGTGGGAGGATCACTTGAGCCCAGCAGTTTGAGGCTGCAGTGAACCGTGTTTGTACCACTGCACTCAAGCCTGGGCAATGGAGCGAGACTCTGTCTCAAAAAATAAATAAAAAATAATATATAACATACACACACATATATGTGGAGGAACACTTGAAAAATAACACAAGTAGCAAGAAAGACACAAGTGCTCTGGTGAGTATAACAAAAATAAAGGCAGATGATAAGCTCATGGGTACAATGGGTGTGATAATATAAAAACCACACTGAGTACTAAGATGAAACTTGGGCTTGATACAGGAGAAAGGAAGTCAACAAAGGAATTTTACACATTTCCCTGAGTTACTCATTTTAAGAGTCCGAACAACTGAAATCAGGAAACACCTGTGCTTGTTAACATTAGTTAGGAAATGACTTTAAAAACTTGGACTCCGTTTTAGATAACTGGTGGCAGGCAGTGATATCATTCTAGCATCTATATTTCCACGTAAATGCACAAGCTATGTTTCTTAGTTTTGGTCCATTTATGTAATAGCAATCAGAGACTCAATGCATTATATTTATAGAATAATTGTTACACATTTTAAGTTTTCAAATTACCTGGGGCCAGACACAGTGGCTCATGCCTGTAATCCCAACACTCTGGGAGACCAAGGCAGGAGGATAACTTGAAGCCAGGAGTTCAAGACAAGCCTGGGCAACATAGTGAGATCCCCATCTCTACAAAAAAAAATTAAAAATTAGCCAGGTGTGCTGATGTGTGCCTGTGGTTCTGACTGTTCAGAAGGCTGAGGTGGGAGGATTGCTTGGGCTCAGGACTTCAAGGTCACAGTAAGCCCTGATTGCACTGCTGCATTCCAGCCTGCGTGACAGAGCGAGACCCTGTCTCACTCAAAAATAATAAAATAAAATTACCTGGCATTTAGCTGCATGTTTATTTTTGTTCCCATTTATAGTTATTTGAAGATTGTTATAATCACACAGAAATATGGCCATCATTACTTTGAGATGAAAATAAATGTATAGAATGAATGTTTTATGATAAAAAACAAAAAAACAGCATTGTAATAAGATGGGCCAGACGAACACAGGAAAAATGGGTCCATTTGAAGATATGCTAGAGAACTCTAGACCAAACCTTTATTTTACAGATGAGGAGCCAGAATCAGAGCTGAGTATCTGCATGTTTTTTATTACACATTCTCTGGGTCTTCAGAATGTAAGGCTAGAGGCTCCCAGAGCGGGTCCTATCTCAAGTAAATTACTGGATCAATAGGCCTTATCTGATTGATTGATTTAAACAGCATTATTGTTTAGATTGCTTTGATATGGTTTGTTAAACAATAAAGTAAAACATATAAATTATGCTGTTGTTGATGATGTATATATCACCTTTCTTAGAAATACAATGTCTGTGACAAGTTTGTTTCTGGAATTTTCTTTGATGTGCCAGTGAAATTATAACCAGTAGGAAAAAAAGTTATTTACTGTTGTTATTGTTTTTATAGTGGAGACCAGAGTCTTGCTATGCTTTCCAGGCTGGTTTTGAACTCCTAGCCTCAAGCGATTTTCCTGCCTCAGCTTCCCAAAGTGCTGGGATTACAGGCACAAGCCACTGCACCCGGCCCTGTTGTTGTTAAGAAAATTACAAGTTAAATCTTGTACCAGTGAACAAGGTTTGTATAGATGATTTTATTGTCTTGAAATTTTATTTTATCTCACTTTAAAAAAATAGAAGCATATTAGAATATACTTTGTTCTATACCCAAATCTTGTGTTAAACTCTTTAAAAATGTCTTTTCAGTGTTTGGTAAAAGCTGCAATGAGTCGTACAGATGTATATTTCACATTAATTATTAATAATTATAATTTAGAAATGTTAATTACAGTCATTTAAAGGAACTTCAACAAACTAATGGTTATTGAAGTTACATTAAGAATATCTATAATCATGAAGAGTAGTGGCCTAATACAGTAATGAAAGACAGATCTTTAAATTTAAAAAGGAAAAATGTGATTGTGTGTTTTCGTACGTTATTAAGTTGTAGACAATATACCAAAACATACATCAGAGGACATTCACTTATGGCCATAGATAGTAGCTAATGCCAGACACATCCTCCCACTAGAAACAACTAGAAATACACAAGATAACTGATTCTAGACATTTGACAACAAACATTGCAGGGCAGTGATACTTGAGAGAAAGGAAACACAATGTGATCTGCACGTCCTCTTCAGCTTTCTGTCTGGGGACACCAAGTAGACTAAAAGGAAGTGGAATCCAAGGAAGTATGGAAGTCTTGCTGAGCTGAAGAAATCTAGATAAAAGTTTAGAGTAGTTGTCATCCCTGAAATTTGTAAGACAGAATACCACAAAGAAAGGAGTATGCAGAAGAAGAGGACAAAGAAGATTTCACAAGCATTCCTGTGTAGCCCATGTGCAGGATAGGACTTAATGAGGCCTAGCAGAGAATGGTTGCTATGAACAAGAGAACTGGGCCAAGATATCATAGACTGTGCAGTACTGCAAACACTGGAATACTGTCCCAGCCTAAATGGAGAGACCTTACTAAGCACCTCATCCATTCAATTGAAATTCTAAAGAGGATAGACCTTAGGAGTAAATACCATGTCCCAGACAAAGGGCCATGTCTCAGGACTAAGGATAAAACTGACATAGAATAAATAATAATAATACATAACAAAACAAAGCCTAGCAAGATCAAGAGGATTTTTTAGTAGTTTAATAGCCTGATAGAATAAACCTCAACACCATTTAAAAGAAGATAACATAATCCAGACTCTCTGTAACTCCTTTATAACAATATTCAACAGGAGGTTAAAAAATATTGTACCTGTAAAGAAGCAGAAATATGTGACTCATAATCAAAATAAGACATGGTCAATAGAAGCAGAATCCAAGATGACCCAAATGTTGGAATTAGCAGATGAGGTCTTTAAAACAGCTATTATAAATATATGTAAGGATGCATGGGAAAAGATGAATATGTGATTAAACAGATGAGAATGATCAGCAAAGAAATAAACCAAATGGATATATTAGAAATAAAAAGCAAATATCTGAAATGTAAAATTTATTCGATGGTTAGAGCAGTTTGGAGATGGCAAAAGGATGGGTGAATTATCTCTAACAGAGAGCAATAGAAATTATATAATTTAATAACAGAAAGGAAAAGATTGGAAAAAATATATAAACAGCCTCAGTGAACTCTGGAACAACCCTGCAAAGTTAGTATATATATAATTGGAGTCCTAAGGCTAAGCATGGTGGCTCATACCTGTAATCCCAACACTTTGGGAGGCTGAGGCAGGAGTTCAAGACCAGCCTGAGCAACACAGTGAGACCCCCATCTCTACCAAAAAAAAAAAAAAGCTGGGCATGGTGGCACATGTCTATAGTCCTAGCTACTTGGGAGGCTGAGGTGGGAGGATCACTTAAGCCTTGAAGTAAAGGCTGCAGTGAGCTCTGATTGTACCACTGTGCTCCAGCCCGTGCTGGACAGAGTGAGACCCTATCTCTAAAGTAAAAGATAATAATAATTAGAGTCTCAGTAAAAGAAAGGAAAAAGAAAATGGGGTAGAGTGAAATTTTTAAAAAAATTCTCTAATTTGGTGAAAAACATCAGCCTACAGATTGAAGAATCAACAAACTCCAAGCAGAATAAATACAAAAAATAAAATAAAGAAAGAAAACACACCAGCTACACTGTAGTCAAAAGGTTAAAAACCAAAAATATAGAATAAATGTTGAAACAGAAAAAAAAGTCAATGACATAAGGGGAACAATGCTATGAATCACAGTTGACTTCTTACTAGAAACAGTGGAGGCCAAAAGAAATGGAATGATGCCATTAAAGTACTGAAAGAATAGAGCAACCCAGCTTTTTTTTTTTTTTAAGACCTTGTTTGGCTCAGTCGCCTAGACTGGAGTGAAGTGATGCAGTCACAGCTCACTGCAGCCTCAACCTCCTAAGCTCAAGTGATCCTCTCACCTCAGCCTCCCAATTAGCTAGGACTACGAGTGTATGCCACTATGTCCAACTAATTTTTTTTTTTTTTAGAGATGGGGTCTCAGCTACGTTGCCCAAACTGTTCTTGAACTCCTGGGTTCAAGCAATCCTCCTGCCTTAGCCTTCCAAAGTGCTGGGATTACAAGTGTGAGCCACCACACCTGGCCAGAATTCTAACATTTTCTCAAAAATGAAAACAAAAAAGACATTTTCTGATAAACAAATGCTGGGAGGATTCATTGTAAACTATATTAAATACTAATAGAAGAATTGGGGGCGGTGGTGATGGAAAATGATAGCACAGGGAAATCTAAACTACAGAAAGTAATAAATAGCACCAGAAATGGTAAGTAGACGTGTAAATATAAAGAACTTTTTTCTTCTCATTTTTTTAAAACAGACTATTTAAAGACAAATATATTGTAGGACTCTCAATTCATGTAGAAGTAAAATACATGACAGCAATAACAAAAAAGGACAGAGGGTTTTGTTTGTGTGTGTGTGTGTGTGTTTATTTTAAGCAATGCTTTTGGAGAAAGAAAAAAAGGACAGAGTTAACAAAATTGTACTATTGTAAGATTCTTACATTTCACATGAAGTAGTATAATATTAACTCTAAACAGACTGTTAAGGTTGTGCTGACTACTATGGTAGTCAGTAGCCACAAGTGACTAAATTTAAACTTAAATTAATTAAAAATAAATAAAATTTAAATTTCAGTCTTCAGTTGTACTAGCCATATTTCAAGGTATCAACAGTCACAGGTAGCCAGTGTCTACCATATTGGAAAGACATAGAACATTTTCACTACTAAAGAACATTTAGTTGGAGAATGCTGCCCTATAGCAACCATAAAAAAAAAAAAATACAGACATATAACTTTAAAATCAATAAATGAATTAGAATACTAAGAATATTGTATAAACCAAAATAAAGCCATGAAGGAGGAAATGAGAAACAAACAAAAAATGAGACAAGCAGAAAACAAATAGCAAGGTGATAGACTTAAATCCTACCAAATCAATAATTATATTAAATATAAATGAACTAAACAGTCCAAAGAAAAGAAAAAGATTGCAAGGATGAATAAAAAGCAAGATTCAAGTAAGAGCTTTGGCATGAGATGCAATGCATTTTAAAGATCCAGATAGGTTGAAAGTAAAAGGAAGGGAAAACATAGACCAAGCAAATCTAAGAAACCTGGTATTGATATACTATTATTATACAAAACAAACTTCAAGTCAAAAAGAATTATCAAAGTTGAAGAGTGACATTCCTTAATGAAAAATGGTCATTTCATCATGAAGACATAAAAAATATAAATGTTTATGTGACTAAAAAGCTTCAAGTATAAGAAGCAAGATATGAAAATTAAAGGAACAGGCCCAGCACAGTGGCTCATGCCTATAATCCCAGAACTTTGGGAGGCCAAGGTGGGAGGAATGCTCAAGCCCAGGAGTTCGAGACTAGCCTGGGCAACATAGTGAGATCCTGTCTCTACAAAAAAATTTTAAAATTAGGTGGGCATGGTGATAGACATCTGTAGCTGTAGCATCTGTAGCTACTCGAGAGGCTGGGGCAGGAGGATTGTTTGAACTCAGGAGGTCAAGGCTGCAATGAGCTGTGATCAGATCATGCCACTGCACTCCAGCCTGGATGACAGAGTGAGACCCTGTCTCAAAAAAAAAAAAAAAAAATTGAAGGAACAAATATACAAATCTGTAATCACAGTTGAACATTTTTAATTCACCTACATGTACTTTGTAGAACTAGACATAGATATGTGAATATAAATGATTTGAACACTATCAACCAACTTAACCTAATTGATAAATAGAGAATACTTCACCTAGTATCTGCAGAATAAACAACGATTTTCAAGTGCACATGGACTAGTTACCAAGATAGATCTCGTGCTGAAATATAAAATGTGGCTTAATAAATTTCAAAGGATTGAAAAATACAGAATATGCTCTCTAAACATAACAGAATGAAATTAGAAATCAATAACAATAAGATATCTTAAAACTCCCAAATATTTGGAAGTCCCACAACATAGTTCTAAATAACTGAGTTAAAGAAGAAATCACAGTAAATTTAAAAGATATTTTAGCCTGAATAATAATTTTAAAAATCAAAATTTGTGGATGTTCCATAGACAGCAGGTCTATGCAAACCTACCCCCCAAAATTAAGGTAGCTGAGATGTTGAAGAAAGAGGCTGACAAATCCGTTTTCTCAGAAAGAAACCTTTAATAGGAACTTAGGAACAGAAGCCATGTCTAGGGCAGCCATGAGATGAGATGGTGGATCCCCACACTTTCCCCCAACCCGGACCCAGGGCTTATATGCCATAAAGAAAGGCATGTAAGTCCTGCTTCAGAAGGACTGTGTAAAACAACTGAAGTGGACCCCTCTGGGAAAGGCAAGAATGCTATATGCTTCACAGCCTATAATTTGCTTAAGGCAGGATTTATGGTAAGTATTTGCTTACATTTTATGCCACAGATCACATAGTTATTAATAGAATAATAAGGAAATATTGTGCATAACATTATGCCAATAAATTCAACAACTTAGATAAATTGGACACATTTCTTGAAAAATACAACATGTAAAAATCTGACACAAGAAGAAACAGAAAATCTGAATAGCCCTGTCTCTGTTAAAGAAATAGAACAGGGAAAACTCTGTAGTGATAGAAACTAGGTCAGTGGTTGCCTATGTAGAATGTCAACTGAAAGAGAACATGAGAGAACTCTTGGGAATGATGAAAAAAATTCTATATCATAAACTTTTTGTGGTAGTTACAAGGGTGTATCATTTGGTAAATCCATAAAATTTTGCCTTTAAGATATGTACTTCTTTTTCAGACAGGATCTCATTCTGTCACCAAGGCTGGAATGCAATGGTGCAATCACAGCTCACTGCAGCCTTGAACTCCCAGACTCCAGTGATCCTCCCACCTCAGCCTCCTGAGTAGCTGGGACTACAGGCACACACTACCACACCCAGCTAATTTTGTATTTTTTGTAGAGAGAAGGTCTCACCATGTTGACCAGGCTGGTCTCCAATTCCTGAGCTCAAGCAATCCTCCTGCCTTAGCCTCCCAAAGTTTTGGGATTATAGGCATGAGCCTCAGTGCCTGAACAGATGTGTACATTTCACTGTATGCACACGTTACCTTGAGCATATAAGTTGCATGCCAAAAACTATGACATAAACACAAAATGTGAAACATTCTGACATTTTAAATCTTAAATATAATTGAAGTAAAAAAGTCCCCTGAGATATCTTAGGTACGATATATGCTAAAATGCAAAACATATCCTACAACTTTATTTGAAAAATGTTTATTTTCCTTCTGAATAAAAGTTCCAAAGTTCAAACCCAATCATATTTATTTCAGTGATGATAATAATGACTGTACTGATTCATCCTTCCAGATTTAGCTTGTGAACCTTCTTCAGTGTAATTTTTCTGGAACCACCATGATGAAGTAGAGTCATTGTCTGGGGTAAATACCTGAGGTTCCTTCTCTCAGCCAGGAAATCGAGGACATGGACACACGAGAAGTGGATTTAAGAGCAGAAGTTTAATAGGCGAAAGAAAGAGAAAAGAGAATCTCTCTCCTGCAGAGAGAGCGGGGCGCCTGAGTGGGTCTTCCGGTCCCATGGTGAAGTACACAGGTTTTATAGACTGGCTTGAGGAGGTGGTGTCTGATTTACATAGGGCCCAAAGATCGGTTGGACCAGGTGTGATGTTTACATAACAGGAGAAGAAGCTGACCACCCCACCCTAATCTTTTATTCTGCAAATGGATTTTCTACCTTGCCAGTGCCACGTTTTCTGTTCTTTACCATTCACAAGGTTGACAAAAGGGAAGATGGAACTGCCATGCTGAACATGCCTAGCCCCCAGGTAGCCTTTTCCTATTGTCACAGCTGCCAGCCATTCACCCGTGCAAGCTTGCAGCTTGCTTATCAGTCTGCAGCTCGATTTTTCAGCCTGCTTTTGTTAGAAAAGGAAGGATTTGGGGGCTACTTTTCATTAAAAGGAAAACCTTACCAAGGACTTCCTTACCCTCACTATCTGCCTAAATATTTCTCTTTAACTCCTATATCAATGACGATTTAAATTCTCCCTCTGTTCCCTTGTCTCCCAGTATACATCTCCCTTACAGCACCTGTATACTGTGTTCTGATGGTCTAAATATAGTTATTCTCCTCTACCCCACATTGTGATCTTTGAACATAAGACTGTGCTTTTATCTCATTTTCCCAGTGCCTGTCATATTGCCAGGCTTAGCAGGTGCTCAATAAATTCTGTTTCATCAAGTGCTTGAATGATAGTCATATGGAGATTCTTTCAGTCAGAATATACTATTGGTCTTGAGAAGATGATTTAAACATTTTTTCCTTTGAATTTGATTCCCTTCCTGTTACATGTTATCTAAGAAAACATATCCTACAGAAGTATTCCAAAACCCGAGAAAGAAAACACACAACAAAACAAAAAGATTAGATAGCAGATACTGAATGAAATGCTCAAAAATGCTCCAGTTCAATATTAAATGAAAAATAGAAAAGAGAAAGGAAAACTATATTATGAGATAAAGTGAAGTAGAGAAATGAGACTTTGGACATACACTCACAGGCTTTGGATTATAAGAGAAAGAAAAACTTACATATGGGGAAAGGATCTTTGCAATGGAATTACTTCCCAAAAGGTGAGACAGTATTCAAACTGATGAAAAATGTTATTTGTCCTTTGAAATGTTTATTTTAAAATAGGTTTTATAATAATGCATAGGTTTATGATCACATTTTCTTATATCAAATAACAATACAGTTTGTTAACTTCTGTAGCTATGTTCTAATTGCAGAGCTCTAGTTTGATTTTAGGTTGGGAGGGTGTATTCAAAAATATATAAGCTGAACTGAGAGGCTTTGCTTGTCTCAAAAAAAGGTCTCATGGGAGATGAAAGTAGAGTTGAAAACCTGAAAGGCAAAAGGTTGCAAGTTTACTGCAAGGTTTTGAGACAAGGATGCTGTGGTACTATTACAGTAGATAGCTAATCAGGTATGAGCAGGGCAGAAGAGGGCTCCTCCTGCCCCACCAGGAATGTCAGGCCAACATCAAGTGATGGTCAGGTGGTTGTTACACTGTTTCTCTAAAATAATAATTGGTCACAGGTGGCCCCAGGGGAAGGCAGTCTCCCAGTAGAAAAAACCTGAAAGTTGTGATCCGCAGCTTCCCGATAAGATCTCAGGAGTTGGGCGAGTGGGCTCAAGCATGTGCATTAGGAGGCAACATGGCAGACTTTAACTGGTATATATGACCTTCTAGGAACTTTTGACTGGTAAGGTAAGAACGCCTCAGGTGAGCATGCATACAACTCCAATAAACACACTGAGCATGCAGCCCCTCCCAGGCACTGGCTGGCCATTGCACATGCAGACCCTTCTTCAGTGTAATCTTTCTGGAACCACCATGAGGATTTAAATTCTCCCTCCCTGTACCCATGTCCACCAGTACACATGTCCCTTACGGCACCTATACACTGTGTTCTCATGGTGTAAATGAAGTTATTCTCCTTTACCCTACATTATGTGATCTTTGAACATAAGATAGTGCTTTTATCTCAGCCCAACCCAAGGGAAGAATCAAGGGAGAAGTGACACCAGACCCCAGAAGCATGCCAACATATAAAACCCCAAGTCAAAAGGTAAAACCATGCACGTGATCTCTCAGGTCGCCCACTTGGCCTTCTTCCAAGTGTACTTCCTTTCATTCTTGCTATAAAGCTTTTTAATAAACTTTCACTCCTCCTCTAAAACTTGCCTTGCACTATCTTTCTGCTTTATGCCCCTTGGTCAAATTCTTTCTTCTGAGGAGGCAAGAATTGAGGTTGCTGCAGACCCAGAGGGATTCACCGCTGGTAACAGTAAAAAGCAGGAAAAAAAGAGTTTTGGTAAAAACAAAAACAAAAACAAAAAAACTACCCTCTTACTCTCAGATATCTACGTACTGAAACAGGGCCACATGACAAAGTTTTATTAAATAGATACTAGTATCCTCAATTAAAATAATGAAAATCTGTTTCACATTTCTAGAGTTAAGGCTAGCACCTCAGATAATTTGTAATTTGTAAATGAATATGTATCTTATTTGTTTTCTCTATCATGTTGTAGATTAGGGATCGTGATGTGGAGCTGCACTTCCTGGTTCCAAATCCTGGCTCTTCCCCTCATCCCTGGGTAAGTTGAGGGATGAGAGCAAGAGAAGGTTGATCCTGACTCAGATCTCTGCATGGGGCATGTCACTGATGACGGCGGCATTCCCTGAGAGAGGGAACACTAAGTTTGAAGTTGGGCATAGTGAGCACTATTTTGGATGAGTTAAGTTTAGAAGTGCCTGAAGACATCCAAGTGGAAGAAGTGGCTGCATGGACTGAAGATACAGACTGGGAAACGTTAACACCATCAAGGAACTGGAGTCCTGGGCACAGGTGAGACTGCTCAGGGGAGTTGTAGAAGGAGAGGACACAAGGCCTCAGGCAGAGCTCTGGAGTGAAGGGGTTGTACAGTAGGAGAGAAGGCTGGAGATTAAGGGGAACAAAGAGATTGTTGGTGTATCAAGGGCTGTGCTATGTAGGGGACAAAGTCTGGGGATGAAATGTCAGTAACATCATCTTCCATTAGCTGATTAAAGATGAGAGTAAAAAAGCTAGCTCCTGGGATTGAAAGCCAATTAATTTTATTCTTTTCTAGAGTTAAGACTAGCACCTCAGATGATTTGTAATTTGTAAATGAATTTGCGTCCTATTTGTAAGCAAATGCTTCTGGTGATAAGGACCTACAAATGACAGAACACACTAGACCAGGGGTCCCCAACCCCCAGGCCACGAACAGTTAACAGTCCTGTGGCCGGTTAGGAACCCAGCCACATAGCAGGAGGTGAGTGGCGGGCAAGCCAGCATTACCCCCTGAACTCCACTTCCCGTCAGATCAGTGGCAGCACTACATTCTCACAGGAGCACAAACCCTATCCTGAACAGCGGATTTAAGGGATCTAGGTCACACATTCCTTATGAGAATCTAATATCTAATTATGTGAGGTAGAACAGTTTCATCCTGAAAGCATCTCCTCCCCTTCCATGAAAAAATGGTTTTCCATGAAACCAGTTCCTAGTGCCAAAAAGGTTGGAGACCACTGCAGCAGACAAATATGAGTTCACCAACATTCTTAGAAAATCAGCAGCATAATGCTCTGAAGTGGAGGTGAAGGAACTGTATTCTCTCATTTGACTCAGGAGCCCCAGGCCCAAGTCTAAGTTTGAGAGGGATTATTCTTGTGTCACACAGAAAGGAATAGTTTCTGTATGCAAGGTAAGTTTCATAAGACTGTGGAATTACATTCTGGATTTCTCCTTAATAAACTGTAACATTGGCAAATTTTATATGAAAAATAAAATGTTTCTACCCTGATTGAAACCATAGCATGAAAATATTAACTAATGCACGTTACTTTCTTCTGCATAGCCTAGCATTTGAATGCCAAGTGCTTTCCATATTTGAGATGCACAGTGCCATCTAATGGTCACAAACCATAAGCCAAAAGAAGAAGAAAGGGAATCAGAACTGAAATAATAATAAAATAGTAAAATCTAATACATTACAAGCTTCAAAATTGCATAGTTAACTGCCCTTGCCTACAAAAATTTTATCTTTGCCTTAGTCATTGTCATGTGAGTTACAATCATGTGAGTTACAAATGATCATATTGCATAGATAACTACAGATCACATGTTAAATTAAAATAATTCATGACAAACCTGAAACCATAACTTATATGCACTTTACAACTTTCTACTTTCACTCTTCAATCACCTGAAACTATAATACATAGGGTTCCTCATGCGTATACACTATTCCCACAGAAACAAAATCATTAGAAATACCTTGGATGAAATAATATGTTTAGGATAGTTTTTTAAAGGGAGGGTAAGATTAGGGGGATAGATAAAAGGATATTATCTTGATGTCTACAAGTTTAGCAGATGGCCAGTCTTCTGCATGGAAAATGACTATTCTAACCATTCTCCCTGCAGCCCTTCAAGACAGAGGAGATTATGGGGCTACTGAACGTATCTTGGACTTTAGAGAAAGAAAGTGAAGCTGAGCTGAGATCCATTGGTTCTATTTTGGAAAGATGCACCCCGTGGCATGACCTTCACAGCTCAGTTCTGGGGTCAAAGGAATTTTCCATTGCTCACACTGCCACCCAACTCTGGGGGCATAAGTGTGGAAGTGGTACAGCACACATGGAGAAGGGATGGGAGGAGCAGGGGTGTGTATCAGCTTAGCCGATCCCCCGAGGAGCTGCCAAGCTTGCTACCCCAAGAACAATGCCTCATAGCTCTGTGACCTCTTCAAGATTAAGGCTCTTTGATCTCAGCCCTTCTGAAGTGGTTTGAACCATATTCTATACAAAATTGGTAACTCCCCCATAAGAATTGCTTTTTAAATATCCTGCTCTATTTGAAAAAGGAATTTTAAAAATAAAGTTTACCCTTTTACTCTCTCCCAGCAAGTGAGATATTCAAAACAACAAAAATTCCTCTAACATGTTATGATGTGGAAACTGGTATTTTACTGATTTGTCTTTTCCACTTGGCTTCAAGTTCTTTGGGGAATGAAGATCATATCAATCCCTAGCCGACCGCTTCAGGCACAACTGCAAATGTTTCTTGAATGAACTTCCAGGCTTACCTGAATTCTAAGGGGGATTTCCACCATAATGGGAAAGCCACAAGAAAACCAGCAAAGGGTTTAAAAAAAAAAGGGTGAAAATATAAGTTATTTATCGGGGGTTATCACTTTATGCAGAGAGCATTCGAAACAATGATTTCCACAAATGGGCAGCAACAGTAACAGCCATACTAAGCCATTGCTTTCTTTACTTCCTCTTGGTCTAGAATATGCTGCAAAGGGAGAAGAAGGAAGACGTGTGGTATGGAATCACCTATGGATAAGGTTGAGAACCATGGGCTAGATGCTATGGAGACCAACGTATCACTTACTAGGCTTTACTTTGTGCCAGGCACTGGATTCGGCATTACCCCATTTAAGCCTCACTACCATCCTTCATGTTACTATTCCACGTTGCCGCTCAGGAGAAACAAAATTTTTTTATTAAATTCAAGTAACCTGAGGTCCCATATTTAGTAAGAGGCAGAGGAGTTAGATGTGTCAATAGCTAAATTACATGGCTGTGTCCTCTAGCTGGCCAGGGACTGACAACATCAGTATCACCTGGTGACTCTCCCAGGGGAGATGTTTTTAAAAATCTTTTCCAGTAATTCTGTGCAACATGGCAATCTGAAACCAGTCTTTCAGACCTGGAAGTTCTTTAGAGACCACAGGACTCTCTTTGATATTTTTTCTTTTGAATTTTTTTAAAATACAGAATCCTTTTTCATGTTCTCTGTTTATAAAACAACTGCATGTCAATTACATTATTTTTTAGAAGATAGGTACAAGAGCCAGGCGTGGTGGCTCATGGCTGTAATCACAACACTTTGGGAGGTCGAGGCAGGTGGATCATTTGAGGCTGGAAGTTCGAGACCAGCCTGGCCAACATGGCAAAACCTGTCTCTACTAAAAATATAAAAAATTAGCCTGGAGTAGTGGTGCATGTCCCAGCTACTCGGGAGGCTGAGGCATGAAAATCGCTTGAACCCGGGAGGTGCAGGTTGCAGTGAGCCAAGATCGCACCACTGCACTCCAGCCTGGGCAACAGAGCAAGACTGTGTCTTGACAGCAACAAAAAAAGAAGATAGGTATAGGAATTAAAAAGAAAGCAAATAATTACTGGTAGCCTGACCACTAAGAGATATATACTGATATTTTTTTTGCGGGGGGTGCATCTCCTTGCAGGCCTTTTTGTATGTTTATGTTCAAACACATTTGTAACAACAATGAATAAAAAACGCATAATATTCAATGACTTTTTATTCGGTCTTCAGTGTATTATTGATATCTTATTATGACAGTAAATAGGTCTGCAACAATATATTCAATTCTCATCTTATATTCCATCAATAAATCTACCATCACAGTTAAAAGATTTTTATTTGTGACTTGAATGAAGGGTTATATTGATCACATGCTTGGGTGACACAAGCCTAATATACTAGATATAAAGAATCAGAACATAAATAATATTAATAAATGGGAATTATGATCCTAAATCAACATAAAATTTAAATAAAAATCTAAAACTTCAACGTCAGGCATGGAGGCTCACGCCTGTAATCCCAACACTTTGGGAGGCCGAGGCGGGCAGATCACGAGGTCAGGAGATCGAGACCATCCTGGCTAACACGGCGAAACCCCATCTCTACTAAAAATAGGAAAAATTAGCTGGGCGTGGTGGCAGGCACCTGTAGTCCCAGCTACTCGGGAGGCTGAGGCAGGAGAATGGCGTGAACCCAGGAGGTGGAGCTTGCAGTGAGCCGAGATCGCGCCACTGCACTCCAGCCTGGGCGACAGAGCGAGACTCTGTCTCAAAAAAAAAAATAAAAATAAAAATAAAACTTCAAACAATGTCCAACTAGTGTCTCTCTGTTAAATCCCACATCTCTGGGAGTGGAGAGCGTTCCACCTGAGAGGGGCAGGCAATTTGACTGACGTGAACTGTCAGGCATCAACAAACAAATAAGTGTAGCCACGTTAGTGGGATGACATATGCAATGAAAATGGCCACCTCGGAACATGGAAAGTATAAAACTCAATATAAACATATTATTACCTTGAAAGAGCTTGGTTATCAGCTCTGTTAATAGACAGATTCTGGGGCAGAGTTTTCCTGGTAAGATTTTCCTTGGAGAAGTACTGAAGTTCAGACCACAGGTGCTGTCTAGGAAACTAACTTTTCAGTTTGCAAGCAGAGGCTGACCGCTCTAAGTTTGCAGACTGATCAGAGATGGTGCTGGCAGTAACCTTCTATTATTTAGCACAATAAAAAATCTAGCTAAATAAAACTCTAAAAGCAGATTTATTATCACCCACAGATTGCTTCTAATAAATAGCTCTGATTTTTAACAATTTTAAAAAAAATCTTCAGGTGTTCTGAGAACTGAGTGATTTGGTCTCTGGTTGAGTATTCCGTTTGTACAAGCTGGACAGAAGAAACGCTGTCATTTTAGTGCTGCGATAAGATTCCATATCTACTTGAATGTAAGGTCAGCCAGAGGTGGGCTGTGTGGACCTTAAGGGGAGGGGACAATGGGAAGTCCCTTCTCTGCTTCTGGAAGACCTGGGACCAGTCCTTCAGAAGCCTGTACTTTGTTGCTGTCACACTTGCTGCCTAGCCCACCAGGCTTCTAAGCTCTAGCGTATTGCCCTTGCCATGGTCATTTGAGATGAGGTTAAAAGGGCAGGTGCTTCTTTTGCACCAGCTGACAGGCCCTCTGTGAAGATGGAAGGTCTATCTGTCCATGCAGTTGTAGTCAATCAGGCATTTTAGGGTTTTGCCCTAACAGACAGTTGGTACCCACCTGTACCTCTCCTGTTGCCCTCTTGGGAGGTTAATGAAGATGAGCTTATGTTTTATTAATGTTATTACTTTCCACTTTCACTCTTTAGTCATGTGCCACTTTATTACATAGGGCTTCTGGTGCATATACACTATTCCCACAGAACTCTTGAAATAAAGGCTGAATAATCACCTGGTTTTGTGAGCAGACAGGGAAAATCCCTTCTTGGTGGTATTTTTCTTTTTGTGTTTTAGAGATGAGGATCTCACAATGTTGCCCAGGCTTGTCTCGAACTCCTGGCCTCAAGTGATACTCCTGCCTCGGCCTCCTTAGTATCTGAGATTATAGGTGCAAGCCACAACACCCAGCTTGGTGCTTTTTTTTTTTTTTTTTTTTTGGAGATGGAGTCTCACTCTGTTGCCCAGGCTGGAGTGCAGCAGCTCAATCTTGGGTCACTGCAACCTCCGCCTCCCGGGTTCAAGCAATTCTCCTGCCTCAGCCTCCTGAGTAGCTGGGACTACAGGCACGCACCACTATGCCTGGCTAATTTTTGTATTTTTAGTAGAGATGGGGTTTCACCCCATCAGGCTGGTCTTGAACTCCTGACCTCAGGTGATCCACCCGCCTCAGCCTCCAAAAGTGCTGGGATTACAGGTGTGAGCCACTGCACCCAGCTTGTTTTGTCTTTTTTTGAGACAGGGTCTCACTGCCCAGGCTGGAGTCTAGTGGTGTGATCACAGCTCACTGCAGTCATGACTTCCTGGGCTCAAGCAATCCTCCCATCTCAGCCTTCCTAGTAGCTAGGACCACATATGTGCACTACCATACACGGCTAATTAAATTTTTTTTTTTTTTTTGTAGAGACAGGGTTTCCTAGGCTGGTCTTGAACTCCTGGGCTCAAGTGATCCTCTCATCTCAGCCTCCTAAAGTGCTGGGATTACAAGCATGAGCCACTGTGCCTGGCCTTTGGTGGTATTTTTAATGAGAAAATTTTCCTTATTGATTGGAGCAGAGTTTGATCTGCCACATTTTTCCCAAGGGTAATTTTTTAACTCTCCTCCTAATTTACTAGGTGGTGCATCTAAAATACATGCCACTTCCTGACTGATAAAATGTGAGTTCCGGGACTCTTGGGCCAATGTTCTACACAAGGTTCTAGAGGCCCAGCTATTTCACCACTGATCATTATTAAAGTCTTTATCAATTTTGTGGAGCAATCTGATAAGAAAAACCTAAGAGCGCTCGCAGTTTTTATTGACCTTTCCATAATCTTTGACTCAGATGACTGAAATCAGTTATAGGCTGAGATATGCAAGCTCAGTATTGATTCCCCATCCCCACTCCCACCCTCAGCCACAAAAGCTTATAAGAAACCTGCACTTAATACCACCGCGTTTCAAGGTCAAGAGTAACAGTCCATTGAGGATTAGATACAGTGTTTACTCCAATTACAAGAAATATAGAGACCTTCCTCTGGTTCATCAGAGGCTTTCTCTGGTTCATCAATGCTATGGTTTCATTATCAAGAACCAGAGGGCAGCTGGGCATGGTGGCTCACGCCTGTAATCCCAGCACTTTGGGAGGCCGAGGCGGGCAGATCACCTGAGGTCAGGAGTTCGAGACCATCCTGGCCAACATGGTGAAACCTCGTCTCTACTAAAAATACAAAAATTAGCTGGGCGTGGTGGCACACACCTGTAGTCCCAGCTACTTGGGGGGCTGAGGCAGGAGAATTGCTTGAACCCGGTAGGCGGAGGTTGCAGTGAGCCAAAATGGCACCACTGCACTCCAGCCTGGTGACAGGGCGAGACTCCGTCTCAAAAAAAAAAAAAAAAAAAAAAAAAGAACCAGAGGGCATTAATAGACAATTGATCTTAGCTATTATCACAAAGAAGGGCCAGTTGCTCTAAATCCAAACCCAACTTTCTAATTTATATATATTTTAAAACTTATGCACATATACCCTTCTCAGTATAAAAAGCTAGATGTTCTATAAGGGACTTACTGAGATTTGTTTATGGATAAAACTGACATTTGGTTATAAGAAATTTAAATTTTGTTCAGGCTAAAATCTCTGAGGCTGTACTTGGCATATTATCTTGTTGGAGCAAACACTAAATTATTTCTTAAGGAGAATCTGAGCACAGACAGACAGTCCTTTCTTAGCCCACCTCCAAGCTGAGGTGCAGTGGCCTTCTGTCTACCATATGTCCTTGCTATGTACCTCAGTTTTAATAAGAAGTTGTCAATCCCTCCCTAGCTTGCTGGCTTATTAAAACATATGGCTCTGTATTTAACTGGCAACACGGATGCTGTGTGTGCCAGGAACTTATCAGGATGTTTAATCTCTCTCTTTTTTTTTAAGCAACCCTATTAACTGAAGGATACTTAATCTTGTAACTCACTGCTGCTCCTTAACTACTGAACTTTGGGAAATGAGAGATATTTGCAGAGGATTATGTGAAGGACAGCAATGCACCCATTTCTTTTAGGTCAGTTTCAAACTCTTTAAACCACAGAATCCTTGTTCAAACCCTGTCTTTCTTAGAAGCCCAAGGATAGGAGAATGGGATGTTGGGAAGCTGCCCCTCAGAGGACATCTTGGAAAAACTGCTAGGTCCTCTAACCTATCCTTAGACATCAGGGCAGAGACCCACAGAATGGCACACCCAGACTGGATCATGGGGCCTCTGAATTGTGCCTTGACCGAGCACCATCCTGTCTCACTCTGGCAGATGTTACAAGAAACAATCCTAGGAACTCACTGAGGTATTTACCCTAAGTATGTTGTTAAAGATGTTATTTTTCCCCAGTTTCACATCTCTGGGAGAATCCCAAGGAGAACATTATTCTTACTTTTTTTTTTTTCTTTTTTTGAGATGGAGTCTCTCTCTGTCGCCCAGGCTGGAGTGCACTGGTGTGATCTTGGCTCACTGCAACCTCCGCCTCCCAGGTTCAAGCAATTCTCCTGCCTCAGCCTTCCGAGTAGCTAGGACTACATGTGCCCGCAACCACGCCCGACTAATTTTTGTATTTTTAGTAGAGACAGGGTTTCACCATATTGGCCAGGCTGGTCTCGATCTACTGACCTTGTGATCTGCCCGCCTCAGCCTCCCCAAGTGCTGGGATAAC
Source organism: Homo sapiens (assembly GCF_000001405.40). Classification (NCBI taxonomy): domain Eukaryota; kingdom Metazoa; phylum Chordata; class Mammalia; order Primates; family Hominidae; genus Homo; species Homo sapiens. The sequence goes on along the minus strand of NC_000014.9, from coordinate 61,290,035 downwards.
AGGCATGGGCCACCGTGCCTGGACACATTTTTCCTATTCTCTCAGGCAGAAATCTTTAAAGTTCTTCTGAGCTAATGGCTTATTTTCTCTCACAGATGCAATGACTTATCCTTTCCCTTCTCTGGCCACTAGGAAACCTGAGGCAGCCCTGCAGACTACCACCAGCAAGGCCACAGGATTTCATGGCAGGTGCTTCACAAACCAGCTTCTCACTCAGCTCCATTCTATTTTACAAAATATATTCCTTCTGCCTTCACTCTTATGCTGTGAAGTATTTTTTGCATGTTGTTCTATTGTGTAAAGTCACCCTCAATACTTAGTTTATTTTTGAGACAGGGTCTCACTCTGCCACCCAGGCTGGAGTGCAGTGGCACAATCATAGCTCACTGCAGCCTCCACCTCCTGGACCCAAGTGATCCTCCCACCTCAGCCTCCTGAGTAGCTGAGACCACAGGCACATGCCACCATGACTAACTAATTTTGGTATTTTTTATAGAGACAGGATTTTGCCATGTTGCCCAGGCTGGTCTCAAACTCCTGCACTCAAGCAATCCTTTTGCCTTGGCCTCCCAAAGTGCTGGGATTACAGGTGTAAGCCACTGCACCTGGCCTTGGCAGTTTCCTTGGTAATGACCCTCATGTATTCTAGGTTCATTTTCTGGAGTAATACAGAATAAAATCACTCCTTGCCTTTTAAGGATGCTGAAGATGGCTACTATGTTCACCTCAAGATTTTTATGCCCAGCCTATACATGCTTAGTTCCCTGAACTGGTCCTCTTTGGATCTAGATTCTCATCATGCTGGTCCCCTTCCTTTACACTTAACTTGGGTTTAGAGATGTTCTTATTAAGGAATTTGCTCACCCAGTAATGTTTTAAAAGTGGGGCTGGGTGTGGTGGCTCATGCCTGTATCACCTGCAAGGTGACACAGCACTGGTGCCAGAGTCAAAGCTGTGGCAACCAAAAGCCATAGAAGCCAAGATATGGAGGTGCAAAAACCAAGAGCCTTGCTGAAGATGGCCTGCCTGAGCTGCAGAGAGAAGCAGAGGCAAGACAATGCAGAGAGAAGGGAGCTGCCTGATGACGTTCTACTCCTGTGACAGCCAGATCTGCTTCCTTCAATTCTTCCTTCTGTGACATCCCTCATCTCTGAACAATAACAACCTCTTTATTAAAGCTGATTTGAATAAGTTTCCGTTCCTTGCATCCCAGAAATTTCCGACTAAGTCAAAGAGAATTGCTAGATGAAATAAGCTGAAGTAGGTGAGTGGCTCCCAGAGCTCCTATCATCACATCAGAGCCTGCTCTGAGTGAACTTCCTGGTAACATCTACAGTCTTGGTTTCATTAAGATTCCCAAACTTTGGCTTAGAAGTTGACACAATGCAGCCATCCTCACAGAACTTTTCCTACAGAAAGAAAACTAAAAATTTAAACACAGCCATTACGAATTCAGAGTTACTATTCAGAGAAAAAGTCAGGGGCCCCTACAACACTCCATGGGTATACGATCTCCAGATTGAATATTAACAAGTCAGTATTGATCAGCACACATGACATAGGTTCCTAGGGTGCTGGGCCAAGGTATTTTTGCATTTGAATCAGTGACCTAGGTAATGGAATTGAAAGTATGTTTATTGAGGCTTGTCACCACAGCTCATGCCTGTAATCCCAGCACTTTGAGAGGCTGAGGCAGGAGGATCGCTTGAGTTCAGGAGTTCAAGACCAGCCTGGGCAACAGAGCTAGACTCTCTTTCTACAAAAAAATAAAATTTAATTTGTATTTAGTTTTTTTTCCGGTGGTTCTGGGGGAAGAAATGAAAAAAACAGAGTATGTGTATTTGGCTCATTGATGATATCACATAGGGAAAGACATCTAAGCATGTCTTTGTTGGGCACCTGAGTTTTCCTAAAGGATGTCACCCCTCTCTCCCTAGTTTATGGCTGTTAGAATATATGGCTTTGCTCTGATGTAGCAATATATATTTATTCAATTTTAAAATCTGATAACTTTCTGAAATTTTTGAAATGTTTAATTATTTACCTGATACGTAAGAAATTCCTAAAGTTTCAAACAGATATAGTCACTATGCAGAGGGTAAAGCCAGTCTGAGGTCGCTGAGGTGAAGACTTCCCCAAACCAGTGAGTTTCACTACACTGGGGACAGGATGGCAGAGGAGGTGACTTCTAGCCTCAAAAGATTGGCTGGCTCCACAGACACTGTCATGGTGTCCCCCTCCCTCTTCCAGTCCTCACCTTGGGTATAAAGCCCCTCTCACTGGCCACACTGGGCAGTCTAATTCAGTTTCTTTTTTTTTTTTCCTTGAGACGGAATCTCACTCTGTTGCCCAGGCTGGAGTGCAGTGGCACAATTTCAGCTCACTGAAACCTCCACCTCCCAGGTTAAAGCAATTCTCATGCCTCGGCTTCCCAAGAGGCTGAGATTACAGGCGTGCACTACCATGCCTAGGTAATTTTGTATTTTTAGTAGAGATGGAGTCTCGCTATGTTGGCCAGGCTGGTCTCAAACTCCTGGCCTCAAGTGATCTGCCTGCCTTGGCCTCTCAAAGCGCTGGGATTACAGGCGTGAGCTACCGGGCGTGGCCCTAATTCACTTCTGAGTCAACCCCCTCTCTTCTTTCCAGTACAGAGCTCTTCCTTCCCCTCTGTCTCAATTCTGTCACCTAACTTGTCCTCTGCCTATTCTGGTGTTGCTCTCCTGCCAACTCACCAAGCACAACCCCTACAGCCAAACTCTACCCACACAATTCAAGTCCAGCCCTATCCTTGCTGGTTTATCTTTTTTTTTTTTTTTTTTTTTTTTTTTTTTAAGACGGAGTCTTGCACTGTTGCTCAGGCTGAAGTGCAGTGGTGTGATCTCAGCTCACTGCAACCTCTGCTTCCCGGGTTCAAGCGATTCTCCTGCCTCAACTTCCAAGTAGCTGGGATCACAGGTGCATGCCACCACACCTGGCTAATTTTTGTATTTTTAGTAGTGACGGGGTTTCGCCATATTGGCCAGGCTGGTCTCTAACTCTTGACCTCAGGTGATCCACCCGCCTTGGCCTCCCAAAGTGCTGGGATTATGGGTGTGATCCATTGCACCCTGCCAACTGTCTTTTAATCTGGCCATCCCATACCTAATGCCTCTGCTGTTTAAGACCTTCTGTTATCCATCTCAGTCCCATTTTTCACTTTATACTGCCCCCTGCAACTCAACCCACCCAACTGTGCTCACAGTTCACCCTCTTTTTTTTTGAGATGGAGTTTCGCTTTTGTCGCCCAGGTTGGAGTGCAATGACGTGATCTCGGCTCACCGCAACCTCCACCTCCCAGGTTCAAGCGATTCTCCTGCCTCAGCCTCCCGAGTAGCTGGGATTACAGGCATGCGCCACCATACCCGGCTAATTTTGTATTTTTAGTAGAGACGGAGTTTCTCCATGTTGGTCAGACTGATCTCGAACTCCCGACCTCAGGTGATCCACCCGCCTCGGCCTCCCAAAGTGCTGGGATTACAGGTGTGAGTTCACCCTCTCTTTGACCACTGTTTTGCAGTAAGTTAGTGACAAAGAACCAACACACCGTGGCAGGGAGTGGAGAGAATTCGCTTCTGTCTTTTGTGCCTCTGGTGCTTACAGTGCTAGTTAATTAAAGTTTCTCTGCATCTTCCACTAGGGGGTACCACTCCATAACTTTTGAAACAGAAGTCTGCTGGATGCAGTTCTTAATAAAAAATGAAGTCCAGGCACAAAGAATTTTTTTAAAACTTTTCTGAGCGCATGCTGTAATTTTATGAAGCAATTTAATTTGATTCTTTTTAAATAAAAGCTGCCCCATGGGCAGAGTAATAGGCAACAATCTTGAGCAGTATAAACCTATATAAGGGAATGCCAATTAAAAACCCAGGTTCTGTTACAGTAAGATAAATAGTCATGAATTAAATGAACTACATGCAAAAACTGAGAACAGCCAGACAAGTGAAGTTATTTTTATTCTAGCAAGAGAAATGAGCATGCTAAACAAAAGTTGGATTTAAAACAAAAGCTTTTGTAAAAACAAAAATACAAGCAACTCAGCTGTTCCTGGGACTCTGTGTAAATGGAACAGAGTTTGCTTATCTTTGGGGTGTTAAGAGAAGATCTGCAACAATAAACACTGGTTCAAGGTTAACGTTTTTGGAGTTTTTTGAGGAGGAAATATGCCAAGGCCTTACAGTGTAGCATGGTTGAAGAAACAGGACACTGGAATTAAGCTGCCCTTTGAATCCCTCATCTCCCCATTACAACTATGAGAACTCAGGCAGCCTCCATTGCACTGGCTTGAATCTTAGTTTTGCATCAGTTCTTTGAGTATAATTGGACTGAATGCCCCCCATTTGTGTACAAATTAGATGGGACAATGTATATAAAGTGTTTACGCAGTGACTGTAAGTACTGATTCACAGAAGGTACTCAATAAAAGTTAGCTATTATTCAATGAGTCATTGTAAGGAAGACTAGGAACAGAAATCTTTGCTTAAAAAAGACACACTAACAATCATTTTGGTAAACACGTTCGTACAGATAAGCAATCATGAGAACAGAGAAGTTAAGCAATTTGACCAAGGTCACACAGTTATATCCTAAGGAACTTTCAGGGTAGAATCTGAACTTCCTTAAGGTCCGGCCAGCATTCTTTCCCCTATCCAATACTATTCTCCTAGTATCTGAGAGTTTATTGGCATAGACTAAATATATTCTGTGCTTAGCTCTTGGTTTTGTTGGCAAATTTTTGGTGAAAGTATCAAAATATATACATTGGTGTGGCAGTGTAAATATGACTCCAGCAGTATGTATTTTTAAAGAGCTTCACCTTTAAGTCCCTTTCCTACTTTTAGAATTTTATCCCAAGGAAAAAAATCTGAAAGAAAACGTTAGGGGGAAAGGGAGACACATAGTTTTTTTTAAAAAGGGTTATATGCAGAAAAGATGGTCACTATCATATACTTTGGAATACTGAAAAACTGGATATAACCTACATGTCCAACAATAGTTAAATATGATAGACCTATGAATTATGGCACCATTAAGGAACATAGAAAATATTTATTTCAATCTTCATCTCATTCCAAAATGAGGTAATTTGACAACTAGAATAATTGTGTGTATATCTTAATTACAATCTATTAAAAATTAAATATTTACATGGATAAAGTCTGGGAGATAAAATGAAAAAATGAAGTGATTTTAGCAGTATTTGGACTAGAAATGCCTTTTTTCTTTTCCTTTGAGTTCTTAATAACACTGATACAAAAAACAATTTTAGAGTGAACTTGTTTCTTATTTTACTGGTACTAAAGAGTTTACATGATCCAAGCATCCTTTAATACATCACAACATATGTAATAAAATGAGAGAAATGAGATCTGAACCTTCCTTACATAGTGAACTCTGAGGAACACGACAATGTATATCTATATCAGTCTTCCACCTCTCGGAACTTACGAGCTGGTAGGGGAAATATAGTGTATACATGGACCTTGGTACAGCTTCACCTCCAAGATCTTTAACACCCCATCTCATACCAGCACTTTTTCCTCCCAGCTTTCACGGCACCTGCCAATTAACATTATTAGGACTGCCAATCTACCAGTATCTTCTTTTTCTTTTGATCCACAGGGTTGGTTTCATTTTCTTCGCCTTTCAGATTAACTACTAAGGCACATCTCTTTAGCCACCCCTCCACAAGGACTGCAATACCTTGAATTTTTTATCTTTCAAATTCATCTGCCCTGAAAACCACCATATGCTGGTCACACTCAGTCATTTCTTTCTCCCAGCCTGAGGTGCGGGAGCCCAATACCCAGCTGCATTCTGCAGAGGGCATTTTTATCACCCTGCCCTCTTGTTTCAGAGGTGAGATAACTCTGCACCTGTTCTCTGAAACCAGTGGCTCTGGCTGGTGGATCAGCGTCTCCAGCCTGCTCCTGCCTTTGCACTATCAGTAAGCTTGCCACCCCTCTTTTCAACCTCATCTGCACTATTATCTTTTTCCCTCAGGATACACACTTCTCTGACATCTAAAAAAGAAGCCTTTCCTTTAGGATACATGCTCTTCTAGACAGTTATCACTTGCCTTTCTCCTTCCCTTTCCACACATTTCTAAAAACAGGCTTTCCCCTTTAGAACCCCATTCTCTCTTTTTTTATTTTATTTTTATTTTTTGAGACAGGGTCTTGTTCTGTTGTCCAGGCTGGAGTACAGTGGCGCAATCATAACTCCCTGGTTAAAGCTATCCTCCCACCTCAGCCTCTTGAGTAGCTGGGACCTCAGGCACATGCCACCACACCCAGATAATTTGTTTTTATTTTTTGTAGAAACAAGATCTCGTTATATTGCCCAGGCTAGTCTCAAACTGCTGGGCTCAAGTGATCCTCCTGCCTTGGCCTCCCGAAGTGCTTGAATTATAGGCATGAGCCACCATGCCCAGCAAGACCTCATCTCCAAAAAATAAAAATAAAAATAAAAAAAGAGTGTCTTCCTATCTTGCTATCTGCTTCCCTTTCCCTGCACCTGATGGTAACCTCATTCCTGCCACACAAACCACCCAAAGTGTTCCCACAAAAGTCAAACCCCATAATTCCTTTTCATTTATCTCACTTGAACCCTCAGCTGTGTTTAACTCTGCTGACCATTCCTTGTCTTGAAATATTCTCTTTTGACTTTGAAAATCTGTCACCTTAATTAGTGGAATGAATAAACTAGTACCTTTAGGCCATCCAGGAATAGGAGAAAAGGAGGAAAGGCTCTGAGCTCAAGAATGGGGCTTGCCCTTTTAGGGGTGTGGTGGTGATCTACTAGAAAAAAGACTTAAGATTTACCAGATAGGCTTGGTGTGATGGCTCACACCTATAATCCCAACAATTTGGGAGGCTGAGGCAGAAGGATCTCTTGGGCTCAAGAGTTTGAGACAAGCCTGGACAACTGAGGGAGACACCTCTCTCTCAAAAAAAAAAAAATCTACAAAAGTTGTGAAAACTGAATTCCTTCCTAGAGACGAGTTTTGTGGACTAGTGATTCAATGAAACGGGTGGGTGGAACTCAACCATAATGATACAAAGAACTATTTATTCTTTTATTGAAAAAAAGGGTGACTGGAGACTGGATCACACTGTGGGAACTTGCTGAGAATTTTGGAACTTCCTCTCTTTGGGTATGATAAGAAGTGAGGGAATTGAAATTCAAGTCACTTGAATTTCCCTCAGTCTTCTATAATACCTGGTTTCCAACTTGCATTCATTTAACAAACTGGAATCAATGTTCCATTATTAAATCAATATTACTTTTTAATTTTAATGTGACTTGTAGAATGCAATTTGATACTTGATTACACCCTATGATTCATAGCTATTATTGGCTATTTTGATTGTTTCTTACTCCTAATATGTCCCCTATCAAACTGCAAATGCCTTGAGGTCAAAGGTCCTTTTTTGTCTAATTAGCATAGGACTGAACACTTGGAAGATGCTAACAACATTCCTCTGTTAAATTTAATAAGGATTTTAACTTTCCAAGTTCAATGGGTTTTGAATGACTCCTGAATATAATATATTATGCTAGGTGTAGTGTAATAGAGAAAACATTTGTATTACTTGCATTTTACAAGCTGGAGGAGAAGCAAGAACACAATACCTAGGGAAGATTTAGATTTAGTAAGAAATCAGAACGTCCCAATACCCCCTTGTATATGTTTTACCAACCTAGATTTAAAAAAAAAAAAAAAAAAGCCAGAATCCCAGGCAACATAGGGAGCTAATTTGAGTTCTTTTTATAATAAATCCTATAAATCCTTGTAGTTTACTTCCTTAGGCCAGACACTCCAGATGTTTTTGTGGATAGCAGCTAGGTCTCCTGGGACCTTGGATTGGGCCTTTCTCTAGTCAGGCAAATAATCTGAAAAGAAAACGAAATCACATGTAGTCCAGCACATTTTTTCCTTTCTTGGTTTCTCCACACCAGCTAAGAGTTATTTAAAGGCTCTGAACCTCTCCAGCCTTTGATTCTTTTTAAGGATGATTTTATTTTTAGAGAACTTTCCACATTTCCTAGTTATACAGCCAGACTGGGTGATCTGGCCAGAAAATCATTTTCCCTTAAAAAAAAAAAAAAAAAAAAAAAAAAAAAAAGCTAAAATTTGAACGCAGGCGTTGAATTCGAAACAGATTTATCATAACGTAATTCCCTGGACACTCCCAACTTGAGACTGAAAGCTGGGCGAAAGCGGTTTGTGAAGCTAACCTAAAAGACAAAATGGTCTAGAGCCACCTTTTCCCCGCAAATAACAGAGGATTAAGGATCTGAAATCTTCAAGCCTCCAGGACCACGGTGCAAGCCCTCAGCAAAAATTTCTGCTGGAGGCCGGAGCGCCTTTTGATTTCGGGAGACTGGCCCAGGAACTCTAGTCACTTGGAAGGCGGAAGAGAAGGTGGTACCTGAGCCAGGTAGGAGCCACTCAGAGGCAGCCCGGGGCCGCCACTCACCTAGGAGAGGAGGTGGAGTCCGATGACCTGGACTGAGAGGAAACGCGAGACTGAGTCTACCAGGTGAGGTAAAAAACACCCACCTGCTCACCTCGGAAGGGGCGGGCGAGGTGCGGCTCCCGGTGACCCGCGGGGGTGCAGCGCACCTGGGCGGAGGCGGAACTGGGAGGGTGTGGGCACTGCTCGTAGGGCCTGGAACTAAACTCACCTGTGACGGAGGCAGAGGAGGGGCCCGGGCAAAAACCCACCTGAGCTGGCGGGAAACCCGACCCGCGAGCAGTCCCCGGGCTTGCGCGGCGCGGAGAGGGAGGCGCCCCGCGGCGGGGCCCCCACTCGGTCAGCCCGCGCGTCGGTCCCCGCGCGGCCGCCATGACCTGGAGCGCCACGGCCCGGGGCGCCCACCAGCCCGACAACACCGCCTTCACTCAGCAGCGCCTCCCCGCCTGGCAGCCGCTGCTGTCGGCCAGCATCGCGCTGCCGCTCTTCTTCTGCGCGGGCCTGGCCTTCATCGGCCTGGGCCTGGGCCTCTACTACTCCTCCAACGGCATCAAGGAGCTGGAGTACGACTATACAGGCGACCCGGGCACCGGTAACTGCTCGGTGTGCGCCGCGGCTGGCCAGGGCCGGGCGCTGCCGCCCCCCTGCTCGTGCGCCTGGTACTTCTCGCTGCCCGAGCTCTTCCAGGGCCCAGTGTACCTCTACTACGAGCTGACCAACTTCTACCAGAACAACCGGCGCTACGGCGTGTCCCGCGACGACGCGCAGCTGAGCGGACTCCCCAGCGCGCTGCGCCACCCTGTCAACGAGTGCGCCCCCTACCAGCGCAGCGCGGCCGGCCTGCCCATCGCGCCCTGCGGCGCCATCGCCAACAGCCTCTTCAACGACTCCTTCTCGCTTTGGCACCAGCGCCAGCCCGGCGGGCCCTACGTCGAGGTGCCGCTCGACCGCTCCGGCATCGCCTGGTGGACCGACTACCACGTCAAGTTCCGCAACCCGCCGCTGGTCAACGGCAGCCTGGCGTTGGCCTTCCAGGGCACGGCGCCCCCGCCCAACTGGCGCCGGCCAGTCTACGAGCTCAGCCCCGACCCCAACAACACCGGCTTCATCAATCAGGACTTCGTGGTGTGGATGCGCACGGCGGCGCTGCCCACGTTCCGCAAACTGTACGCGCGCATCCGCCAGGGCAACTACTCGGCCGGGCTGCCGCGGGGCGCCTACCGCGTCAACATCACCTACAACTACCCGGTGCGCGCGTTCGGCGGCCACAAGCTCCTCATCTTCAGCAGCATCTCGTGGATGGGTGGCAAGAACCCCTTCCTGGGCATCGCCTACCTGGTCGTCGGCTCCCTCTGCATCCTCACCGGCTTTGTCATGCTGGTCGTCTACATTCGCTACCAGGACCAGGACGACGACGACGAGGAGTGATTCCGGCTTTCCAGGGATCCCTCCTGCTTCTTGCCAAAACTCTTGCAAGGTGCTTTTGGCATCTCCTCCTCGCCCGTCACCCAATTCCAACCTCGCCTAGCTTTTCCTCCCTTTGTGAATGAGGGGACCAGATAAGGGAATTACCCCCCTTGCTCTTGGGGGGCTGCTAGACTGTCTTGCCGCGGGGAGGGATGTTGACTGCAGAGTGAAACATCCTTGCAAACTCTTCCCACCTCCTTCACGACACTGAGTTGCCATGTGAGGTTCTTCAAGTCTGAGAGTGGAAGGGATCCCTATGGAGACTCCTATTAAACCCCTATTAGAGGAAGAGATTGAGAGACCTAGCAATGTGAAGTAACAAAGATCAGGCAGCTGCAAGTGACTCCTGAATCTTGAGTCCAGGGCTTTCGCCACTACAGTACAGTGGTTTTCTTTTCTTTGGTCGGGGAGAGTGGGCTGGAATGGAGAGTGAGGCCCACAAATTACCTGCAGAGACGTGGAGGCGTGAGGGAGAACATGCTTGTTAAATATGCAGGTAGATTAGGAGACACCAAACAGAGATTCAGACACAGTAAGGCTGGGATGAGATCCTCGAAGCTGTGTTTTAACAAACTCCACTGGAGAGTCCCATATTCCCTCAAATTTGGGAATCACGACCCTGAACCAGGTTGGGCCTGAAGCAGTCAACTGAATTCACTTTTTCGGATAGTAATTTGTTCCCAGGGGCAGTGACAACCATGATGTTCCAGGTTTGGTCTGGCACTCTGCCTTGAACGTAGGAAGCTCTTGATGATTTGTGGAATGAATTTTTAAAAAATTACTATCTGGGGAAAACTAGTTGGCATACAGAGTTGTAGGACAGGGTTTATGTGATTCATTTGATATTTTAGTATTTTGGTGTAAAAGCCAACAGGCAAACTTTGCCAGGTACTGTGTAGAAACTCGAAAATGTGAGGCCAGTTTGTACAGTTCAGAGGAAATGCTTTAACGTAGAATCAGATAGCTGGAAGAGATCTTCGAGGGAAAGTAAGTTCCCTAAAGTCACATCTATGTCTCCTAGCTCAGTGTTCTTTGTCATTGTGTGTGTGTGTGTGTGTGTGTGTGTGTGTGTGTGTGATTAGAAAGGGCTTCATTCATACCTTTTCCCTTGGACCTGGAAAAAAAATTTTTTTTATCTTTTCAAATGAAATCTATTGATTTCTAGTAATCATATTTGAATCAATGTTAAAGCATATATAGTCTTATATGTAAACTAGATTCTTAAGATTATTTGAACCTTTGAGATGAAGTTTACACTCAACTAAAATCATTCCATTGATTTTATTGATTAACATCAATCAGTATGTTTAAAGTTATTCTAAGAAGCAATAGTTTATTTTTAAAAACCTTGTATAGCAAAATAACTTAAAACCCTTTGTGATATCATCTTACCAGTTTATTTGGTAAAAACAAACAGTTATTTGGTATTTGTCAGAATTCTTCAGTGCCTGCTATTACAGCTATTTTCCAATTACTAACTTGATTATACTCACTCAAGGCAGTGCAAGATCTTGAAGTACTTTTTAGCAGTTAAGTAATATTGAATTGTATTGAATAGTTTACATAGTTTATTCTAGTCTTTGAAAATTACTGAACATGGACAATGTGCATGTCATTGACATCTGCCTTAGAACTTCTGGGACAATCCTGATTCGAGAGATTCTATCCCATTATTTACATATACCAAAAATACTTTGTTAATTTAATGTGTTGGCTTCCCAACTCCTGAACACGACACAATTTTATTATTAGATTTTGTATGGTGATTTTAGGCTATGAAAACATGATCATTATATGTATATAGATACATTTTTATTTGTTACAAATGTTTGAGCAGCTCACTAGCCCACCCCTCCTCTATTTTGGGTAAGAGAATTTACTACCTTTTTTAACTATGTAGTTGAGAGCAACATGTATTTTGTTATTTTTAGAATGGTCAGTATATTGCTATAAAATTTTAAATGAGACTATGAAAGTTAAAGTATTCTGATTCTGGTTAAATTAACGAATATGGTTCCAGGCCCTGTTCTCTGGGTTTTTGAGAGAGAATAAAGGTTATGTTTGTCTTACCTTTGTTATCGAGTTTGCTGAATTCTTTTGAACGATGATCTTAAAGGCACAAACACCACCAGCCACTTTGCTAATTTCTTAATAGCAGATTTACATTGCAGCAAGAAAACCATCTTTTATAGTAACATTCAGTTAAAATGAACTCAATTCATTGTTAACTTCCTAAAACAGAATTTGAACTTTATCAACCTCAACGTGTATATAAACTAGATAGTCCTCAATACTTTATCAACCTCAACATGTATATAAACTAGATAGTCCTCAAATACTGTTTGAATTTAATAAATGTCAATTTAAAAATTTTTGTAGTAGTCTTCTGCATTTTACTTCAATTATAAATTGCAATTATTTATTGGATATTTTGGACTTCAAAGCAGCAGAAACTTTAAAACTGAAATGGGAAACGTTTTCCTGCAATGATCCCTGTGCTGTAACATTTTGTCTGGTGTCTCAGGCTTCCAGGTTCTTGTTGGCCTGAATTCCCTTGTTGCCCAGTAAATGTTCACTAGCTAGAAGTATCTTCAGGAAGTGAGATAGAAAAGAGTGAACCTCAACAATTGGACTGGAAATGAGCTTTGACCTAACTTTGTAAAATAAAAGCATAAAAGAGAAAGTAAAGTAGTTGGTGAGAGCTCCTAAAACAATAATATGTCACTGTATTTTCTCAGATGGTTAAAAAAAATTAAAACAATAATATGACAAAGATTTTCCAGGTATCTCCACAATCAAATCAACTAACCAATTTGCTCACTATAAAATTATTGTTATTATTATTTTTTTTGAGACAGAGTCTCACTGTGTTGCCCAGGCCGGAGTGCTGTGATGTGAACTTGGCTCACTGCAACCTCGGCTCACTGCAACCTCCGCTTCCTGGGTTCAAGAGATTCTCGTGTCTCAGCCTCCCAAGTAGCTGAGATTACAGGTGCACACCACCACGCCCAGCTAATTTTTATATACTTTTAGTAGAGATGGGGTTTCACCAAGTTGGTCAGGCTGGTCTTGACCTTCTGACCTCAAATGATCTGCCCGCCTTGGCCTCCCAAAGTGCTGGGATTACAGGTGTGAGCCACCAAACCCGGCCTATGTAATTATTAAGATTCAGAGACAGACTAATAGTCTGGAATTTCCTTTAGAGCAAATATCACTTCATAATATATAATCAAAACCCTTTCTACCTTACTTTAAGTCTGTTGCCGTCTTCCTGTCATAGGAGATCTCAACAATCTTGAGTAACTCTCTAAGTTGCTGGTAGAGCTGCAAGGTCATCAACTAGTTCCTTGGATATAAGAAGTCCAAGGGCATACACGTAATCAAAAAGTAAATTCCCGGCCAGGTGCGGTGGCTCATGCCTGTAATCCCAGCACTTTGGGAGGCCGAGGTGGATGGATCATTTGAGGTCAGGAGTTCGAGACCAGCCTGGCCAACATGGTGAAACCCCGCCTCTAATAAAAATACAAAAATCAGCCAGGTGTGGTGGTGGGCGCCTGTAGTGACAGCTACTCAGGAGGGTGAGGCAGGAGAATTGCTTGAACCTGGGAGGCAGAGGTTGCAGTAAGCCGAGATCATGCCACTGCACTTCAGCCTGGGTGACAGAGTGAGACTCTGTCTTAAAAACAAAAAGAAAAAAAAAAAAAGTCCCTCTTCTGTTATTTTTATTGGACATTTCTTTGTGTTCCAGATTTTTTCTCTCTACCTAAAACAGAGCTGGCTGATTTTAGATGGCATTCTTTTTAAAAAAATTAACTTTAATTTTTTTTTCCCCAGGAAAATGTCTCTTAAGTCTCCTCCAACCAAAACAGAGTAGTTGCAAAAGAGTCGTTAAGAAGGTCTTCATGAACCTGAAGTACATTAAGGTCCCAAAGAGATTCTTACATAAGAGCAGCAGTTCGTCAGGAATTTGCCAATTTTTCTAATAGTGTTGATGCTATGTACACAGGCATCCTCCATTATTTACTTGATTGTTAGTAATACAACAATACACTGAATACACTGACAACGCATATTCAGGAAAAAATGCGTCCCCACTGCTTTGCCACCTTGCATTAAGATTGCCGTCATTAGCGGTACTCATGTCAATTAGGTTACCGGAGCAAACCAGCATTCCTTTATTTAATGTACTTTGCTGTCCGAGTTCATGTAGGACAGAGAAAAATCCTGTGGCAATGAAACCCAAGAAACTTTGGGGGTTGTAGGGAGACAGGAGAGGAGAATAAAGGGAAAGATGAGGTCTGAAGCATGAGGCATTTTTCTGGAGGAGCAGGATACCTAGAAGGCAGGGGATTGGCAGCAAAGGAAACCCATGATGAGGGCATGGCTCACCACCAGGACTCATTGATGACAAGGGCTTTGAGAAATTTAGTAAGCGAATGGTGGCTCACCTCTTTCTGAACCCCTTGGCTTGTCTTTTTGATCAATTTAAGTGCGATTTGTCTTTTTCCTTAGGAGCAAAAGGTATTACTGTCAAGAACCTTAGCTAATAGCCTTGCCCTCTACATTGAGCTCTTAACTAAGTTCCCATTATAGTGGCTGAAGCCTTACATTACCGATGAAAGCTGTAAATGATGTGTCATTAATAATGATACTTTGTTCTTCTAAAAGGGCTTTGTTCTGAAAGTCCAAGGTGCTTGACACTATATGGTCGCATTAATCTTATCCATCAAAATGCATGAGGTGTTAGAAAGTCATCAAGACCAATGAGGTAGAAATATATTCCTTTATATTTTGCTCAGTTTTGTACAGAACTCTATAAAAGTAGGTGATGTTCTAAAAGAAAAGAAAGCATAACTTCTGGATGAGGCAATGACAATCATTGGAATGGACCATGAGTATTTTCAAAGGAAGGCTTGATTAATACTTGTTATGATTTTAATAAGTAAAAGACATTTCCAATTTTTGTTAAAGAATCCAAAATGGGAAAGGAAACATTTCCTATTCATGCTAAGTGACAGCATGTAAAACAGCTTCTATTCTTTTCATTTTTTCCTACAGGTCTTGAAGGATGAAGACTTATCTGTTATTTCAATGTAGTTTGCCAACAACTGAATTGTGGTCTTAAGTTTTACTTAGATGAGCCAATTAGCTCATATATTCACTTTCATGTATCTTTAAAAACATTACTGAACATCATATATATAAGTGGCATAATCTGTGTCTCCAACCCTAACTTCTCTCCAAACTCACATTTCCAAAAACCTCTTGAACACGTCTAAATGCCCTCCCTATAGGTACTGTAACTTCTGTATGGGCCATACTAACTTCATTGGCCACTTCTCCAAACCCATCCTTCCAAGAATAGCATCAGATGCTGAAAATGACTCCTCTATCCCCTCAAGGAGCCCTGAATTGCCTCCCTGATTTCTCCCTTTCTGTTTCCTCTTAGAATCAACCTAGTTATCAGATCCTGTTGCTTCTATATCCCAAATGCACTTTCAGTCAATTCTCTCTTTATCACTGCCCTGGCCCAGGGCTTTGCTACTTCTCATCTGAAAGTTGGAGAAGCCTCCTAATTGGGCTCCAGTTTATTCTCCACATCACAGCCACAATGAGCTACATAAAACACAAGTCTTATCATGTTACCCCTCAATGCAAAATCACTCCTGTCTACCCACAGCCTACAGGAGAAAGTAAACTCAGCAGGACATACACACCTTCATGGTTGGCCTCGTTCTAAATCTTCATCCACTTTTCCTCCAACACCCCACCAAATTCCAGCCATATTGAATGATTTAAAGAGGCCCTAACCTCCGTGTCTTTGCTCATGCTGGTCTTGCTCCTCCACCTGACCACCAGAATTTACTCATTCATTCTTCCTTAAGACTTTACTCTGTGTTTTCACCTCTGTGAAGTTCTTTGCAAGTCTTCTTTGCCTCTCCCATGCCCTATCCTTAACCCTCATCCTCTCTTAGTACTTATTCCATTTCTTTCTCGGAGCATTTGCTATGTGCCTAGAAGCTGATTATTCATTTATCTATCTCCATATTCAGGCTGCTAGTCCTACAAGAGGTGAGAATTTTTTTCTCATTCATCTTTATTGCCAGTGCCAAGTACCATAACCAGCACATGATGGGTCCTCAAACATTAGCTGAATGACAACTAGGAAACCAATGACTCCATTACTTTCTTACCAGTGAACATTTTGTTTCCTACAAGATAGTTGAATGCATAGGAAATAATTCAGGAAATTATTGGATGCAGAGATGCATCTAATAATGTAAGATGCAGAGATGGCACTCTAAACACTGAAGATCTTAAAGACAGCTGAGAATGCACGTATATTCTTAACAGCATGGAAATGCTCAGCGTATCCCATCTGGATAACTTAAACGTACAATCAGGTTTTCCTCCATAAACTAATTTGCAAAAATGAATAGCAGATGGGTTACATTAGTTCATTGATAGTGAGGGTAGTTACTTTATGCTCAAAAGTAATCAATGTATTTCCTATTAAACTCCAGTATGTTAATGAATGTTCACATTTTTGTGGTGCTTCTTTATGAAAGAGAATTTTTTACTTACTGTAATATTCTATAATAAAATGTAAATAAACATTGCTTTCCCCTGCCTGGTAATTACCCCAGAATCCATTTAAACAGAAGTAGTATTTGCAGAGAAGTATCCAGGAAGGAAAGAAAAAAATAAATGGAGTAGTAGTTGTCCCATTTGCTGGCTGGTGTTTGGTTTATAACATTTGGCACATCTTGATATCTACATAATAGTAGTTTTAAAGCCATAAATAATATTTTACAGAGGTCACACCATAGTTATTTAAGTTCAGGGGTTTATTTCCCTGAGCACTAAGTAGCTATGAATGAATTATGTTTAGTCTGATCTGCCACAGAAGGGCCATAAAACCTCCAACTCATAGGAAACCGTGGAATATTACTTCAATACATCAGGAAAAATGTACATGTAAAAGAATAATGCATGATAAGGGAAAGGTATTTTTATTTTTTTAAAGTAATATATGTTACTGGGCAGGAGCTATAAAATTTTGTTATGTTAAACTTTCCTCTGATTCTGGAAATCAAGTTAAGACATGGCTTTGCATTGTCTGCCCTCAGCCAGTAAAGCAGGCTGTGGAACCAGAGGAGGGACCCAGGAAAGAGAGTCCCGCCCTGAGTAAGGAACACTTTCTCCTCCCTGCACCTCTGATAGTTGAAAGCAAAGAAAAGTTGCAAGATCACAAGAGGTGATTTTATAAACTTTTTGTTACTGCCAGCATTCTTTTCCAATGACTCCCAGGCAAGTGTTTTTGTAGATACTCAGAAGCAAGGGTACAGACCATTTTTAGCCTTAAGATGCAATTCACTTCAAAAATTAAATCTATGGGCCAGGCGTGGTGGCTCACGCCTGTAATCCCAGCACTTTGGGAGGCCGAGGCAGGTGGATCACCTGAGGTCAGGAGATATAGAGACCAGCCTGGCCGACATGGTGAAACCCCGTCTCTACTAAAAATACAAAACCTAGCCGGCCGTGGTGGCGTGTGCCTGTAGTCCCAGCTACTCAGGAGGCTGAGGCAGGAGAATCGCTTGAACCTGAGAGGTGGAGATGGCAGTGAGCCTAGACCGTGCCACTGCATGCTAGCCTGGTTAACAAACCAAGACTCTGTCTCAAAAAAAAAAAAAAAAAAAAAAAAAAAGAAAGAAAAAAGAAAAGAAAAAGAAATCTACTTAAAATCCTGTTGAGCACATACAACTTACCAGACATCACACTAAGTGATTTCCCTTGGTTTTTCTCATGTCATCTTTTTTTTTTGGAGACCGAGTCTCGCTGTTTTGCCCAGGCCAGAGTGCAGTGGCGCAATCTCAGCTCACTGCAAGCTCCGCCCCCCGGGTTCACGCCATTCTCCTGCCTCAGCCTCCCGAGTAGCTGGGACTACAGGCGCCCGCCACCACGCCCGGCTAATATTTTGTATTTTTTTTAGTAGAGACGGGGTTTCACCGTGTTAACCAGGATGGTCTCGATCTCCTGACCTCGTGATCCGCCCGCCTCGGCCTCCCAAAGTGCTGGGATTACAGGCGTGAGCCACCGCGCCCGGCCCCATGTCATCTTTAAACAACCCTAATATTATCCCCATTATGCAAATTCAGAAACAGAGGTTTGAAGAGAGAAAGAAAGTGGTCCAGTGTTATGCAGCTGGTTGGGGACAGCCAGGTTTCCAGCTGAGGGCAGTGTGACTTCAGAAGCTCCCTGGCTATTCAAAGTCAGCAGTGACAAAACAAATAGCTGCCATTTGTTGAGCACTTTCCAGGCAATGTTCTGAGTGCTTTGCCTATCACATTGTACTCCTCACAACAATCCTATGAAGTAGGTGCTAATATTAACTGCATTTCACAGATGAGGAAGCCAGGTTCAGAGAGGTTAAATAACTAGTCTAAGGCAGCACAGGCAGTATAGAGAGCCAGAATTCAAACCAGGTTGGCCGACTGAGAGGCTCGCTAAAGGAGTCAACTTCTCATCCTCTAATTTTCTTTTAGTTTTTATGCAAATAATGATTAATCATGAATGTTAAGACTAAATCTGTGAAGGAACAAGAATAGTCAAGACAGCCCTGAAAAAGAACTGGAGTTGAAGGCGTGAGAAGGTGGAGGGGGATTTCACTTGACCTACCAGAACTGAAGACTTCACTGGAAAGCTTCAGTGACTTGGACAGGGTGATTTTAGTGTAGGGTAGGCAAGTAGACCAATGGAACAGAATAGAGAGAAATTCATACTATAATGAAAAACACAGAAAAGATAACAATTTAGGAGAGTGGTTATCCCTGGGAGAGAGGGGGTGAATGGCGGCAGGGAGGGCAAACAGTGTATCAAAGTACTAGTAATACTGTGGGAGGTGGGTACACTAGTGTCCATCTTGCTATTATTCCTTAAGTTGTGCACACATTGTATACACTCTTCAGCACTGATAATAACAGTCTGGAGAATTTACTCTGCGCTGATGAAAAGGTTGCCAGGGAGTCTAAGACTTAAACTTTCATGACACCTTTACTTGTTTGTGCTTTTGTTTTTTGAGACAGGGACTTGCTCTGCCACCCAGGCTGCAGTGCGGTGATGCAATCACAGCTCACGGCAGCCTTGACCTCCTGGGCCCAAGTGATCCTCCCACCTCAGCCTCCTGACTAGCATGAACTACAGGCACATGCCATCACACCCAGCTAATTTTTAAATTTTTTTGTAGAGACAGGGTCTTGCTATGTGGGCCTCACTGGCCTCCAACTCCTGGGTTTATGCAGTCCTCCCTCCTCAGTCTCACTACGTGCTGGGATTACAGGTGTGAGCCATTGCATCATGATACCTTTAGAGTCTACTTTTTTCTGTGTTGCATCCAGTGCTTCTATAGACTCAAGTAATGCACAAGGTTAGAATAATTCATTCCTAAGCATTTGCGACCTCATTAAGAAATTTGGATAATTTTTAAATGTGTTTTCTTTAAGTTGAAAAACAAAAATGACATTAGGTGGACTACTGCCCAGTGCACTCCATTTTAGTGGAAAGTTCAAAAGAACACAGGAGCCCCTGCAGGTAAGTCCCCTTGGAATTTTGGTGAGTATAGACACTGTATGAGGGAGGAAAAATCCTGGCCACTGCTAGCGTGGAGAGATGGCTTTTGTATTACAGACTCATAGCACCAAAGCCATGACATCTCCTCATTGTCTTTTTTCTTTTTAAAAAATGTTTGTGGAGACAGGGGTCTCATTATGTTGGCCAAGCTGGTCTCGAACCCCTGGCCTCAAGTGATCCTCCTGCCTTGGCCTCCCTAAGTGCTGGGATTACAGGTGTGAGCCACCATGCCCAACCTCAGTGTCTTTCATCAGAGCAGAAAGCGGGAGGCCATGCAATCTAAGTAGAAATTAACCCTAAGACAGAAATCTTGGGAAGGGAATAAGTAGCATTTTAGCCACATTTCCTCAAATTTACTACCAAAGGTAAACTCAGCAGCCAAGCAGTGGGCTCAGTGCCAGCCCCTTTGCATGTCATAGAGTCTTGCATTTTTCCTGCGCTGTACACCCGGGGACTGGGGAAGGTCGTTCTACAGAACTGAGAAAAGGATTCAACTCTGCCACCTGGCCCCCTGAAGTCACCTCGCCGTGGCCTCGCTGCCCCTGACGGGACCTGTGGCCGGAGCCTGACTGCAGCGACACGGAACGCAGCGTACAATTTCTCAGGTTGATTGTCGGTCCAATCTGTAATGAGAATCCCGTTCTAAAGATGTGCACTGCTGCCCTCCGCTGGACATAGACAGAATCACCAGCATTTAATTACCTTTGGGTCTAATGCAAACGACAGCAAAAAAAATCTGCTCTTAGGGGATTGTGTATGTGCATGTAAATAGTAGCTATAGAAATTAAAGCTCCTCAGAAAACCAAATACCGCATGTTCTCACTTATAAGTGAAAGCTAAAGGATGAGAACACATGGACGCATAGAGGGGAACAACGCACCCTGGGGCCCATGAGAGGGTGGAGGTTGGGAGGAGGGAGAGGATCAGGAAAAATAGCCAATGGATACTAGGCTTAATAATTGGGTGATGAAATAATCTGTACAACAAACCCCATAACGTGAGTTTACCTATGTAACAAACCTGCACGTGTACCCCTGAACTTAAAACTTAAATAAAAATTAATTAATTAATTAAAATTCCTGGGAGTAAATAAAGTTTGGATGTTTATAAATTTTATGACAATTTTGTGACTTTCTATACATTATGATTAAGTGATCAAAAAATTTATCATTAATTTTTATTCAAATAATATTTTCTGCAATATGATTCTAGTGGTTACTACAAATTTCTTTTTTCTCTAAAAAAACTTTTTCACAAATATGTTAGTTTTACAACTATGTCATAAAGAAAAAATTTTTGGCTCTAACTTTGGAAAAGTACACGTCATTTACTTTGTCATAAGCATAGGCACAAAAAATGGAAAAGACTGCCACTTTTTTTCTTTTCACCAAATGTCTTTGCCAAATAGGAAGAATATGTCTTTTTATATTTGAAACTATATTTTTCTTTTTAAGTGGAAGACCAATAAATATTGGCAGATGCCTTTCCCAGGAACTGTATGAAACTGACTCACAGCTTAATGGACTGACTGATACACTTACAATAGTCACTTCTTTCTGGAGCAGAAAGCCTCCAGAGTCTTTCCAGAAGCAAAATTAAGTATGCCCAGTTAGCATTCTATGAATTGCTTTGAATTGCTTGTACTGGAACAGTCATTCAATCAAAGCAAAAAGCTTTAGGTGGGAATGATTTAAACTTTGCCTACTTTTTGAGGTTGATATTGAACCTAAGAAATATATATATATTTTTTGGCAGGGGGCAGCGTCTTGCCCTGTCACCCAGGTTGGAGTGCAATGGTACGATCTCGGCTCTCTGTAACCTCCGCCTCCCGGGTTCAAGTGATTCTTCTGCCTCAGTCTCCCAAGTAGCTGGGACTACAGGCATGGACCACCATGCCCACCTAATTCTTTTGTGTTTTTAGTAGAGCCGGGGTTTTACCAAGTTGGCCAGGCTGGTCTCGAACTCCTGATCTCAGGTGATCCACCTGCCTCAGCCCCCCAAAGTGCTGGGATTACAGGTGTGAGCCATCGCACCCGGCCAGAAATATAAATTTTTGTAAACTATTTTAAAATTGTGTGTAAGTGAAGCTGGTACCATTCTTCAATACCAAAACAAATATTTCTTCCATTCTAAGCTGCACTTCCCCCCACATTTTAACATTTCTAAAATCAGGATGTATATCAAAGTCTTGGCTTCTCACAATCCATGGCATGTTACAATTGCTGGCACTTAGACAGACTCACTGTCAGCCAGGTAATGGTCAGGATGTAGCTGTCATTGTGCAGTACTGTCATATTTGGGGCAAAACACTGCATTGTGTACAATAACATAGACATTGAAGATTCTGTCTTTAAGGGATTCCGAAGAGTTGGACTCTGAACATGAAGGAATTTTAGGAAAATCTTAGCAAAAATAAAGCTTAGTTTATTTTAAATATATTTTTCTTTTCATATCAGCAGAAGCATGATACGTAAGAAAAATCTATCTAAACAAATATAAAAGCACCCTTTTAATAAGGATAAAGTGCAAAAAATGTAAAAAATTGTTAGGTGATATTTTAATTGGCAGCATTTTTTTTCTTAGTGGTACATAACGTAATGGTGCATCTTATGATTCTCGACATCTTAAATTCAATAAATTATACAGCATAACAACAAGACAGTGGAAAAAATGCTTTTGAATTCAAAACCAGATGACATAAGATGGCATTAACTGAAAAGGTGTATTCACTCAATTTCCACTGCCTGCACTATCAATCCATTCTGAGAAGAAAATGGAATTTTTAAAATGCTCTCACTCCTCTGATGTAAACGAATACTAAAAGAATAAAACAGTGTGCCGGATGCCAACATGAATCAGCTCCTCAGCCTTCAGCATCTCACTATAATTATTGGATTCAGTCCAACCAACCTTCAGGATCACAAGAAGGGTAGCTGAGGGGCTCAGAGATCAAAGCCTACATGTAGTTCGTCTGAAGCCCATGTAATATACCTCACTGGAAGGATGCACTTGGGGCTAGAGTGTCAGAAGAGTGAGAATATTAAAGAGTCTTTCTCAGTCCCTGAGGTCTCCTTGAACCGGGAAGCTTTGCTAGATAGGCATACATCAAGGCTCCGAGCATTACATCTCGCTGTACTCTCTCAATCTGAATTGTATGTGAGTATGCGAAGTTGATGACCACATATAAATCATAGTTATTTCTGTTGACAGGAAATAAAGTTAGACTATCAGACATACTCAGAGCCAATATCTGCTTTCATGTTTTTCAAAGTTATAGGGAAAAGATGTCTTCCATTATTGTGAACGTATTGTCAGAGTGAAGACTGAGCCAGTTCTATAGCCTCCAGGTCCTTTTCTCCGCCAAGAATGGAAAACATGCTGTGATAAAACGTTGCCAAAGGAGAGTTCCAAATAAAAGCCTCCCAGTCTATTTAGACTTGGCGTGGTTGAAGACTCCCTTCAACCCCACCCTCTACCATCCCACCCAAGGAATGAAGTTTTTGCTTTTCCTTCAAAAACTGTGTTTCTTGTTTCCCATCACCCATCCCCATCACCTCATCTCCCTCCCTAGGCGCCGTTTCAGCAAAGCTCGGGGAATCAGAATTTTTTTTAGCATACACAGATTCTTATATCAGTTTTAGGGCCTCTATTAGCATAAAATATACACAAATAAGTGCATTAGCAGCATATAGATGAACCAGGCATATAAAGCCATTTCTAGTTACATATTCTCGTGAGACAATTCCTCTCCTGGTCCTTCGTAAAACAAGTTTCCATCTGTCTTTGCTCAAGATCCATGTTTCAGTGCTGAGTCAAGCCACTGATTCGGAGGCTCATGAATGATTTTCCTATGTTTCCCTGCAATGCATTTTACTTTTTATGCACTCCCAGAAGTTCCTTGCTTTTAAAAATGGTCTTATTATGCAGCTTCAGGGGCTATTTATCACTACATACTTTCTGGACCTATAATTTTTATTTATGTATTTATTTATTTATTTATTTTTGGAGATGGAGTCTCGCTCTGTTGCCCAGGCTGGAGTTCAGTGGCACAATCTCAGCTCACTGCAACCTCTGCCTCCCAGGTTCAAGTGATTCTCCTACCTCAGCCTCCCGAGTAGCTGGAATTACAGGTGCATGCCATCACACCCAGCTAATTTTTGTATTTTTAGTAGAGTCGGGGTTTCACCATGCCTGCCAGGCTAGTGTCGAACCCCTGACCTCAAGTGATCCACCCACCTCAGCCTCCCAAAGTGCTGAGATTACAGGCATGAGCCACCATGTCCAGCCAAGGACCTATGATTTTTCTAAAAGCTTCAGTAGTCTTTAAAACTCTTTCTCCCTCTTAAAGAATCCCTTTTCACATTCTTGGGGGTGATCTCAGCTCACTGCAACTTCTGCCTCCCAGGTTCAAGTGATTCTCCTGCCTTAGCCTCCCGAGTAGCTAGGATTACAGGCGCATGCCACCACGCTTGGCTAATTTTTTTATTTTTAGTAGAGATGGGGTTTTGCTATGTTGGCCAGACTGGTCTCGAACTCCTCACCTCTAGTGATCCTCCTACCTCATCCTTCCAGAGTGCTGGGATTGCAGGTATGAGCCACTGCACCCAGCTGGGGGCTCTTATTTGGAGCTCTCCCTAGATCTTATTCTCCTAGCCCAGTCTCACCCTAAGCAAACATTAGCACTGTACACTAATGTAGCAATATTGCAGTTTTATGTTTTCAAGCCCAGACTAAAATGACTCTAAATTCAAAGATGATTTGGTGTAGGGCTTATGAAAGGTGCTCTTAGTGGCAGAGGGGTGACAGAGAGAAGCACTGGCTTGGGAGGTGGTGATCCTGGGTGATGGTCCATTTTCTGCCAATACCTAAGTATGTGACCTGGAAAAGTTATTTAATGTTCTGTGTCTCCTCTGTAAAGTGAGGGTTTTTGTTTTTGTTTTTTGAGACAAGGTTATGCTCTGTCACGCAGGCTGGAGTGCAACGGCACGATCTTGGCTCACTGCAGCTTCCGCATCCCAGGCTCAAGCTATCCTCCCACCACAGCCTCCCAAGTAACTGGGACTACAGCTGCTCACCTCCATGCCCTGCTAATTTTTGTATTTTTTGTAGAGACAGGGTTTCAGTATGTTGCCCAAGCTGGTCTTGAACTCCTGGGTTCCAGCAATCCACCCACCTTGGCTTCCCAAAGTGCTGGGATTACAGACATGAGCCACCGCACCCGCCTGGGATGGTTTCTTGAGGAGAAATGCAATTGTCAAAATTGCAAGGGTTCATAACAGAGGATAACCCTGTTATTTTCCACTGAGAATTTGAAAAAGGTTATGTTGAGGATTGTTTTGGATTTGGTTCCTTCCAATGTCAACTTCTAACCTTTAAAAAAAATTGTAATGACATGCTTATGCTAGTCCTCAACACGTGGTAGGGAAGGAACACTGGGTGGCTCTAGTGATCTTAAACATCTTCCTACTTCAATCCCAGCCCAACACACCATTCCCCATCCCTCCTTACTCTCCTCACTAACAGCACGGACTCTTCTAAAAAACAAACTCAAACTGCGTCATGGACCACAGTAGCCAAAATCTAAGGAATTCAAGCCTCTCTGTTTCACTGCCAAGCACTATCCCAAAAAGGTCACTGATCTTTGAAATCAGCGAGCCCTGAAGCCCACTGAAGGGGGTCAAAAGAGTTAAAAGATTCCAGATGGGGCCAGAGTAGCCTCTCCAATTTCTTCTGCCTGTGTTGCTCATTCAGGGTGACCTGTACAGGTCACTAAATCTCTATGTGCTTTCAACTCCCCATTTATAAAATTTGGCTAATATTGATTTGTAAGATATTTAGAGAGAGTTGAATTAGGATTACTACAAAGAGCAAATTCCCTAGCTGATTTTTGTGTTACTACTAGTGAAGGCCCTAGGCACAATTCAACAATCAAAAAGCAGCAGTGAATGAGAAATTGCTGAAAGTGGCCAAATCAGGCTTTCTTAGATCTGGAGCTCTGCTGCCCAATTAAATCTGCACACTCACATTGGACAACATCTAGTTTATAAAGGCAAATATTTAATTAGTGGAACCTTAGGACTGGCAATGCTACTTCCAACCCATGTAACAAGATACCCTAAGCTTGAAAAGCAAACCCTGTAAACTTAAACTACTGTAAAATTATAAAGTTTAACATAAAAATGGAAAATCTTTAAATAGCCGTTTTGTGCAATGTTCTTAACAGACAAGACTGCCACACAATGAAACTGTGTAACTGCTAGCAGCAGGCACTCCAGGAAGATAAAATAAACTGGCTTTATGGACCCGAGGAATTGATTTTTAATGAGATTCTGCTTGGCTATAATGGCATCCTGAGAGGGCGATCCAGTTTCCACGGCCTCTGGTATACAGTTATAAGGTGCAGAGCAAGGACTCAGTTAAACAATGCCCATGTATTTGCCCTTTTGGCATATGAGATTAAATAAAATAAGGATGTTGTTCTTAGACACTTTCCAGAAACTGCACATGCACGTGCGTACACACACATACACACACACACACACACACACACACACACACACACACACACACACACAATACTCTGACTTCAGATGCTTTTCCTTAGACATTACCTGCTCGTATATTCTAAATTTTAGAGGACTTGACCCTTGAAGTTATGGGCTTGTGTTTGTATTTCTCTATCGGGGTATAACAACCCATAAATTATTAGATGAACTTGGCTGATTATTTTGTATTCCACTACCTGGAGACATTTATGCTTATATATAAATATGTACAGCAATGGATATGGATACAAATAGGTATAGATAGAGATATGGCTATAGATAATTGGCAATAGAATTGAGAAGGCAGTGTAGTATATTGGTTAAGAGATTCAGCTTTGAATCTTGCCTCTGCCCCTTCCTAGCTGTGTGTCCTTAGGCATATTAATCAACTTCTCTGAGCCTCAACTTTATCTTCCATAAATGTGGATAGTAATACCAATTTTACAAGGTTGTAGTAAAGATTAAATGATACACAAACACACAATAACATAAATGAATCTTAGCAATATAATATTAAAGGAAAAAATAAATCTCCAAAGATTATGTATAGCACATTTTTTCATAAAGGTAAAGCTAAATAACATTGAAGTCTATATGTTTATGAGTTCATACAGCAGCAGTAGAATCATGTGCAAAAAAGAAAAAGAATGATAAACACAAGGTCCAGGGTGATGACTGCTTTGAATGAGAGGGAATAAGGGAGAATGGGAGGGAGAGAGGATCAAATAGGGAGATAACTGGTTATAGTCAAGGTGCTAGTTTGTGATGGAGCGGCAGGCTCGTGAACACATATAATGAATAAAAATAAGTAGTCAACTAAATAAAACTAGCAAACTAGCTACAAATGGACCAATGATGAGAATATGTCATGAACCAAGGAATATGATTAATCCAATTCTGTGTACTGGAGGGTCAAAGAAAAAGAAGACTAAATGAGATAATGTATATTAAAGTGATTAGCACAGTATCAGGCCCTTAGTAAGCACTCGAGAAAATCTTAGGTAAATGGCTGGGTATTTCTACATACATTCATATGTATCCTTATCCTTAATTAATTTGGCTTTCCCCGGCATCATCCACTTCCCCCCATTTTCCCTATTTTTTGATTTCCTCATTTTTTTTTTCTGTTGCATCATCTGGGTTTAGAAAAATCCTTCACTTTTCAATTTTTAAAAACCTTGAGACATGATTTACATACAATGCCATGTACAGATCTTAGGTGTTCAGCTCCATGCATTTTGTCCGCTGTATTCACAAACGTAACCATGATTCAAAACAAGATATAGACTATTCCCATCATCCCAAAAAGTTTCTTTGTGCCCCTTCCCACTCAATTATCCCTTTGCCAAAGGTGACTTCTTTCTGACTTCTGACATCTCTCACTATAGATTAATTTTGCCCATTTGTAGACTTCATATAAATGAATCATACTGCTTGTATTCTTTTATATCCAGCTTCTTTTGATCCCCGCAATGCTTTTGAGATTCTCTATCATACTGTGTATCTGTAGTTCATTCCTTTTTATTGCTGAGTAGTGTTTTGTTGTATGAATATGCAACTTGATTATCCTTCCTTTCTACTATGAATGGACGTCTGGGCTGTTTCCAGTTTGGAGCTATTATGAGTAATGCTGCTCTGAATATTCTTTTTTTTTTTTTATACAGAGTCTCACTCTGTCACTGAGCTGGAGTGCAGTGGTGCCGATCTTGGCTCACTGCAACCTCCACTTCCCAGGTTCAAGCAATTCTCCTGCCTCCGCCTCCCAAGTAGCTGGGATTAAAGGTGCCCACCACTACGCCCAGCTAATTTTTTGTATTTTTAGTAGAGATGGGGTTTCACCATGTTGGCCAGGCTGGTCATGAACTCCTGACCTCGTGATTTGCCCGCCTCGGCCTCCCAAAGTGCTAGGATTACAAGCGTGAGCTACCGTGCCCGGTGCTGCTCTGAATATTCTTAAATGATTATTTCTGTGGATATATCTTTTGATTTATTTCAGGTAATACTTAGGACTGGAATTGCTGAGTTGTAGGGTAGATGCCTGTTTATCTTTATGAGAAACTGCCAGTTTTCCAAAGGGGTTGAATCATTCCAAATCCTTAAATCTGTAACATCTAACTCTACACCAGCAAGAATCCTTTTGTGTCAGGTCCATGTCTTTTACCAACTCTAAAAGGATTCCTAGGCCAAGAAAAATAAATTAAAAAAAAAAGATATGGATGTAAATGGCAACAGATGAATTTAGACTTGTCTGATGGTAGAATGTGCCAAGTCAGAACAGCAAGAGAGCCTTCCCCTGCTGATTCAGACCTCGAAATAAATCATATTTAAGAATACGACTTGGGTAAAGTGTGAGCCCAAATCATATGTTCTCCAGCTGGGTGGATGTCCCTTTCTGCTCTTGGCCTCAGCAGCCACACTGAATAATCTTTTTGGGAATGGGTGGGTGACCGATGGTAGGGACATTAATTGCCTTCCATTGGCTGGTTGATTTGGCTGTAAAGAGAAATGCCTGCCCAATTCCCAGAGAGCTTACATCTGTTTCTCATACAGCGCAGCCACCCATGCTGCTTCAACTATTCCCTACTGCTGGCCAGGCCACCACTTTATTGATTTTTTTCCCTTGCCCTTTTAAAAAGATGAAAGTTCCTAAAAGCTTTTTGCATGTGCATGTGCATGTGCGTGTGTGCGTTGGTGACGGCAACAGTTTAGTTTAGCAAACCAAGCAGCAGCCAGGTGAGTCATCCCTGGGTTTGTTGGTTTGTTTGGTTTTTTTGTTGGTGGTGGTGGTATTGTTTTTGGAACCGATTACTCTAGGATTGTGCACCCCCAGTGGTGGAGCTGACAGGAGCATAATAATTAGAATGTGCTGACAACAACTTAAAGATAATTAGTTGACAATGAGTTGAGACCTCATGAACCCCTTTAACACCTCAAGGTTTGTGATTAAAATGAAATACTTGGAAGTCCCTTAAAGTACATCTTGTCTTCCTACCAGAAGTTGTTTGGGTACAGCCAGAATGTTTGATATTTCTTTGATATGTCTTTCATTTCACGTTTTGTGATTATCCGCAAAGGTTAGCATTATTTCTGTGGAAATCAATAGATTAAAGGATTTGTGGTTTTACTCACAAAGCTATTATTTTGCTTCTTTCCCCAATAATCATCTCCCACTCTCATCCAGCCTTTTAACTAATTGATGTTCAAACATTTTTTTAAGAAAAAAAATCATCCTTTTGTTCTTACAGATTACATGGATTAATAAAGTTAACTGTGATTTACTGAAATTATTCCAACTGAAAGTTTAATGGCTACAGAATGCCACCATGACAATTCACAGGTGTGCATATGTTTAGATGAAACTAGGGTATTTCACAAATCTGCTAGCCTCAGCTTCCAATAAACATATGATAGTTTTTATTTTTCTTGATGGGCCCTCAATAAATGTTTAATAGACGGAAGAATTGATACTGAGATTCCATGATCTTCTAGAATTTATTCAGTTTCACTCTGCCTCCAAAATAGACTCCATTTAAACCCATAGAGGTAAAACCTAGTGGTTCTGTCCTTTGTTCCTAAATGTTTCTTAGGAGAGTAGTTTCAGTGCTTCCAGGACAATGCAATTACACTACATATTAAACTTCAAATATCAAACAACATTCTAATATTTCAGAAGGGTTGCAATTAGCTTTATTTTTATTATAAAATGTTAATCACCTGTAAAGCTAGAACCTTAATATCAGTTATATTATTTAGACATGTAATCAGTTATACCATTTAGACATTGCAACCATTTGTTTGATACGGAAGTTTCATATTAATGAGGCCAAATTCGTTCACTTCCAGGATACTGGTCTTTAATCTTTTCTGGGTCACAGACCCATTTGGGAATATGGTGAAATCTGTGAACCCTCTGGTCCAGATGAAGGCTCGGTCACTTATACGCCAAATTTATTGGATTTCTGGGGATTGATGGATTCCAGATTAATATTCTCACATCATCTTTAACAGATGATTTTAACCTTTCAGACATGTTGGTTATTAATCTGTAAAACAAATCGGGGAAAATGGACCAACTGTGAACAGATCATATTCAAATTGGAACTAGGATTTGAGTGAACTACCCTAGTTAGAAATCCAAGCAGGAAAAAAAAATGCTTTGTTATAAAATAAAGGTCAAGTGTGCAGTGGAGATTTATTGAAAAGATTAATTGACCAGAGCTCTAGGCTAGTGTTTCTCACAGTATAATGTGTATGACTGCTTCAACAGATTTAGCAGAGATGCTTGTTTAAAATGCTTGTTCCTAGGTCCTACCTCAGCAGACTAAATGGGTATCTCCTTTGATGGGAGCTGAGCCCCTGAATTTCAGTTTAACAAGATCTCCAGGTGATTCTTACGTGCAGCCGGGTTTGAGAATCTGTCTCTTCCACTCTTACTCTTAACGTGACCTCTTTTGCAAAGCACTTTATTTATATTGGTATCGTTAGTCAGTCAGTGTGAATGAAGATCTTCCATAAACGCCCAGAAAATGCTTTTGATAACTCCAATTTGGGTAGTGAATGTCATCAGAGAGCCCTGTGGAAAGCAGCTGCAAACAATTGTCACTCTGCTCTACTTACCATCAGAGGAAGGCCACTTTAGATCGGCCCATCACATTGTTTCATTTTTTGGTACTTAGTCATTTGTTACAATAAAAATTAAGTTACAGGAAAGGAACACTCTGACAGGATAATGGACTCCCACTCAGAAGAAACCAGCCTGCCTCCAATTCATCACGGCATTTATAGTGCATTAGAAGACATCACAGTGACAACATCATTCCTTTGGGGCAGGAAGAAAAGCCAGATTGAGTGGGAAAGAGGGAATTGACTTCGTGAACTTGGCAAAAGTGAAATAAAAATAGAATCCAGGGGTGGTTTGAATTGCCATGTTCAGCAAAGGACGAGGAAGGAGCTAACAATCACTGAGACTAACATTCCAATATGTTAAAAAATTAGCTTATTTCACCTTGCATCACATGAGTAGTTTGTGGGTTAAAATGAAATGGTTGCCTGAGAAATAACAGAGTGGCATGGAGAAAATGGGCAAAGTTAAGGCAATTTAAAATGATTAAAGCCCACAAAATATTTTGCAAATATAAAGTCCTGGAGGGAACTTTAATAATAATATTTGTCCAATAGACTGGGCCAAAGATATCTATATTGTCTGGGCATTTTAATTGGAGGATTGAAGTATAATTATAAAATCATAAAAAATCTATGTCTGTGTTCTCATAAAAGTAAAAATGGTTATTTGATGTAGGAAAGTAATGTTTTGAAACATAGGAGCTGAAGGAATGTGGCACTGGGTGGGTATGTCTGCCAACTTAGACCCAGGAACTTAATAACTTTATAGTATTTTTACTATTATACCCTACATCATGTTAAGCCTGGGAAAAAAATAAAAGGGGATACCAGGCAACTTTGTATAATGAAAATGTCTTAATCTTGTGATTTTTAAGGTAACTCTTTTTAAAACTTTACTTTTTATTAAAATAACATTATTTCATAGATCCTGGAAACTTTTTTTTGGTCCAGGTTTCCCCTTAATAAAATGTTTAATTCACTTAAGAGTCTCTTTGAACAAAAACCTGTGTGGTCTCATTTTCTTTCCCTGTCAATCTGTGTTATTTCCAGGGTGAAAGGTAATTTTGACCATAAACATGGTTTCCATCACACATTTCTAATTTTAACCTATTTGTCTCAGTTTGATTTACATTGGGGTCTAGAGCAAATTAACTATTGCGAGTTTTTATTGAAAATTAATTAGGTGGCTAAAGTGCCCATGGCAGAATCTCTGCCAGTACGTTTCTCTCTTGGTCGCCAGCCTTCTCCAGTTAAAACACCTAGCAACTTAGAAAAAAAAATCCATAAAACGAATGATATAATTAGTTCCAGAGTGGAACTCAATCTCTTTGAAATCAGATGCTTTCTTCTAGTGCTGAAGTGCCATGCTATAGCAAGCATTTTATGGTATCAGGGGATTGTCCTGGGAGTGAAGAGTGCTCGTTCTAGCTGAATCACCTCACATGACTTACAAAAGGTGTCCTTGTGGTACTAAATATAGCTGAATCTCTAATCTGATTCCTAAGTCAAGGCAAAGAGAGAGAGGAAGCTAGGTTTACAATACTATAAGGTGAAAAATAAGCTCCCCAGGTTGGGAAATAGACTCCATGAATGTGTGTGTATGCGTGTGTGTGTGTGTGTGGGGGTGTGTGTGTGTGTGTGTGTGTGTGTCTGTGTGTGACAGAGAGAGAGAGGGAGAAAGATCTTATGCTTAGGAAAAGGCAGGATGTAAATGTGATTTATTGTAAATAGTTCCACAACATTAAAATGAGTTTTTATTTTCTATGTATGCTGCTTCAAAGAAGAGCTCTGTGGGCTCATAAAAATGCAGAGAACAAATAGGGGTCTCTAAGTCCAATTTATATGCCATGCCCACTGTGCACTGAGACACATATAATCTGTAAAATGTCAGCTTCAAAGTTCCACCGAGATCGGTGTTAACCCTGACCTCTGACCTCGCCGCCTCTGGCTGGGCCTGCGTGCTTTCTTTACCAGCTGTTTTAGATAAATGTGTTCCATTTTTAAGAGATTGTCTCAGTGTTTTTTTACATGAATAGTGGTAATATTATTAACTCTCACTGGAGAAACCACCTTTTCTAAGAGGGCTTTACAGAAGAACCAATCATTTCATGCCCCATGCAGAGAGTAGTGGATTAATAAATATGTCATTGTACTGAAAATATTTAAACAACACTGGGAGAAAGGAGAAAGGCACACAACAAAAGGAAAGCATATTAGTAGTGTTTCCTGTCAAAATACACAGAGGAAGCACTTTATTTGGACCATTTTCTCCATAAAGAGACATGGCGGGCCAAGATAAACACAGTGAAGGAATCTGGTTTATCCCACTTTGGAGATTGGAGACCATCAGCTCAACCAAAGCTATGAGACCAAAACCAGGTTTTCTCTCTTGAGGCTGCTAAGTGAAGCCATTGACAGAGGCAAGCAGATAGATTTAGCAGATCAATACTGCATGGTTAAGTGGTATATAAGGTTTCTTTCATGATCAAGTGGACCAATTCACATACTAGGATCAATAAGTAAAAAATTCGGAGCAACAAATACAACTTTAAAATAGAGGATTTACCCAACCAAGACAATGAACAATGATTTCAGCCAGAGTCTAGGGATATTTTTACATCTCAATAAAACAAAGAAAATCCTGAATTAATGTTTACTGTGGGCAAGGTAATTCTTGATGCGGGGCGAGTTTAGGATAGAAAAAGTATAATTTCTACTAACCCAAAGCATTAATTTTTCAGGATCAAAAAGCCAGTACAATTTCGCATAGACGAGCATTGTCTTCAGGAAAAATAAGCACAGATGGAACCAAAGCTATGACAGAACACACCCCACAGGCGGTGGGCTTCACTGACGGTTCTATGCTCAGAAACCAACTCCGGGGAATTCAGGTTAGCAACTGGAAAATGGAATACTATTCTATTTGCTAAAGGAGGTCACGACAGGAGACAAAGGAAGAAAAGGATACCAAATAAAAATAGACCACCTTTTTGTATGATTCATTTGGGAGCCAATTTAATGCATTCCTGGTCAGCTTTTATCTGTCTTGGTATTTTTCATCTCTGGTGATGAGACAGAAATTCTGGTTGGTATGCATTTTGACAAGTCATGGAACTGTGATTTGCGACATGCTCAAAATTTAAATCGATGAGTAAAAACATAAAACCTTGAAATTGTCACCAACCCTTCAAGTGCAAATGCATTTGAAATAGAATCCCAGACTCGCGCCACTAAACTTTATGCACTAGGACAGTTTAGAATCCTTTCATGTGTAGACTGACATCATTTCAAGTGAACAACCCACAATTAGAATTTTTTAACATTAAAAATTTCCTTCAAATAGATAAGACTGCCTTAAACCACTAGAGACATCACTTTGAAAGGGTATATATGTTCACTCTAGGGTATCGTATTATTAGGAAATTTGGCACTCCCAAATGTGTTATCCAAAATTATTAAGTCTAGACCAGGTGAGAAGACTGTTTTTGAAACTAATCCTGTAGCACTGTCCCTTTTAAGTGGCTGCTTTCATGAACCAGCCAGTATTTATATATTATTATAAAGATAATACCCCTACTCACCTCATAAGGCTGTTTTGAGAATTAATTAATGTTTGCCAAGTACTTTGAGCTCTGCAGATGAAAGGTGGGGTGGAAATGCTAAGTATTATTATTATTTTAATCTGTATTTGAATTTGCCTCTTACAAGACTGTCTTTTTTTTAAGATAATAATCTCTTCTTCGGACAGAAAAAGGAAAAATTGCCTCATCCACAATTGGACCCTTACAAGGAGGACAGGTGTGATTATTAGGATTTGGCCTAAAGAATAGATTGAAGCGGATGATACACTTCAAAAGAATGTGTTCCCAATCTCAAGACCTCTCTGGGGAGTCTCACAAGTGTCAAGTTTATCCTGTGATCCCTGCTGAGATATGGCCAAATGTAAAGGCCAGGACCAGCTGGGTGTTTACATGACATATAAATAACAACACAAACCTGGTCAATTAACCTCTTTGCTGCTTGGTTTAAGTGAGTCCCACAACCTGCCTAATGAAGAGAAAGAAACTCCCTCAATCCTGCTAAGAGGTTAGAGGACAACGTTGAGAAACTGATTTGAGAGGAATTGAATTTGCTATTCTGGGTTCACAACTCCAGCCCTAATCCTGATAGCGCAGCAAGAAGGGCTGCCATAATCTTGAAGGGTCCCTTTGAGAGAGTGTGGGACTGCAGTGAGGATGGAACAGGGCAGCTTTCCCAGGCAGGGGATGTTGTCTTGGTTATTCACGGATCTGCATCACCGCCCTTCCTGGAACCTGGCAGGCGGCAGTACAGAGCTGGTGAAGGAGGAATGAAGGAGGAAGCCATGCTGCACTGATGATGGTTTGGCGATGCTGGTCTACACCAGAAAAATTGGATTCTCCCTAGAAAAGAGATTTGAAATTCCCTGGAGATTTCTGACCATGTCCTTTGGAAGAAATATTCATACAGCCAGGGAAACCTTAAAATCAACTTGCTTTTATTCTTGCCCAAAATTAAAGGCTTGCCTACCAACAACTTTCCTCTCAAAAATTGACATCTATGATTGCCAATCTTTTAGTAGGTTTTTATGTTTGTTTGTTTGTTTTGTTTTATTTTGTTTTGTTTTTTAAACAGGGTCTGTCACCGGGATGGAGTGCAGTGGTGTAATCACAGCTCACTGCAGCCTCTACCTCCCGAGCTCAAGTGATTCTCCCGTCTCAGCCTCCCGAGTAGCTGGGACTACAGGCTTACACCACCACACCCGGCTAATTAAAAACATTTTTTTGTAGAGATGGAAGTCTCCCTATGTTGCCCAGGCTGGTCTCAAACTCCTAAGCTCAAGCAATCCTCCTACCTTGGCCTCCCAAAGTGCTGAGATTACAAGCATGAGCCACCGTGCCTGGTCTAGCATGATTTTTATCACGACTTTTTCTGTCTTTTAAGATTGGAAAGGCATAAATCAATATTTCAGGTAAAAGCTTGTTATTTATTTTCCTGAGAATTTGGGGAATTTTCTTCTAAGGCCATTCTGGGATGTTAGCAAACAGCTTTTAGAATCACTGATCTATATCCAAATGATAAAACATGAGAGAGACTGAAAGCTCTCTGAGAATAGAAACATAACTTTTTCAGCTTTTTATACTCCTCAATGTCTCGCATAGAGTTTCGACATAGTAGAAACTCTATAAATATTTGTTGAAAGAAGAAAGGAAGGAAGGAAGGAAGGGAGGGAGGGAGGGAGGGAGGGAGGGAGGGAGGAGGGAGGGAGGGAAGAAGGAAGGAAACATGTACACAAACATTTGTGTACGTGTTTACCTCACCTTTAATAATTATACCTGTGTTCATTGAACATTTACTATAGGCCAGCCACCACTATGCTAAGCACTGACCATATATTATCTCATCAAACTCTCCTAGTAACACTTTGCAGTGGACACTACAACCAATCCAATTTTGCAGAGGAGGAAACCGAGGCTTAGGAAATTTGGAAAACTTGCGCACCGTTGCCTAATTAGGCAGAGTCAGATTAGAAACCAGTATAATTAGGCATTATATGAGAGGCAGAGAGTTGAACCACCAAGCTCTGCCTTTGCTGTGCCCCTGAAACACAGTGTGTAAAGAGGACACTGCAAACTTGAGCATATTTTAATGCATCAGGATATATGCTGTGTGCAAGGGAACTTCCTCTTTTCAAAAGCACTCACTCTCCCTGCCCCCCACCCCAGTGAAGGACCTAAGGATTCTGAAAATATGCAGCCAAGGGGAAAAGTCTGGCAAGGTGTGCCAAGTTTTCTTTGAATGCTTTTGTCCCCTGCTGACCTATCTCAAACACATCTCCTTTCCCCAGGAGTTCTGAAAACTCAGTCTTGAAGTCCATCCTGATTTTGGGTCTATGAGAATCATGCCTCACGCATCCCTGCCTGTGCACAGAAAATGTGCAACACTGGCAGGCAATTAGAAAAGAAACAGTCCAGCTATTAGGCAGTTAAGCTGCTCTTAGAACCTGGGTGCAGAATATACGGAGCTCTTAAAAAATTGCTTAACATAAGTATTAAAGGGCTGTAGAAATGGCACAGTCCACAAACGGTGTTTCTAGAAACCTAAAAAAACATATATTATGGGGTTGGTTTTTAATCTCATAGAGTTTAAAAGGTGATTTTAAAACAAAAACAATTTTTCTCCTCCTCCAAAAGCACCACTGTAAAAACTGTTTCTTGTTTTTCTGCTAAGGCCGAGCAGCGCTTGTTTGCCATCATTCATCCAGCAGAGGTCTCTCTTGCCCACCATACGCTCAGAAGAGTCCCTTGCTTGTGTGTGTGTATTCAGTACCAGGGGCGTGACCGTCAGGCTGCAGAATGAAGAAATACGGACAAAGACTTTCAGGCCTGAGAGACTAAGGAGAAAAGAATCTGTGGCTTTGGAGGTGGGATTGCAATGTTTGAGAAATGTATACTTTAATAATGACTGTGTTTGAACAGTAGGCTTCAAGTCTGTACTTTAAACTTCTCAAATTTTGAATAAATTGGTCACTTCTTATTGGAAAATTATTAGTTTTACTTGTGCTGTTAAACTTACATATACACTGTGTCTCCTTTCTGTGTGTCATTATCAAGCTGTGCAAATAGGGAAAGGGGAAGTCACGTTGCCTCTGTTTCCATTTGTCCAGGCCACTCTCAGCCAGATATCTCATCCCAGAGTGGAGCTTGGCCTCAGTGAGTGCTCTGACCTTGGCAGAGCAAGGTGGTCCAACCCTTGGTGCATCTCAAGTGATTGTCCACTAAGGGTGGAAGTTAGTTCTTAACTTTAGCAGCTTCCTCTGTCAGGAACTCAGAGCAAATTCACATGGGTTGTTGAGACCAGATCCCAAATCTGTGGGTGCATGGGAAAGGTGTGCTGGAGAAAGTCACGGTCTTCCTTCCTCCCCACAGAGCAAGGCCTTCTCCTGAAGCCACAGGACAGACCAACGAGGAATCATGCTGCCCCACGGCCAAGTTCTGATATGACACCAAGGGAGGCAGGCATGGGTTTCCATACTGAGGGAAGCAATCTGGTGAGGATGGAGCTGGATCAAAAAAGACATGTTAAAAATAAGACCCTCGGCTGGGCACGGTGGCTCATGCCTGTAATCCCAGCACTTTGGG
The DNA here is from genome assembly GCF_000001405.40 of Homo sapiens. NCBI lineage: Eukaryota > Metazoa > Chordata > Mammalia > Primates > Hominidae > Homo > Homo sapiens. The sequence continues at coordinate 61,252,094 of NC_000014.9, read as the reverse complement.
AGGCTGAGGCAGGCAGATCACGAGGTCAGGAGTTCGCGACCAGCCTGACCAACATGGTGAAACCCTGTCTCTACTAAAAATACAGAAATTAGCTGGGCGTGGTGGCGTGCACCTGTAATCCCAGCTACTCAGGAGGCTGAGGCAGGAGAATTGCTTGAAGTCAGTAGGTGGAGGTTACAGTGAGCCAAGATTGTGCCACTGTACTCCAGCCTGGGCGACAGAGCGAAACTCCATCTCAAAACAAATAAAAAAAAAAAAAAGACCCTTATACAGTTTTGTTGGGAATGTTAATTAGTACGACCACTTTACAGAATGATTTAGTGTTCCTCAAAAAACTAAAAATAGAGCTACCCTATGGTCCAGCAATCCCACTGCTGGGTATGTACCCAAAGGAAAGGAAATCAGTATGTCCAAGAGATATCTGCACTCCCATATTTGTTGCAGCACTGTTCACAATAGCCAAGATTTGGAAGCAACCTGAGTGTCCATCCACAGATGAACAGATAAAGAAAATGTGGCATATATATGCAATGGAATACCATTCAGCCATAAGAAAGAAAGAGATCCCACCATTTTCAACAACATGAATGGAACAGTAGGTCATTTTGTTAAGTGAAATAAGCCAGGCACAGAAAGACAAACTTCCCGTGATCTGACTTATTTGTGGGAGCTAAAGATCAAAACCACTGAACTCATGAAGATAGAGAATAGAAGGATGGTTATCAGAGGGTGGGAAGGGTAGTGGAGGGAAAGTGGGATGGTTAATGGGTACAAAAAATAATTAGAAAGAACGAATAAGACCTAGTACTTGATAGCACAACAGGGTGACTATAGTCAGTAACAATTTAATTGTACATTTAAAAATAAAAGAGTCTAGCTGGATTGTTTGTAACACAAAGGATAAACGCTTGAGGGGATGGATACCCATTTTCCTTGATGTGATTATTACACATTGCATGCCTGTATCAAAGTAGCTCATGTACTCCATAAATATATACACCTACTATGTACCCACAAAATATATACACCTATTATGTACCCACAAAAATTTAAAAAATAAAACATCCCTTTTTGACTACTCCAAACCTCTCAGTGGCTGAACACTGATATTTAAATCAAATGTTTAAAAGATCCACTTTCACTCTGCTTCCTTTATATCTTTTTTTAAAATATGCTAGACCTTTTTTTAAAAAATGGCTTTTTTAGAGAAGTTTTAGGTTTACAGAAAAATTGAGCAGAAAATATAGAGAGTTCCCATCTACTTCTTGCCCCACATGCCTACAACCTCCCCCACTAACAACCCACCAAAGTGGTACATTTGTTACAATCGATGAACCTACATTGGTACCCGAGGTCTGTAGTTTACCTTAGGTTTCCCTCTTGGTGTCGTACATTCTATGAGTTTGGACAAATTGTATAATGACATGTATCTACCATTGCAGTATCATGCAGAATCGTTTTACTACCCTAAAAATCCTGTGTTCTCCACCTATCCGTCCCCTCCTCCCCCTAACCTTTGGCAACCACTGATCTTTTTATTGTCTCCATTGTTTGGCCTATGGAGACAGAACGTCATATAGCTGGAATCATACAACATGTAGCCTGTTCAGATTGGTTTCTTTCACTCAGTAAAACGCATTTAAGTTTCCCATATGTCTTTTCATGGCTTAATAGCTCATTTCTTTTTAATTCCTAGATAATATTCTATTGTCGGAATGTACTGTGGTTTATTTATTCACCTACTGAAGGGCATCTTCATTGTCCCAAGTTCTGGCAATTATGAATAAAGCTGCTATCAACATCCGTGTCCAGATTTATTTATTTATTTATTTATTTATTTATTTATTTATTTATTTTTGAGACTGAGTCTCACTCTATCGCCCAGGCTGGAGTTCGGCTCACTGCAACCTCTGTTCAAGTGATTCTTGTGCCTCAGCTTCCCGAATAGTTGGGATTACAGGCGCCCACGACCGTGCCTGCCTAATTTTTCTATTTTTAGTAGAGATGGGGTTTCACCATGTTGGCCAGGCTGGCCTTGAACTCCTGACCTCAAGTGATCCACCCATCTCGGCCTCCCAAAGTGCTGGGATTACAGGCATGAGCCGCCGTGCCCAGCCATGCAGATTTTTTTTGTGGACATAAGTTTTCAATACATTTGGGTAAATTGCCATTGGTGGGCCAAGCGTGGTGGCTCACGCCTGTAATCCCAGCACTTTGGGAAGCCGAGGTGGGTGGATCACGAGGTCAGGAGTTTGAGACCAGCCTGACCAACATGGTGAAACCCCATCTCTACTAAAAATACAAAAATTAGCTGGGTGTGGTGGCATGCACCTGTAATCCCAGCTACTCAGGAGGCTGAGGCAGGAGAATCGCTTGAATCCAGGAGGCGGAGGTTGCAGTGAGCTGAGATTGCACCACTGCACTCCAGCCTGGAGACAGAGCGAGACTCTGTCTCAAAACAATAAAAAATAATAAAAAAAAATTTGCCATTGGTGGAGCAAATGGTAATCTCTATACCTGTTTATCATGGTCTTCACACTTATGTCAACACTTCCCTTTTTTTTTTTTTTTTGGAAAGCTTCGCGTTACAAATTTGCACATCATACTTGTAAAGGACCATGCATACTAATCTTCTCTGTATGACTCCAATGTTTTTTTAAGTATATGTGCTGCCAAAGTGAGTGTGTACAAAACAGACACCTTCTTACATTTAGAACTTGCATTCGGATAGACTGACTCCTCCCCTGCTCCCTGGCTCTAGCACTCATTTCTAGAGAAGGGCGCTGTGTCCCAGCCATAATTGTTAGAGGAGAAGCAACTATACAGATGAAGCTGCAGTCACTGTTAAAGCTTCTTTAACTGGAGACCTAAGTGGGGATAGGTGGTTTTATAAGTGGTTTATCTAGAATTAGACCACACCATACACAATAAATATGCTGCTTATAATGCCAGGGTTTCCAGTTGCTTGTTGTCCATATAAATTGAACCATCGAGGCCAGGCACAGTGGCTCATGCCTATAATCCCAGCATTTTGGGAGGCCGAGGCAGGCGAGTCACCTGAGGTCAGGAGTTTCAGACCAGCCAGGTAAACATGGCGAAACCCCGTCGCTACCGAATATACAAAAATTAGCCGAGAATGGTGGTGCATGTCTGTAATCCCAGCTACTTGGGAGGCTGAGGCATGAGAGTTGCTTGAATCCGGGAGGCAGAGGTTGCAGTGACCCGAGATCAAGCCACTGCACTCAGCCTGGGCAACAGTGTGGGATGCTGTCTCTAAATACATACACACACACACATACATACATACATACATACATACATACATACATACATACATACATACATAAAACCATTGAATTAGGTGAGTTTTAACTTCACATTCTGAGGGGAAAAAGAAAAGAAAATATTTGCATTGCAGTGGTGAGGCAGGAGGTTTATTGGATAATTTTGTTAATTTTGATTCCCAGTACTGGACACTCTTCAAGAGGAGTTGGAATTTCTGAAGCATCTCCTTGCCCCTTTTGACCACATAAGCTTTCCTTGTTCAGGCCCCCTCAGATGGTATTGATAGTTACGGTGCTGGTAAGCTGGTATGAAGTCTGAGGGCCAAAAAGCACCCCCTCCATCTGCCCTTCCACAGGTTGAGTGGTTGGCAGCCAGTATCTTAGCTTTGTTTATGCTGCTCTGGTTTTTCTGTCATTAACATCCTTTTTCTGACTAATGATTTTTTGACTTGCAGCAAATAGTTTTCCAAAGGATAAACCAACTCCAGATTATTTTGATGGTTGAGGTAACATGCCAAATGTGAAATGCAAGTTTTCCAGTAACTCTAGGTGGGTGAGTTCCAGTTGAATGGATGAGGTTGCATTTTAGATATGGGTCAACCCACCAGGACAGGAGTGCTAGAGAACACCAAGAAGATAAAGACATCTAGAGGATATTGATTTTAGGTGATAAATAATGTGGTCAGGGGATATAACTCATGAGAACTGAGGTATGTTTGACTCATTTCGTTTAGCACTCCTATTTCTTAGAAACACACTCCCAGACCATACAAGGAAGTCTTACAGCTGCACCACTGTGAAATGACACTGGATGATTACATCTCCAAGTTGATGGAGTATCCTGTATTTGAAAGCCATTTTAGAATTATAGAAAATAAGGCCCATGGGGACATGGAGGTCAGCCTACCAATGCCAGTATTTCCAGATGATCTCTACTGTTGTCTTCAGGTAACTGTGTAACTTTACCTCGTCTACTGCAGGGTGTTTTAAAAGCCTCCATAAGTCAGATGCTCTATGGCTTATTTTTTCTGTTCAATTCCTTTCTTTCTTTCTTTTTTTTTTTTTTTTTTTTTTTGAGATGGAGTCTCACTCTGTCTCTCAAGCTGGAATGCAGTGGTGCAATCTCGGGTCACTGTAACCTCCGCCTCCAGGGTTCAAGCGATTCTCCTGCCTCAGCCTCCCAAGTAGCTGGGATTACAGGCACATGCCACTATACCTGGCTAAATTTTGTATTTTTAGGAGAGATAGGGTTTCACCATGTTGGCCAGGCTGGTCTCGAACTCCTGACCTCAGGTGATCTGCCCACCTCGGCCTCCCAAGGTGCTGGGATTACAGGCGTGAGCCACCATGCCTGGCCAACTTTCAATTCCTTTCATTCATTCTACCAAACATCATTTAATCAATCAGTTTTCAAAACTTCTTGGATTTTCATTTAAACCAGTTCCTAAGGGGCTGAGGTATACATTGAACATATAGAGAAACCTAGTAACAATAATGAAGTATCTGTATACGTTGTGTTCCTACAGAGTTTAAAAAAAAAAAAAGTCTAATGTCCTAGGGAACTTTGCTTTAAGGGGACACTTTCTTTTTGGGAAGTCATCATTTAGTTTAGTTTATCATATATTTTTGAATGCCAACTCTTACCATATACTATATTGGGGAGGATTATTGATTATTCAATGAATAGGACATAGTTCCTGCCTTTACGGTGTTCCCAGTGAAGGTGGGAGATGAGGCATTTCAACGTGATGCAGGCAATTCTCTGTTGAAGAAGAGTCAGGGCTAGAGAGCATCTCAGCATGGAAGCCTGGAGCTGTTACCCTGAGCTGTTTCTCAAATAACCATTGGGAGACAGGCAGGCCAACAATGGGGGCCGAAGAGGGTCTCATGGGCCTGGAAAGACATGAGAAAAAGTGCTGACATGGCCGGACACAGTGGCTCACATCTGTAATCCCAGCACATTGGGAGGCTGAGGTGGGAGGATTGCTTGAGCCCAGGAGTTTAGCACCAATCTGTGCAACATAGGGAGACTCTGTCTCTATAAAAATAATAAATAAATAAATACACACACACATAAATAAAAGTGCCAACATGGTTGTTATTTAAAGGGCAAGGAGGAGAGTAGAGAAGAAATGAGGCTGCAGAGGTACCTGGGAGTCCATTCTTGGGGTCTGGACTTGACACTATAGATAATGGGGAGCCAGGGCAGGGTTTTAAGCAGGGATTTATTTTTCTAGATAGAATAATCTGATGGTTCTGTGGGAGATATAATTTGAAGGGAGAAAGGCCAGAGGAATAGAAATTTTGGGGAAGACTCTGTCAAAAGTTCAAGACTGAAATGAGGGGCATGGATTCATGATGATTAAACAAACTTAATAAGAAAATTCTTTTTTTTTTTTCTTTGAGACAGAGTCTCACTCTGTTGCCCAGGCTGGAGTGCAGTGGGTCGATCTTGGCTCACTGAAACCTCCACCTCCCAGGTTCAAGTGATTCTCCTGCCTCAACCTCCCAAGTAGCTGGGATTACAGGCACGTGCCACCACACCTGGCTTTTTTTTTTTTTTTTCCAGTAGAGATGGGGTTTTGCCATGTTGGTCAGGCTGGTGTTGAACTCCTGACCTCAGGTGATCCACTCGCCTCGGCCTCCCAAAGGGCTAGGATTATAGGTGTGAGCCACCGCGCCTGGCCTAGAAAATTCTTTTATTGCAAAATGTTGCAAGTGGACACTGCATTGGACTCAATATTTGTCCAATGAATAGCAGCACTTTGGGAGGGCGAAGGACCCTCCTAAAGAGGGTCTTATATCAGGTCTCACCTGGAAGCTCTCCCTCACATCACTGATCATTCAAAAGACCAGCGACCACTAATGTTTGGGTATGACTGAGAAACAGAAATAGGTCGTTCTTTCCATCCTCCCAGATCTGCTCACTGATGGTTGGAAACTTTTTAGTGCAAGGATTAAAAATAAAATACTAGCATGATTCCTAACTTTTCTTTCACACCTACTAGGTTTTGGATACTAATGAACCTGAACATGGTAACAGATTGAATAATCTAATGCCAGACTCTGTGCTGGTTATTTTCTGTTTGCCTCTTCAGATGGGCTCTCTGTCCTTCTGCGGCCTACTCTGTGCCTTAGGAGGCTGACCACTGTAAGGCTGCCCCACCGGCTTCCTTTACTAAAATGCCTACTTAATTCTCATCAGCGCTCTTTCACCCTTGGCCCCTTTGGTGGGGAGGAACAGCTCCCTGCTGGTAATAGTCCTTGGGCGCTCCTCTGTCTCTCATTGGTTTCCATTACCTGCCCACATCTCACGAAATAACTTCTTTGATTAATTCCCTGCACTTAACTCTTTTGAGAGTTTCCTGCCATTCCTCTGCTGATGCAGACCCTTTCCTGCATTTGCATCAAGGTAAGAGTAGGATACTGAGTTTCTGAGCTTGAGGGTGGTGGTGGGGAAAGGAAGAGATCAAGAAAGAGGATTCTGGGGTCACAGAAGACCTCTTTCCGACCTATCTTAGGGCTACCTGATTGCCTATCTGCTGGGGCTCTTCTTTTGCCTCATGCTTATGCTGTCTGTGGAGAAGCAGGCCTCACAGATCTGGTTTGAGTTTATTTTTTTAAAATTCCAAATTGATTTGCAAGCTCCAATCTGTAATTCATAACCACTCCATCAACAGGTATTTCTTGTCTAAGCATGTAACTTAGTAAACTCCTCACATGGAGGGAAACAAGAAACATAGAGATGTCAGCTGAAGTTGGGTACATAACAGTCTTCAAGGGTTAAGAAACAGCCACACGCTGTGCCTCAGGTATAGTAGGTTTACCAAAGTTTTGCTTTTGTGTTTAAACAATAAAGTAGTTGGTGGTCTGCCGGCTACAGTCTGTTACACATTCCTTCGTTTTATTAGGATAACCATAAGCCTCAAAGACCCACCCTGATGTCAGTAGCAGGTTTTATAGAACATTCACAAGTTTCTTCTTGTTGTATTCGGGGGTATATAAAGTGTGAGGCATAATAGGTAACAGGTTGGAAGACCAGTTGAGGGCGGACTAAAGCCTCAATTCCTGATGTGAATATTTAATAACTCCTCATTACAGGAAAAGGTTGACTACCAGATGCCCGTTACTGTGGCTCCAGAGTCCACTAAACCTCTGAGTTATTCCAGGACCAGCGGTGTGTTTTGGCAGTTACCTCTGCCATTCAAATCACCTGGAGGTCAGGACATGCCCAGTTGATTTAGGAGCACTAGAGAGGGGCATTTGCTGGAAACCTCTCATCTGTTATTTAGCAGCCACATGGCTAATTACTTCTGATACAGTGATTTCCTAAGATGATAGAGCAGGGTAGGTTTAAAACAAAAATGCAAAGCAAACTCAAAAGCATTGTAACAAATGTAACTTCGTGTTGGCATGTGACGATTACTCATATACCGTTTCAGGTTGGGGTCCCTGAGATCATCACTTAAGCTTGAACTACAGTTAATCGGCATGACAGTGACCCAGCTTTGCACTCCTCAGCTGAAAAAAACCCTCCCAATTTGTCAGGTTCTAGCTCTTGTCGTTTGTTCAGCTGTATTTTGACCGCAGCTGGTCTGGGAATTGAATTGTTTTGCATTTCCATGGCACATGAAATTTCATGACAGAATGCTCATGTGGCGGTCTCATGCCTCAACTCCCTGGTGTACACAGAAGGGTCTCTTGCTGCTCAGCCTTCTACTCTATGCTCCTGTTTTTTCCAGCATGCTCCGTTGCCCCAAACTGATGATGGGAGAGCCAGGCTGCGGTGATGTGCAGCTTTCAAAATCCAAGGCTCCCTGTATAGAGAAAGCTAAAGTGTTGCTGTATTTTTTTTTTTTTTTAATTAAGATGAGGTCTTGCCATCTTGTCTAGGCTGGTCTCAAGCTCCTGGGCTCAGGCAAACCTCCCACCTTGGCCTCCCAAAGTGCTGGGATTATAGGCATGAGCCACTGTGCCTGGCCAGAGGAAGCTAATGTTTTAAGAAAAAAGGCTTTTTATAAAACACTTTCATGCATATATAGGATGAGTCCATTGAATTGGCCTTGAAAATCCAAATCCAAGAACTCCTTACAGATAACAAATGATTTGAAATTAAAAATAAAATATGAAATGGACATAGCTCTCTGTTACTATATTCTGTTTAAAACCTTGATTTTCAATTCTTCTTAAAATAAAATGCAAAAACCATTAATAAGATCTATAAGGCCATGCTTGCTTGGTCTTGCCATACCTGAACACCCTCCGTTCCCCAAGCTGTAGCTACTCTGGCCTGCTCTTGGTTTCTTAAATATACTGTATGCCTCAGGCTCTTTGCACATGTTATTCTCTCCACCTAGAATATCTTCCTCTTTCTCTCCTCCTTTAGATTTCAACTTTTTTTCTTTTTCTTTTTTTTTTTTTTTTTTTGAGACAGAGTCTTTCTCTGTCGCCCAGGCTCGATCTCCATTCATTGCAATCTCCACCTCCCGAGTTCAAGCAACTCCCCTACCTCAGCCTCCTGAGTAGCTGGGACTACAGGTGCGCACAACCACACCTGGTGAATTTTTTTTGTATTTGTAGTAGAGATGGGGTTTTGCTATATTGGCCAAGCTGGTCTCGAAATCCAGACCTCAAGTGATTCACCCACCTTGACCTCCCAAAGTGCTGAGATTACAGGCGTGAACTGTGCCCAGCCAGATTTCAGCTTTAAAGTAATTTTTTTTTTTCAGAAGCCTTCCCAAAATCGGGTCTAGGTCAAATCCCTCTTGACTTCATAGTCTTCTAGACTTCTCTGTAGAGAAAGCAATTAATTATTTGTGTATTTATTTATTCACTGTCTTATTCCCTTCTAGACCATAAACACCAGGAATGATGGATGCTGCATTCTCAATACCTAGCAAAGTGCCTGGCATATAGACTAATGTCTAATTGTTAAATTATTTAGACAATACGTGTTTATTACAAAACAAATTACTGAAAGTGCAGAAAAATACAAAGAATTAAAATTATAAAATTATAAATTACAATTATAAAATAATCTATAACCCTATCTCCCAGGGATAACAACTGTTAACATTTTGTTGTTTCCTAGTGGCCTTTAAAAAAACAAACATGGCTTGGCATGGTGGCTCATGCCTGTAATCCCAGCACTTTGGGAGGCCGAGGAGGGGGGATCACCTGAGGTCAGGAGTTTGAGACCAGCCTGGCCAACATGGGGAAATCTTGTCTCTCCAAAAAATACAAAAACTTAGCTGGGCTGGTGGCAGACGCCTGTAATCCCAGCTACTTGGGAGGCTGGGACAGGAGAATTGATTGAACCTGGGAGGCAGAGGTTGTGGTGAGCTGAGATCGTGCCACTGCACTCCAGCCTGGGCGACAGTGAGACTCTGTCTCAAAAAACAAACAAACAAACATATGCAGTGTATAAATAAGCATTGCCTGCTGAAAGTCAGATCCTGTGGCCATTTAGAAGAGTTTTCTTAAAATGTACTAGGCTTTGGGTGTTCCAAACTGATGTCACTGGGGGAGAGTTTTGAGTTAAGGTATGACCATTCACTGTCTCTAAGGCTGGTGAGGCATGGGAGGTGTGGATTAAAATCCAGCTCCCCAGAGCAAATTTGGGACTCTTCCTGCTCCATTGTCACTCTAAGAGTATTTATCTAGACTCTTTCAGTAAAGTAACAATTTCTTAAATATTTAGAAATATATCACCTCACTATTTGTTTAACTTTTGTTGCTGCTGTTGTTATTCTTTCCCCTAATTCATATTATATGGGATTTTTTAGAACTTTGGTATTAGATTCCCAATTCTTAGTTCTTTTGTAATGGGGAGGTGGCTAGAAATGCACTGGGAACAACACGTTAATCTCCCTCCATTCTCAAATAATGGCATGATTTCCTTGCACCAAGTGCCTAACACGGTTTATCCCATAAAACACGCTTCATCTCATAAAACGCGCTTCTATCAAGGAGCTAAGTCCACAGAGTAGATACTGTTCTTATTCCCATTTTATACATGAGGAGATGCGGTTCAAAGAGGACATGGAACTTACCCATGGCCACACAGAGTCAGCCTGAGTCCAAAACCTAGACTCTGAACCACTATTCCACACTTGCCAAAGTGACTCCCTCTAGGTTTCACCAAGTTGATCAGGAATATGAGTAGATTTCAAAGAGCCTTGAAAACCCATTGTGCTACAGTAAAATACATATTTGGTCATCCTATTTTCTGGCCTAGGACTCCTAAAATCTCCAAAGCAATGTCTTTTTGTATGCTAATGAGTTGGCTGATGGTTGGAAGTCTCCAGGTAGCTTCAGGATGGGGGATGATCACAGGAAAGTCCAAGGCATGAGCAAAGAGTTGGGACTTTCAGCCCATCCCACAACCTCTGGAGAGTGGAGAGGGGATGAAGGTTAAGTTGATTACCAATGATCAATGATTTAATCAATCATGCCTATGTAATGAGGCTTCCATAAAACCCTGCCAAAAGACTGGGTTCAGGGGACTTCTGGATAGCTGGACATGTGGAGGGTCCTGGAAGGTGGTGCACCCAGAGAGGACATGGAAATTCTGTGCCCCTTCCTCACATAACCTCACCCTATACACTTCTTTATCTGTGTCCTTTGTAGTAACCCTTATAATAAACCAGTAAATGTAAGTAAGTATTTCCTGAGTTCTGTGAGCCACTTTGGCAAATTAATTGAATTCAAGGAGGGCGTTGTGGGAATCCTGACTTATCCCAGAGACCCAGACTTGCAACTGGCATCTGAAGTGAAGGCCAGTCTTCTAGAACTGAGTTCTCAACCTGTGGGATCTGATGGTACCTCCAGGTACATAGTGTCAGAATTGAATTAGAGCTGTAGAATTGACGCTTGCTTGGTGTGTGGGGAAAAAACCTCACACATTTAGTTACTGAAGTGTTCTGTGTTGTGAGAGTATAGTAGGAGAAACTGAGTTTGTTTTTCCTCAATAGCCTCAGATTTGGTGTCAGAAGTGGGATTTACTAGCCTGGCCTCTGACTCACAGGAACATGTGATTTTGGGTAAAAAGGACAAATGGGTGGAGGGTGATAAATATGATTCTCAGGTGACCATATGGCCACCTATTAATACAGGAGCTGTTAAGAAATAATTTTTAGGCAGCTGGAAAGGGTGAAGGTTCTCGGTGGAACTTTCCTTTAATAAAGAGCAACCCCCGAACCATTTCCTTTCTAACCGAAAGAGGCTTGAAAAACCAGACTGGCAATCATTGATATGCAAATGCAGATGGCTAGAAACCAGGTCCACCCAACTGGCAGTCCTGCCCTCTTATCCTTGTCACCACGTGTGGCAGGTGCCATGGCCACCTCCAGGTAACACCACATGTGCAGGACTTCATGGCAACTCGCATTTGCGTATTAAAAGCTAGGGTGGGAGGGTTTTTTCGAGGGCTACATGAATGACACAGCTGGTTAAACGAATCCCCTGAGCCCTGTGCAAATCAGACACCGCTTCCTCCAACCTCCCAATATAACCAACTGCTTTCTGCGGCATGTGGGGTTTCTCTGTTTGGAGGCTCCCTCCCTCCCTCTGTACAGGGGAGCTGTTTTCTTCTTTCTTCTTTCTTGCCTATTAAACTTTTTACTCCTTAAAATCACTCCACGTGTGTCCGTGTCAATCTTATCAGTGTGAGACAAAGGACCCACGGTGTTTCTACAGTCACTGGAGCCGTATCACCATGATATGAGGCAGTAGCTGTGTTGCACTCAGTTACTAATGGCAAAACCTCCAGTGAAATTTAGAGATGCATTCAACTCCTGGACAGTTGGTTTGCTGGATGCATAAAGAAATGCAAACTTATAATAAACAACAAAAAAGTAAAATATACAATTGTGTGGTTATTGCTATCTGTAATAGCTAAAATGAAATCAAAAGACAGTGCTGGGTCAGATCTTGATGCTACCCCCAGTGCAGACTTCAGTGAGTTAGAACTTCAGTCATTAGCCTCAGAGCCATCTCCCAGAAAAAATTATGCCAGGACTACAGAAAGCACCTCTAAGACCTGTGTTTACCAAGAAGGTAGTCAGTGTGTGGTAAGGGCAAAACAAAGAAGCTATTGAAACCAGAGGGTTTAGTGTGAAGGAATTGTTTCATTTTGTAGACTGGTATCTGAAAGATTCTCCCCAGAGCCTGAAAGCTTAAGGGAATGAATAACTCCTCCCTTCTCAGGCCCAGTCCCAAGGCGCAAGAGCACATTAGCCTGCTTTAGCAAGATAGCAGAAGCAGGAAGAGAGCTGGCCGGAAGACACGTACCCCCTGAAGAGGGAGAGAGAGGCCATCCGGGTACCTCGAAGCAGTTACATCAGATTGAGACACTTCCTGTTTACAGGAGACTATAAAACCCCTGCCCTGTCCTCATTTGGTGCTGACGCCATTTTAGGCCTCAGCCCACCTGCACCCAGGCGCTCATTAAATCAGCGTGTTGCTCCACACCACCTTGTCTTGTTTGTTGGCCCGCTCTCGGGGTTTGAACCAATACAAGAGCCTTGCAGTATCATCAGCTTCCTGAAGAACCCTTAGTAAAATGGATTGTGACAGTTAACTAATTTAGGGGCAGTATCTTTGGTTTTAAATGCTGCAGGGTGGAAGAGTATGTTTGGGTTGATGCAATATCCACAGCTCGCTATGGAACAGTCATGAACAGGAGGTGATTCCTGAGGGAACAGCGAGCCTGGTGAACTTGATAAAAGCCATTTTAAGGTCTGTTTACTCTGAGGAGGGAGATTGCCTGACTCCACCTAGAAATGCTAATTGGAACACTCCAGTTACAGCAGCTAATATGCTTCATATGCAAGCCATGTGGGACCAGCTTTATAATGACTGGGATATTCACCTGATGAATTATGGTAAATTCTGTTATTCAGGGGGCTCCTTTAATGGAGATCCCCATATAACCGTACTGTTTTGCAAACCCAAAAGAAAGTTCGAGAAGCTTTACCCAGTTTGTTGTCACAGCTTCCCTTCACGGGTCTTACAGATGCTAATGAAAACGTTAGATTAATTAACAAGAGAATGGGGAAAAGACAGAGAAGAGAGTAAAAGAACTTTCCAGGAAGGTGGACATTTTTAAATGGTTATTAAGAAATAAGGTGAATAAAGAAAACATTGATAAAGGTGAAACTAAACGGAAAAAGAGGAGAGTCAGGGGATTTGTCTGAGCAAGGTGGAAATCTTTATATGGTTACCAAGAAATGAGGTGAATAAAATGTAAATGTGTGGGGTCAAAACAAAGCTCTTAAGGTTGGATGGACCAACAGGAGCCCCAGCTGGTCCTGCAACATTAAAGGGCTCCAAACAAGTTTGCTGAATTTACCCTAGTTTGGAGAAATATGAAAAGTTAGGAGGCAAAGATTATAATGAGAAAAATGATCTAAAATTGCCTCAAGCAACACTCAGGCAGATTAATCAAGAAAAAGATTGACAAAAGGGCTGGGGTCCCTTGGCTCAATCTCCTGTCAGGGACCCAAAGGCCTTTTGCACAAGAGTGGGTAAAATGGTCAGGGGTGGAGAATTTCCAGGGCTCCTTGACACAGGAACCCAATGTACTGTGATTTCAAAACCTGTCTGTAAAGTCCTAATGGAGGCTATAGTTAGGAAAGTAAGAGTTGACAGAATTAAGATGTTAAATTAATTTAGTCTAAAGCTGCCTACTTACATAGTTTAAGTTTGGCCTAAAGGTTTCTCCATACATAGTGAACCCTAACCTAACTGGATGTATAAACAGACTGTTACTACTTTGCAACAAGTTGCTGTATCTCAGCCAATCACAGGCAGCCAACTCTTCAAGCCTTGTTTAAACAAGGCAAGTGCCAAGCTGTAACCAATACAGTTGTTTCTATACCTCTGTAAACCAAAAAGTATCTAAGACAAGTCTCAATCAGTTTAGGAGTTTATTTTGCCAAGGTTAAGGACATGCTTCAGGAAGGCCTGACCGCAAGTGCCCAAGATGGTTGGGTTACAGTTTGGTTTTATACATTTTAGGGAGACACAGGACACTAAGACATCAATCAATACATGTAAGGTGTACATTGGTTTGGTCAGGAAAAGGGGGACAACTGGAGGTAAGGGTTGGGGGAGAAAGTTCCAGGTTTCTGGGTCATAGGTGGATTCAAAGATTTTCCGATTGACGATTGATTGAAAGAGTTTATCTAAAGCCCTGAATCCATAGAAAGGAGCGTCTGGGTTAAGATAAGGGGTTGTGGAGACCAAAGTTCTTATTATGCAGATGAAGCCTCCAGGTAACAGGATTCAGAGAGAATAGATTGTAAATGTTTCTTGTCAGACTTAAAAAGCTGTCAGACTCTTAGTTAATTCTCTCCTCGATCAGGATGAAGACCTGGAAAGGGAAAGGAGTTCTCTACAGAATGTAGATTTTTTTCACAAGAGACAGCTTTGTAAGGTCATTTCAAAATATGTCAAAGAAATATATTTTAGGGTAAAATACTTCAATTTCTTTTAGGGCCTGCTATCTGTCATGTGATGCTATACTAGAGTTAGGCTGGAATTTGGTATCTTTTTTTTTTTTTTTTTGAAACAGAGTCTTGCTCTGTCACCCAGGGTGGAGTACAGTGGCATGATCTCAGCTTACTGCAACTTCCACCTCCTGGGTTCAAGCGATTCTTCTGCCTCAGCCTCCCTTGTAGCTGGGACCACAGGCGCTTGCCACTGTTACAGGAAGGGGGTCTGTATCCAGACCCCAAAAAAGGGTTCTTGGATTTCACACAAGAAAGAATTCAGGGCGAGTCCATAGGGTAAAGTGGAAGCAAGTTTATTAAGAAAGTAAAGGAATAAATGAATGTCTGCTCCATAGAGCAGCCCCAAGAGTTGCTGGTTGCCCATTTTTATGGTTATTCCTTGATGATAAACAATGGGTGGATTATTCATGCATCCCCTTTTTAGACCATATAAGGTAACTTCCTGACGTTGCCATGACATTTCTAAACTGTCGTGGTGCTGATGGGTGTGTAGCAGCGAGGACACCAGAGGTCACTCTTGTGGCCATCTTGGTTTTGGTGGGACTGAGCCAGCTTCATTTCTTTTCTTTTTTTTTTTTTTTTTTTTTGTTTTGAGACAGGGTCTTCTCTGTCGCCCAGGCTGGAGTGCAGTGGCGTGATCTCAGCTCGCTGCAACCTCCCCCTCCCAGGTTCAAGCAGTTCTCTGCCTCAGCCTCCCAAGTAGCTGGGATTACAGGCTCCCGCCACCATGCCTGGCTAATTTTTGTATTCCTAGTAGAGACAGGGTTTCACCATCTTGGCCAGGCTGGTCTTGAACTCCTGACCTCATGATCCACCCACCTCAGCCTCCCAAAGTGCTGGGATTACAGGCATGAGCTACTGCGCCCGGTGGAGCCAGCTTCTTTACTGCAACCTGTTTTATCAGCAAGGTCTTTATGACCTGTATCTTGTGCTGACCTCCTAGCTCATCCTGTGACTTAGAATGCCTTAACCATCTGGGAATGCAGTCCAGTAGGTTTCAGCCTCATTTTACCTATCTCCTATTTAAGATGGAGTTGCTCTGCTTCACACGCCTCTGACACTGCTACGCCCAGCTAATTTTTGTAGTTTTAGCAGAGACAGGGTTTCACCATGTTGGCCAGGCTGGTCTCAAACTCCTGACCTCACGTCATCTGCCCGCCTCGGCCTTCCAAAGTGCTGGGAGTTACAGGCGTGAGCCACCGGAATTTGGAGTCTTATTGCTACAAAGTCTTAAGATCTCTGTTTTAATATTAATGCTGGTCAATTATGCCTGAATTCCAAAAAAAGGAGGGTATCACAAGGCAAGTCTGACCCCTGCTTCCCATCATGGCCTGAACTACTTAACTTTGGAATATCCTTAGCTGAGAGGAAGGGTCCATTCAGCTGGTTGGGGGTGCTTAGAATTTTATTTTTAGTTTACACTCCTGTTTGCTGTATGTCACTTTCTTTTTTCTGTCCATACATGTTATCTGACCATGTGGCAGCCCCAGAGTCATCTGAACCTAATCTCATTCTGGGGCTGCCCGATTTGTGAATCATTCTTTGCTCAATTAGACTATTAAATTTAATTTGTCTGAAGTTTTTCTTTTAACAAAGATAAAAGTTTATAGGAGGGTTAGTGTATTTAAACATGCTTTATGTAAAGTGGTTGCATCTCTTTTGCCTGATTGTATTTTGGAGATGGCCATTGTATCTGACTGGGAAATGTTTCCCATACCTAGTACTGTAAAACAGAAGGGAAAATCTGCCCTTCAATCACTATTAATTGGGCAGGTTAATTGGGAACTAGTAAGATTGCCTGAGCCCGCACAGCTCAAGCGCTGGTAGGGGCAAATTCTTTGTTTGATAGTCCTAAATGAAACACAGACTAGGGCTTATGGTTTGTGGATGGCAGTTTCACGGTGAATGGATAACATACCGTTGGGAATGATGCCACTCTCTGACTGAAGAAGGTAAAAACAAATTAGCATGGTGAGCTGAATTGCATGCTGTTTGCCTAGCGGTGATGGAAAGAATTGAACAGGGCTAAAAGCCTCTAGGTTTGGGTTTCTACTGACTCACAGTCAGTGACCAAAGGCAATGGAAACCTGGCCTATTAAAGGGATGCCCATATGGAGCATGGTCCTTTGGAAATTACTATGGAAATTTAAGGGGTGCCTTAAGGTAGGCATCTCAATGCCCATCAGAAGAACTCCCTCCAGGTTCTAAAGGTGTCTGGGATCAACAAGTAGATATCCCCATGTGCTTGCTTAAGGGGGCCATTTGGGTCCATAACATGAGTGGATACGGGGGTCATGCAGCAGTGCAGAGATGAGCTAATCTAAACATATTCCTCCAGCGTCTTCTGGGACACAAAATGCCAATAAAAACTGCTCTGTTTGTCAGCAAAAGAGACAGAGACTGCCTATGGCTATGTGGCAGATTCCCTGATGGGATGGCCCTGAACATAGCTGGCAAGTGAGACTGATGCTGATGGCCCTGAGGGGCTACGAATGGGTCTTGACAGAAATAGATACTGACTCTGGATTTGGCTTTGCTTACACAGTAGAAGATGCAAATGCTCAGAGTGCTATAAAAAACCAGAACAGATGATATTGCATGAATTTGGACAGCTGACCTTCATTTCTTTAGACCAAGGAACACACTGTACAGCAATGGGCAGAGAGTTATCCTTCTCAGAGTAATAGTTTAACAGAGAAGTGGAACATGCAATTAAAATATTGGTTGTCTAAGATGGGAGAGATAAATGCAGGAAGGGCTGGCTTGCACACCTTCATGAGTGTGTGCTCATGCTCAACATGAGTAAGACTAAAGGATTGTCCCCCCTAGAGTTTCCCCTGCTTTCTGGTGGAGGTGGGGATGACTGGTTAAGGAGGGATGCCGGGATGACTATGCAATTCTTACCAAGGGAGCAGCACACTAGTATAATGACTATATTTTGTTTTCATCTCTTCCCCACATCAGCTCAATTTCCCCCCCTTACCTAATGCAGTAGTCACAGGACCAGGGCTGTAATAACAAGTACTGGAAACAGGGATGGTTCCTAAGCAAGAAATGGTAACTGTGTTTTTCAACCTTATGTCAAAATTTCTAAAGACCTAATAGGGGTGGGTTATGTCTTCATCCCATCTGGCAAAATTGGGGTTAACAGTGAATGCAGCTATATTGCCTAGTGGTAAAAAGAGCTCACTAATTCTGCACCTGCATAATATTACCTTATCTAAATAGGAGTGGATTGAGGGAGAGGTATTTGCTAGGCCAGTGCTACACCTGTGGTGTAGACCAGGACAGTGTACCTTCCAAAGGTGGAGAAGTTCGATGATAAATGCAGAGAAAGAGAAATAGTATCCGAGGGTAAAAGAATAAATAAATGGGTTATGGAATAAGGGAAAACCAATGTATTCATCCATTCTCATGCTGCTAAAAAAGACATACCTGAGACTGGGTAATTTATAAAGGAAAGAGGCTTAATTGACTCACAGTTCAGCATGGCTGGAGAGGCCTCAGGAAACTTACAATCATGGTGAAACTTTACATGGCATGACAGCAGCAAGGGGAAGTGTCAAGCTCAAGGGGAAAAGCCCCTTATAAAACCATCAGATCTCGTGATAACTAACTCACTATTATAAGAACAGCATGAGGGTAACCACCCTCATGATTAAATTACTTCCCAGCAGGTGTCTCCCACCACACATGAGGATTATGGGAACTACAATTCAAGATGAGGTTTGTGTGGAGACACAGCCAAACCGTATCCTTCAATATTGTATTAATTCCTTGAGAGAGGCTCAGAGAAAGAGATGACATTGTCTCTTAGCTCAATTCTATCAGATCCTTAAAGGGTAAAACTGTATGTTTGCTGAGGCCACTCTGGCTTTTTTTTCTTTTTCTTTTTTTCTTTTTTTTTGAGACAAGGTCTCTCTCTATCACCCAGAGCAGAGTGCAGTGGCTTGATTATGGCTCACTGCAGCCTCAATCTCTTGGGCTCAAGCAGTCTTCCTGCCTCAGCCTCCTGAGTAGCTGGGGTTACAGGTGTGCACCACTATGCTTAGCTAATTTTAAAATTATTTGTAGAGACAAGGTCTCACTATGTTGCCCAGGCTGACACTCTGGCTTTTGGAACCTGATAAGATCAAATGGAAGTCTGCAAACCTGAGTGGCCTCACTCTGGGAGACATATTCATACCATATGGTGGACTGGACCAACTGTTAATAATTGAATTGGTTTCTGGTAATAAGGCAGGATCTTTTGAGTTTTTATATCCTTTTGATGTAAGAGATCGGTGTCTGAAGAGTAGGGGTGGACAATGATACTATGAAATATATATTTGGTCTCTGTTTCCTGGCACATATAACTTTTAAAATCCTTGGAATTGCCAATGTCTTTTTCTGTGCTAATGAGTTGACTGACGGTTGGCAACCCCTGCGTAGTGTCAGGATGGGGTACGGTCACATGAACACCAAGGCCTGATTAGAGGGTTGGGACTTTCAGCCCCATCCCCTAACCTCAAGGGAAGGGAGAGGGCTTAAAGTTAAGTTGATCACCAATGGTCAATGATTTAATCAATTAGGCCTATGTAATGAAGCTTTCAGAAAAGCCCAAAAGGACTGGGTTGGGGAGGGGGAGCATCAAAGAAGGGGAACAGAACACTTCTACATACTGGGGATTCATTCCCCAACTCTAAGGGGACAGAAGCTCTAGCATTAGGGACACTTCCAGACCTTACCATTTGTATCTCTTCATCTGGCTGTTCATTTGTATCATTTAAAATATCCTGGCCGGGCACGGTGGCTCACGCCTGTAATCCCACCACTTTGGGAGGCCAAAGCGGGTGGATGGCTTGAGCCCAGGAGTCTGAGACCAGCCTGGACAATGTGGTGAAACCCTGTCTCTATTAAAAATAAAAAAATGGGCATGGTGGCGCAAGCCTGTAATCCCAGCTACTCAGTAGGCTGAGGCACAAGAATTGTTTGAACTCAGGAGGCGTAGGTTGCAGTGAGCCGAGATCATTCTACTGCATTCCAGCCTGGGCAACAGGGCAAGACTCGGTCTCAAAAAAATAAAATAAAATATCCTTTATAACGAACTGGTAAACATAAGTGTTTCCCTGTGTTCTGTGAGCCATTCTAACAAATTACTCAAACCGTAGTGGGGGATTGTGGGAACCCCCATTTATAGCAGATGGGTCAGAAGCAAAAGCGAAACAACCTGTGGCTTGTGATTGGCATCTGAAGTTGGGCAGTTGGGGAGGTGGCTGTCTTGAGGACTGAACCCTCAACTTGTGGGATCTGACGCTGTGTCCAGGTAGAGAGTGTCAAGTTGAAATGAATTAGAGGACATCCAGCTGGCGTCTGTTGCTGGAGGATTACTTGCTTGGTGTGTGGGGAAACACAGCTGGTGTTAGCAGTGTTGTGTGACTGTGTGGTGAGAGTATAGCAGGAAGAAGGGGAGTCTGTTTTTTTCAACATCATCACACCCATGAACCCATTTTGTGCGTCTAAACAGATTTGTATTTTGCAGGAGGAGGGGAGAGAAGATCTCTACATTTCATCAGATTAGTTTGGAATTAGAAAAAAATATTTTTCACACACTGCCAAGTTTCGGGAATAAGAAAAATAAAGATTCAGCCGGCCACGGTGGCTCACACCTGCAATCCCAGCACTATGGGAGGCCGAGGTGGGCGGATCACAAGGTCAGGAGATCGAGACCATCCTGGCTAACACGGTGAAACCCTGTCTCTACTAAAAATACAAAAACAAAATTAAAATTAGCCAGGCGTGGTGGCGGGTGCCTATAGTCCCAGCTACTCAGAAGTCTGAGGCAGGAGAATGGCGTGAACCCGGGAGGCAGAGCTTGCAGTGAGCCGAGATCGCGCCACTGCACTCCAGCCTGGGTGACAGAGTGAGACTCTGTCTCAAAAAAAAAAAAAAAAAATTCATCTGGATTAGCAATTCTTAAATGTATTGATCAGTTACCAAGCACTGTTCTAAGCACTTTGTGTATTGAATTGTTTAGTCCTTGCAATAACCCTGTGTGTATTGAATTGTTTAGTCCTTGCAATAACCTTGTAAGAGAAATACTATTATCTTGGCTTTACGGTTGAAGAAATGAGGCACAGAGAAGTTGACACTTGCCCAAGGTCACACAGCTAGCTGTTCAGTGTTGGAGAGATCTCATCCAGTCAATCTGTTCCAGAGTCTGTGCTTTCTTAACCACAGTAAACAAATGATAATGTCCATTTTCCTGCCCTTGAACTTGGAATGTATCTCCCTGTTAATGAATATAATCAATGTAGTAGTTTTCCCTTCCTCTAGGAAAGGCAAAGCTATTACTAAATTAAATTGATGGTGGACCTTATAATAGAGGACACCCTGGGGTAGAAGAAATAAGCACCTCTCCTCTCCAGGATCAACCATACTAAGTAATTCACACCTTTGTGACTATTTTAACAAGACTGTAGCTCCTCTGGTATGAAATTTGGACAACAAAATTCTTCCTGAGGGCAGAGTTCTGAATTAGAAGGGGGCCTTCTTAGTGAGGGCAGGGATTGGCAAGTAGCTGAAGTGAGAGGGGATCCCACAGAAAACCATTGTATGTGTTGGGGGACAGTGGTCAGAGTTTGCATACAGCTTCTCTGTAATGTGTGTGTTTGTGAGTAAACATTTCTGTCATACATATAGATGGAAACACATTTGATTTGTACATCTGAAGATGCATGCAATTTAAATGATCTGATACATTATCTACACCTTTTCAGAGAATGAGACACGACCTAAGTTGCTCCCAAATGGCTTTCAGGTATTATTGCATTTGAGGACTAAATGCACATTACAGTTTTTCCCTTTACAGATGGAAAATCAAAGGTAAGGAGTTGGGCTACTTGCTGAGGGGCTCCTAGGAGATTTTAATATAAACCTAAGAAGAGAGTCATGACTTTATTCTCCCTCCTGAGGAATTAGAATTTTCCTGATTAAGTGACATCGAGACCAAAAACTGAAATAACAGAGTCTAAAGATGAGAACTGAATCTACCCCCGGGTCCGAATGAGGTGAAAGACAAAACAGGAAGCGTATGCATTGGAAGCAGGAGGCTTTGGCCAGCACCCACACAGCCTCTAAGGTTTAAGCTGAGTGGGTGTGGGAGAAAGGCCTGGAAAATGCACTCTAGGCTTGCTTTGGAGAGAGGAAGATCCTGTACCTTTTTTCACTGAATGTTAAAATCCTAGCAGACTCCTACTTAAGGGCCCATTAAAATTCAGGAAGGAAAAAAGGGGAAAAAAGTTTTTAAAGAGGAAAAAAGACAACAAACACACCCACTCTTACAAAAATAAAATCCCACCCCAAAAAACCTTTATGAAAATGTTTTTGAGCTTTAAAAAGCAGAGGGGGTTGGAATGTTGATGGAGCCCATGCCGTCGACATTGCATTCTGACTGGCTTCTGTGCACATGTGTGTTAACCTGGCTTGATCCTTGGAAAGAAGCAGACCTGTTCTCCCCCTGGAAGAAGGAATAGAGCCCATTTCTATCGATGGGTTAGATCCCACTGTGTGTTAATGTGGTTAGGTGGGGTGTCGGGGACAATTTGTTCCACATCAGTGCCTCAAAATAAGAGCCTCTCACTCTGGAAAAGTTTCCTTTCCAATCCACCCTCCAATGCAATCAACAGTCCCCGCCAAATCTTCCCTTCGGTCTCAGGTTTCAGTTATATAAGCTGTTCTAATCAAACAGGCTCCTTCCAATTCAGCAAAGGGTAAAACAGCCATTTACACAAACAGCTAGTGGCTTA
Organism: Homo sapiens; assembly: GCF_000001405.40. NCBI lineage: Eukaryota > Metazoa > Chordata > Mammalia > Primates > Hominidae > Homo > Homo sapiens. The sequence goes on along the minus strand of NC_000014.9, from coordinate 61,229,510 downwards.
TGTAACCAGAGCTCAGTGCACAAATTATGAGAAATCTGTTCATTCATTCAGGTGCCTCAGGTGAACAATGGCAGGCAGATTCCACAGCTAGCTTTGGTCTCGTTGGCAGAATTTTATTCAGGCAGCTAAAAGCCTTCTTGCCTTTTTTACCCCAAGAGGTCAGTCCTTCCTGCAATCTATCTCCAAGTTCAGGAGCCCATTGTACAGTATACTTAGCGCCTGCCCACCAACCCTCAATGAATCTTAAACACTGCCTTGTATATCAATACTATGAAAAACTTCTCTAAAGAAGGTGTTTAGTGGCTGCTTGGCACTCTCACTGTATTCTATTTAACACATCCCCTATTTTGGAGTATTTAGATTATTTCCATTTGGGGAGTTATTATAAATTATACTATGAGAATGTTCTCTTATCTAAATATTTATGCTACTGTCCCCATAGTATAAATTCCTACCAGTGGAATTTCTGGGTTGAGGATATGCCTATTTTGATGGCTTGTTGTTACATACTGTAAAATTGCTTTCCAGAAAGGTGAAATGTATTACATTCCCACCAGCCACTGCCCCAATACTCTAATTAAAGTCATTTATAATTTTATTTATATATTTTTTATATTAAAAAAAATTTTTTTTAAAGGGAGAGGATCTCACTATGTTGCCCCGGCTGGTCTTGAACTACTGGGCCCAAGCAATCCTCCTGCTTTGGCCTCCCAAAGTGCTAGGATTAGCGGCATGAGCCACGGTACCTGACACATTTTGTAACTTTAGAAAAATGACTAAAAAGGAAAGAAAAACTCTTTCCCGAACTGCTTTCCTTAGGAAAGCAAAATACATATAGAAAAGGTTTGATGAACTCTTATTCATCTATCCTTTCATTTGTTACTAGAAAAAAAATCTTGGGAGGCTAAAATACAACTGTGAGCTGCTATCAGACTGGTATGATAGATTCATCTTCTATCCAATATTGCAAGTCCTCAAGATGTGCTTCCTTTTTCTGTTTCCCTTTGTTCTGTGGACACCAAGTACAAACTCTGATCGCCAATCCTCCAAGGATTGAGAAGAGGTGGCTTCTATTGACACAGCAGAAGGGAACTTGCTATGAGGAGGGAGGAGGGCTCAGGTTCCGTGCTGTCAGCAAAAAGCTCCTATAAACAGAGCGCAACACATTAAGCCCTTGTTGTTAATATGCTGTCTAGACTTTAAAAATTGCTTTTCTCTCTGTCTTCTACACTTCAACTTTCGACCTTGTTTCTGTCCTTGTATTTGTAAAAATGACTGGACTCAAGCATTTCTTCTCTCCTCGGGATTCAATGGCCAAGTTACTTTTCACCCAAGCTACTATAGTGACCCAGGGTGGACATGATCCTAGCCTCTTCTCTACTGTATAATGAATGAAAAACTTGACAACATTTGACCCATGACTCAGAAAATGCAAGAGTCCTCCTTCCTTTGGGACAATGTAAATGGATACTCCCTGCAGAAATTGGAGCAGACAATCCCTTTGTTTATTACTGATGGAAACCTGGAAGGTATTTAGGGAGGGTTAAGAAAAGTTTGTGGTGCCACACTTAGGGTAGAAGCAAATTGCTAGCAAAACGATTATGAGCCTTTGTTTTCAAATATATTTTACTCAGGAATGTTTCTCTACCCTCTGCACATGATTAAAATCCCCAGGGCCCTCATGCTAACATCTGGCTGCTCAGGTCTCTCTTCAAGACGGCATATTTATCAAGCACTTACTATTAGGTTGCTGCAAAAATAATCACGGTTTTTGCCATTTAAAAGTAATGGCAAAAACCGCGATTACTTTTGCACCAACCTAATATATGCCAGGCATTCCTATGCATGGACATAAAAATGTTCGCATTTAACCCTCACAACTGCAATCTTTATTTATTTATTTATTTATCTATTTTTTGAGACAGAGTCTCGCTCTTTTGCCCAGGCTGGAGTGCAGTGGCGCATCTCTGCTCACTACAAGCTCTGCCTCCCAGGTTCAGGCCATTCTCCTGCCTCAGCCTCCCGAGTCGCTGGGACTACGGGCGCTCGCCACCACGCCTGGCTAATTTTTTATATTTTTTAGTAGAGACGGGGTTTCACCGTGTTAGCCAGGATGGTCCCGATCTCCTGACCTCGTGATCCCCTGCCTTGGCCTCCCAAAGGGCTGGGATTACAGGCGTGAGCCACCGCGCCCAGCCACAACAGCAATCTTATGAGGCAGGTACTCTTATTATTGTCATTCCTGTTGTACCAATGCAGGAAAAACAGTTAAGAAACTTCTTGGAGATGACAGAGTGAGTAAGCGAGGAAAGCAGTCTGACTTTGAGAACCACATGATTAACTGCTGTTCTATACTGCCAATTTATTTAGATTCTTTTGTTCTAGGTTCTTCTTCTCTGCCACCAAAAATCAATAAATCACTTGTCCTCTTATTCTCTCCGGGCCTTGCAAAGTGGCTAAGTTAATCTGATAAACAAATTTAGGTGGTTAATGGCGACAATGGACCAAGGCATTGCCCATCTCAGTAGATGTATTGTACACCAGGACTTTCACTGTGAAAAGCCTAGGAGTGGCAGCCAAGGAGATCTGAGAGAGATTTGGTAGTGGGAAGGGAAGGCAAGGAATGATGGTGGTAATGGGAAGTGGAAGGGGGTGGTGGGTAGAATATTTTTGGGTGGGGGAGCCTATTCTATCATCAGCCAGTGGTTCACTCAGCACATAGGACAAGACAAGCCCTGGATATAATAATATTTAGGCCTTTGTTAGGAACGACTGAATGCTCAAATGTTTGCCTTCATGATTAAGAGAACCCAGAATCTTTAGAGAACGACCATTGTCTCCCAACCACTGCCAAATACAATGCTTTGTGGAAACCACATAATTCCATGGTCTATCCACAACATCCAGTTTTCTGCCACATTTTTGTGATTAAGGAAACCAAAAGGAGCAGGACACAGTTGCCCCACATAAATCTATCTGTCACCCTCGCCTGGTATAAGCCAATTGAAATATCACAAACCCACATCAAGTTGTCACATTCTTTTAATGTAATCGACCCACAACATCCCACACATACTTTCCTCTCTTGACTTTCTCTGGGGCCAGGGTAGTTTGTGTTAGAGAAATGATGACTTGCTGGAAGGTGTGGCCAAGGAATAATATAATCGTTGGCTTGAAGATGTATATTTTGGTCCTGGATAAATGTATTTAAAAGATTTTAATGAGTCATGAAGGTAGTGCTGACACTTAGAACAATATTTTTCATGCTCTTTAAGATGAATAACTAACACAGTGCCTGGCTCAGAGTGGAGGCCAATAAATGCTTACTGGTTGAAAGAATGAGTGAGTACTGAGAATTTAACATGGTATGATTTGCCTACGGTTAAGACTGTGCTATAACTTAGGAGGTGAGTCTTCAGCAGAGTCTTGAAGGGGCTGCCAGATTTCGGTAAAATGAATTTTCATTTTGTCAGTTCTACAAGTCTTATCAGTTGACCTGATATTTTTACTTCTCATTAAAAACATTCCCACCCCTGAGATTATATTTATGTCTTCCCAGCCTGGGCAACATGACAAAACCCCGGCTTTACAAAACATTAAAAAATTAGCCGAGTGTTGGTGGCACACACCTGTAGTTCCAGCTATATGGGAGGATGAGGCTGGAGAATCACTTGAGCCTACGAAGCAGAGGTTGCAGTGAGCCAAGATTGTGCCACTGCACTCCAGCCTGCACAACAGAGCAAGACCCTGTCTGTTAAAAAAAAAAAAAGTATATCTTCCAAGAATGTTTATACTCTTTCATCAGAATAGGTTGTTTTCTCTCTTATTTTTATAAACTGACTGAAAGTGGAAGAAATTTGGTGTTACTGCTGCAATAACAGAGCAGACGACACTTACTCATATGTGGGTGGAGCTATTTCTCCCAGAACCATGGAGAACTTATGCGTATTACCATGCACTCCATGCTGCGTGGCCTGTGAGCCCTTCACAGAGGACAGAGTGGGTGTTCTGCGCTCAGTGTCTTCACAGCACACCGCCTTTACCATCGGGAGCTGCCTGCTTGGGTCCATCCAGTCCAGCACAGAGTGCTTAGGAGGATATGCAGCCCAGGCCTCACACTGTCATCTCCCCTTGGCAGGAAGGAACTCTGAAACTCTGGGAGGCAAAATGAATTTCCCAAGCCTACAGTGCAGGAGTCCGTGATAACATAGAAATAGGTTAAAAGATTTCTATTTCCCCACAGAAAGTTCCAGAGCTAGAACTAAAAAACAGACATGTTTAATTTTAAGCCTGTGTGCATGTATCCAAATAACCATGCTGTGAGCCACACACTCTTTTTCAGGGCTCAGATCAAAACAAATTCCAACACAAAGCCACTGAAACTTAATGGAGAGAGCATTGTCCTAGTGTAGACTAGAGGGTATGGTGCTCACCCCGGCCAAAGCTGCTTTTGATACAGAGGGCTTAGGTAGGAGACATAATTAAAATGACAGAGCAAAAGCCCAGTAACCTGGGAAGTGCATGAACTTCTTCTGACAATGTGTGAGTCCTGTTGAGAGGTGAGATCCTGCTAGGAAAGTACCACTTGGAGGAACAGTCTTAGCATAGGTTTGGCACTCCTAAGGGCCCTGCCAATTTACCACACACAGATGAAGAAACACCGTAGACACTCTTGAGTGCAGCTGCTGTCAGAAACTTGCTTCCAAAGAGTGGAACATGAAAAGAGAGGGTGGGGGAAGTAGCTTCATGATGGAGAAACCTGGCAGACACTACGTTAGCCAGGTGATTAAGGTTCACAACAAGGATAATAAGTCATGTGGACACATGGATCTCCGGATATGATGTGATGGGAGTAGCAATATACCTCTGTGGTTTCCCCTACCAAATCCATAACCCCAGTCTCATCATGAGAAAATCATCAGATAAACCCCAACGGAGGGACATTCTTCGAAACACCCAACACAGCACTCCTCAGGACTGTCAAGGTCATCAAAACCAGGCAAAATGTGAGCAACTGTCACAGCAAAAAGGAGCCAAAGAAGACAAGACAACCAATGCATGATCTCAGATGGGGTCCTAGACCAGAAAAAGGACATCCATGGAAAAACTAGTGAAATATGAATAAAGCGCAGAGTTAATAGTAACATACTAGTCAGTGCTTCCTTCTTAGTTGTGACAAATGCACAATGACCATATAAGATAATAACAATAGAGGAGATGGGATGAGGGCATACAAGAACTTTCTCTACTGTCTTTACAGTGTTTCTGTAAATCTAAAAACATTCTAAAATAAAAAATTTTATTAAAAAACAGGTGGAAAAGTAAAAATAAAAAGATGCACTGCAAGGATAGATAAGAAACTTATAAAAGTGCTTACATACAGGGGAGTGGGACTGGGTGCCCAGGGTCAGGGGTGGGATCGAGACTTCTCAGTGCACACTGTTAAAATGTCATTTTGAGTTATGAAACATATGACTGTATTATCTGCTTAAAGAAAAATACACCCTGGCTCTGTAGCCTGCTTGGACATGTTGAATGAGAGCAACAATGACAAAGAGGAGACTTATTAGGCAAAATGTTAATTTTTAAAAAATATAGCTAGCATACTAAATGAGGGCCAGACATGTGGGTGTAAGGTTGCCAGTTGCAAATGAAGTCCCTCACAAGGTGCTGTTTATGGCTGCCTGTCTGGACTGCTGGATCATGAGGGTGAAGTTTTGAGAAAGCCATTTGGCTCTGAGGGGCCTCCTGAGGGTTAGCTCTTTTGCAAGCCTCTGGCCATGACAGTTCCATGGCAAGCAGAGCCTCTTATTCTCTCTGTTATACAGATACAGCATCATACAGGAAGGGTACCATTGTATATTACAGATCTGAGTCCTAATAAATAAATGCAGAGGCAGATATCATGCTGTCTAATGGAGTGTGGGAAAAGAAAGATCAGGCAACAGAATCTTCCCAGGGAGGAGGGCAGGGGTTAGAGAGAAGTTGACCTTAAGCCAAATGGTAGGAGCCAAAGATGAGGTTGTGGGTTGCAGGCAGTGGAAATTGTGCTGGGCTCATCTCAGCTATGGTCTCAAAGGAAAGACACTTTAGTCTACCTAGAAGCTAAAGAACTTGATTATAGGGAAACACTGTCACTTCATTTTAAACCCAAACCAAAAGTCAAACCTTTAGGTCCCACCCCCACATCTTGTCACTTTGATGTCAGGAGTCGATGGTGAAAGATGTCTGGAGTCTGAAGGTGGAAATGATCTTTTCTTTCTGTGTGAAGTCTCTCCCAGTGTTGTGGGATTCCTTCTCCCTCTACCTGGATCCTTTCCTGGGTTGAAGCCGTTTAAATGGGAAAGACTGAATGTCCTCCAAGTCTCTTCCACTTCTAAAAGCCTAAGAAATATCTTTGCTTATGGAGAATTGGATTTCATCATTTAAATCCCCTGTGAGGATCTGAAAAAACTAAGAGATGGGCTGCTTGGTGCAAAAATTAGAGTGAGAGTGAATAGCTCCTTTTTAAAAGTCAAAGGAAGAGGGGAAAAAAAAAGGCGTCCTGACAGGCTGAAAATATCTCCCAGGTTTTCCAAGTCTCTTAAATGTTATAGGTGTGAAACTGGCCACTGGGAATAAAATGTGGAAACAGAAATAGCTCAATTAGACGAATCTTTGAGGTTCAAATTTCATGAGTTCATGAGAGCTCTTTGGTCTCCCAAGAAGACAGAATATAAGCAAGAAACTGAAAGCTTTTTGTCCATGCAGAGTTTATTTTCTCAAACACTGCTTATCCATTGTCGAACTAACAGTCTTTGTTGAAAGACTACCTCATGATACATTTCAGGTAGAAGTCGAATATTTTATGCAATCATATCTCCCCATGAGGAAACCCATTCAAAGCTCAAATGATTCACACACAAAAAAGTTCATGGAGTTGTTCATGTCTGAACACACAATTCTCAGGAGACACATTAGCTTGTTTGACACGCCAGAAAGTACAGTGTTTTTGTGCAAATATTTTAATACAGGAAATATGAGTCTAGTCTGTATCTTTCTAAGTCCATGGATATGAGGGAGTTTTGAAGTAAAATGCCATTTATTGTCTTAAAAACATAAAGAGATGCAAATGAGGATACTACCAATAAAAATGCTTCTCTGATCTACACAACACCAAATAAATAACAAAAACACACACTATCAAGTAGGGATAACAGAACTAAAGTAAGACACTGAGCAACCAAGAATAATTTTGAAAGATTTCCTTATGAAAATCATTTTTAATGATCCTGGATGCACTAATTTCATGATTAAAACACAATAACACACATCAAATTGTGCAGCAAAAAGCAATGCCTCTGGGAGGCTCAGAACCAGTCTGACAACTTTTCTGTGATTAGAAAGGGGCAAATATCACTTTACAGACTCTGTTTTTTCAGAAGGCAGGCGTCAGCACTCTTTGGAGACCAGGCAAGAGCAGGCAGTGTGTGGGAGGGGGCACTGCAGGCTGCCTTCTACTTCCCCCCATCTCAGACCCGAGAGAACCCTTAGGTGATGAGGGTCACATGGGATGGCAATCTCTGTGGACCGTTTGGATTATAAATATTCTCCCAGGCTGCCTTTTAGCAAAAAGTCACTTAGGGAAATATGCACCTGAAACCCTTCCTTCTCCCATTGGGCAAGTGTTTTAGAAAATGATCTGACAAAGCTGCAGCAGGAAGGAAGAGGAAGGGAAGATGCTCCAGAGGCTGAGGACACAGGGGTGACACTGGGGGGTCTGGAGGGCCTGACTTGGGTGGAGGATGTCACCCTTCCAAAGAATCTTAGAAGCTGCTATGAAGGCCACTAGGCATGGGCTAGGGAGATTCTCTAAGTGGGGACCAAGGTCCTATCCCCGGGGAACAGAGTGCCAGCTACAGAATCTGTGCAGGAAGAATATAGGCAGCAGCGGTTCTCGGGCAGGCATCACTTTAATATGCCCCCATCGCTGTCACGACAAAGAGGAGCAAAGGAGAGAAAAGAATGGGGAGGGGGCACATGGAGGGAAGCACATGAAGGGGGCACACGTCAATATTTTCCCAAGCAGAAAATGAGAGCAAACCAAGAAGGAAAAAGGGAGATGAAGATGAGAGAGAAGAAAAAGCAGGGCTAATAGATATATCCACCATCCAAACACAATTCCAATGATTTTGTCTATACTTGTAACCCATAATGTTAATTTAATGGGAAATCCCTAGAGAAGCAAGCCTCCAAAGACAAGTTCCATGAAGCAAATGTCTCTGGCTCATCAGGGATCTGGCAGCTGGGTTCTTCTCATTCTCGGTAACCCGTGGGCTCTCCAGCTCCCTCTGAGCCGATCGCTGTTGGAGGGTTCCCCACCTTCTCAACGACTTTGTCCCATTTTCTTTCATTTCTTTTAAACTAATCTGAAACCCCCACCTTTGTCCTAAATTTTCAGCTCCAGATTCATTTTTTTAAAAAATGACCTGCCACCACAGCATGTAATTTTTATAAATGTCTGCCCAACACTAGCGGCACCAAGTAATAAGATTCAAATCCCTACAGTGACATTATTCTGCCAACCCTTCCCCTTTCCCGAGACTTACCAGAACGTGGGCTGTCTGCCAGGGAAATATAATAAAATGTGAGAACAGGAATAAATAAAAATTAAACTTTAAATTCTGTATCTTTGCCTGTTTCATTTTCTTCCTTTTTCTTTTAATCCTTTCCTTTCCCCCTTTTCTCTTATCATCATGTTAATTTTTAGCTAACTCTGCTTTTGCCTCCCGTGTTGATGATGTGAATATATCTGCTCTTTCCTTATGAATTTCTAGGTGAGCAGACTAGACTGCCTTATGCACCATGCTAACAATTTTCCTCTCGTCGTTTCTTACTATATCCTCCTGTGTGGAGTTGGTCCATCCTAGCTAAGCTCTTCACTGTCCTTTATGTCCAGTGCCATGATTCTTGGTCTTCTTGTTGGCTCTTGCAAATCTTATCTGGTTTTTCACTGTCCCAGTGTATCCTTCTGGTCACCGATTGTAAGGCCTCTCTGCATTTCCTGTTGTGTTTCTTGAGAAATCTCTTTAATCCTCAAATGCCCTGTCTTTCCTAACTAGCATGAGGGATGATTTGGGGCTTCCTTTCCTTCATCCAATCTAATAGGCTTCTACTGTTGTTTTTTCCTCCCATTTTGTCCAATAGCTATAGCTCTGGCCGAGGTGATCAAAAAAGTTCCCCTCTTGGGTGTACACCTGCTAGGAAGACTGTGCTCCCTGACAGAGGAGATGTCCTTGGATGAAGGCGATCAGGAGCCTTCACCTCTCACAACCATTTCAGGAGTGTGGTACATTTGGTAGGAATTGGAATTTGTTGTAGGAGCAGATTTGGTTTGGGAGAAAGCAGGGATGGTGAGGCCCTGGGACTGTCTGCCTTCCCAGGGCTTCTCCAGTACTGTGGCAGCGTCTCCCATGAACCGCTGAGCTGGAAGATATTGGGACCCTACACCAATGCATTCTTTAGTCCTTTAGTGAAAGGAATATACCAGAGGCCTCCCAAGGAATGTAGTCAGGTTGCAGGTTCTCTAGTCTTACATACTAAATTCATCTGAGCATTGCAACCTCCTTGAGCCTTCTGACTCCTTTCTCAATATTACACCAAAGCAGCTCTGCCATCTCCACCTCATTTTTCATGAGTCATTTTCCATGCAGGCCTTAAACAATAACAATGAAATAAGATTTATAAAGAAGCTTCGTTATAAAGCTGAAAAACTTGACACAATGCTCTTAATGATTACAGTTAGGGAAAATTATAACAACTCAAATGTTTTATGTTTTGTATGTTTCTGTTTTTTATTTAATGATGGGTAATATAACTAGTAGGTTAACAAAACCCTAAGATATAAAGGAACTGATCTATATAATGACAACATTTTAAGCATTCAGCCTCTGGCTTATAGGATGGTACACACTGACAGCCATCACCCAGCTTACTCATGAGGCTAACTAACTCCTCACCTGGTCAAAGTGACAGAAAACTGGTATTAAAGAGAAATCATGAACCAACAGAAACAGAGATGACTCAAGGCTTACAGATGGAGCCTTACAGGAGCTGACACCCCTTGCCTCCGTGGGAAGGAGGTAACACAAAGAACAGAATGGCTCTTTCACTTCTGAAGCATCATTTACAATATGGTTGCCATTCCATATTTGGAACATTTATACTAAAAGATTTCTTATTTATATGAAACTCAAATTTAACTGGGCATCTTGTGTTTTATCTGGTAACCCTAATAATACACAACTACCACATGAATACTTCACTCCTCCAGAGGTCCAAGGACAGCTATCTATCTGCTAATGAGCCCCTATAACACACCTATGGAGATCCAAATTCATTCTCAGCTTCAGAGCCAAAGGAGGTTGTTGAAGTCCAATGTCGGGTCATTTCCAGCCACAGCTTGGACTGTTTACTTCAGGGACACTGATTAAGTCATATATTACAAGGAAGCCTCCCATTGCCCCTAATTCAAAACAGCTGGGTCAGCTTCTCCTGCCAGCCAAGGCTGCGGTGGAAGCCTCAGGAGGGGACTGTATTTCGAAGGAGGGCAGTCGGGGGATAGGTTTAATATTGAGCAAGGACATCTCTTGATGCTCCTGTGGAAAAGCTCTTTATAGAGCATCGGGTTACAAAGCCTCAGTTAGGTGGGGGGTGAAGAGGGACAGAGCATCGGGGGAGCACTGGAGAAATCACTGAAACATTTGACGATCAAAGAATTCAGCCTGTCAAATGCCATGATATTTTTTCAATGAGGAAACAAGCTCACATTTTCCCCCTGAGGGCTTAGAGACAAAAGCCAAGGTTCAACTAAAAATTTTAAAGACTTTTTTTTTAAGCTGCCAAACTCTCTGTCTGTATATGCTTTGCTTCCACTTAAGCTCTTTTTCCCTTGAAATTGGGGGGCGGTGGGGCAGGAGAACATTTTATTTTGGTGAACCTGGCCAGTGTGGAATGTACAAAAGCATACATTTGTGCCCATAAATCTGGTTCATTTACTTAGCAAAGCATATTCATTTCCTTACCAAAGCTTCTTATCCCAACAATGAAGGCGGATGTTTTACTAAACCTATAAGGTGAGAAAGGGGGTAGCTCAGTCATGCTTCCGTTTCTTGTTTGCTTTCTTCCCAGAAGCTTACCTGCACGGCACAGTGTTGAAGAGGGTATAGGGTTGAAAGGTAACGAGACAGAGACAGAGAGAGGGAGAGAGGAAGAAAGGCCGACAGCATGGGAAGAAGATTGTGATGAGTGGGGCAGATGTATTTTCCCTCCCTTTAAGAAATATTTCAAGTTTTGCTTTTTTTGGAGAGAACCCAGCTTGTTTTAACTTCATTTTCCAGTAGATAATGCTTCTATGAATTTGGTTGAACTAGAGAATAGAAATGAAAGAGAAGTCAAGGTAAGCATGCTGGGGAACGAAACGCGCCGGGTCCGAGTAGTTCCACATTCATGTCTACTGACCATGAACATAACATCAGCTCTGCCAGAGAAATAAACAGAAGATAAAATCAAAACTCAATCTTCATATGGTTCCAAGACAGGCCCTGTATTTGTCTTTGCATGAGATTTAGCATATCTGTTCTAGCCTGAAAGAAGTTTAAAAGAACAGGAATTCTTTTAAAAAGTAGAAGAGGGGTTTTCAAAGAGCAGAAGTTGCTTGTCAAATATCCCGGCTGACATCTGAGCCAGCCCTGTGGATACTGAGTGCACATCTGTGTATCACAGGACAATGTTTTCATTCTTTCAAATGCCAGAATAACCTTCCTCCCTGGCCTGGCCCCAACTTCTTCTGGTACACATCAGGAAGGTTCTGGTGGCATTCCCATTAGTTAGTGAGGAGGAAGAAGCTGATGATGTTCCTGTTGAGGCTGAGGTGATCCTATGGAGAGGTTGGGAAGATGTGGAAACAGGAAATAGAGGAGGCCGGACTAAGCAGACACAGAGCTGCTCCTCTAAGTGCGAGTGGAGACTCAGAAGAAGAACTAGCACTAATCTGCCCTCTACACTATGAGTTCCTTTTTTCGTTTCTCTTTTATTTTTTATCTTATTTATTTAGTTTTTGAGACAGGGTCTTGCTCCGTCACCTAGGCTGGAGTGTAGTGGCATGAACATGGCTCACTGCAGCCTCAACCTCTCACTGCAGCCTCAACCTCCCGGGCCCAACTGATCCTCCTGCCTTAGCCTCCCCTGTAGCTGGGACTACAGGCATGGGCCACCAAACCAAGCTAATTTTTAAAATCTTTTTTAGAGATGGGAGAGACTCACCATCTTGTCCAGGCTGGTCTCAAACTCCTGGCTCAAGTGATCTTCATGACTCGATCTCCCAAAGTGTTGGGATTACAGATGTGAGCCACCACGCCCAGTCTGTCTCTCGCTCTCTCTTTTAAAAATGGAAACACAGCTCACTTTTAGTAAAGGGTGCAAATCTAAAGTGTAGAGCTTGATGAATTTTTACAAATGTATATGCCGATCTAGCTACCTCCAGATTAAGGTATAGATCAAGGGCTCCAGAAAGAGTTCCAGAAAGACACAGCCCTGGCCATAATATTCCACAGTATGCAACCGTTTTACATTTTTAAACGCCAGAATAACTTTGTTCCCTGACCTGGCTCCAAGTTTTTCTCATAAAGAAACAGCCATATTAGATTAACTATAATTTTTTAAAAATTACCTTACTTTTGTACACCAGGCTACACAGAGTAACTGAAAGCTCTTTCTCTCATGTTCGAGCCGAGTCAAAACCATCCACATGACAACATCTCAAGAACCAGCCCTTCGGCAGCCCAGCTTCTCTTAAGCCTAGAAAGCTGTGAAGGGGTTGCCAGGGGAGTGAAGTAAGTGTGAAGTGTAAACTTGGAAAAGTAGAGGTGAAATTTGCTGGGCTCCCCATCCTTCAGAAGTTCTGCAAACATCTCTGTCCTTCTGTCCACAGCTGCTTCTTATTTCTTTGCAACCTTTGACTTTTCTGGTTTTTTAATTTTTTTTAATTTTTGTTTTTTTTTTGAGACAGAGTCTTGCTCTATCACACAGGCCGGAGTGCAGTGGCCCAATCTCAGCTGACTGCAACCCCACCAACCCCACCCTGGTTCAAATGATTCTCGTGCCTCAGCCTCCTGAGTAGCTGGAATTACAGGCATGCACCACCACATCCAGCTAATTTTGTATTTTTAGTAGAGACAGAATTTCACCATGTTGGCAAGGCTGGTCTTGAACTCCCGACCTTAGGTGATCCGCCCTCCTCGGCCTCCCAAAGTGCTGGGATTTACAGGCATGAGCCACTGTGCCCGGCCCCAATTTTTTAATTTTTTTATCCCCAGGCTTTTCACCAACCTGACAGCAAAAGGTGGCTAGGATCTGAATAACAAAATAAATGTAAAGAGAAATGCCCCAGAAATGCTGCAAACCCCAAGCCACACATTTTATTAGCCAGCAGGGTGTATAAAATTTGCTAACAATTTTTATGCTGCAAAGTTGGGCAGAGTAGATTGTGGAATCCCAGAAGCCCTTGTTGTTCTCCTGGATGCGTCTTAAAACCCTTACCAGTTCTAAGCAGCAGTCTCAATTCTGCGACTGGCACAAGGGTATTCTATATTACACAAAATTGGATACAGCTTGAAGAATGGGACCCATTCTTTGGCAGATATTTAGAAAGCTTTGGCACATACTTCTAAATATCTGCCAACGCTTTATTGCAACATAGAAAGTGGAACATAGCTATAGCAGGGTCGTACTCTTCTATCGAAACATGGCAAGCCCTGAAAGGGAGGCAGACCTCAGGGCAGAGGCTTCAAAAAGTCACACAATTAAATAACAAGCACTTATCAAATACCTATTGTTCATAAATATTTTATTTAACCAATAAATATAAATATTTATTGAGCATCTGTATTAGTTAGGGTTTTCTAAGGAAACAGACCAATTGGATATTTTTATATGTCAAGAGGGAGAGAGAGAGATTTATTTTAAGAAACTGAGTCATAACTGTGGGTGGCAAATTTGAAGGTTACAGGGCTGGCTGGCAGACCAGAAATTTAGGTAAGAGTTGATGTTGCAGTCTTGAGTCTGAAATCCACAGGGCAGGCCAGCAGTCTGGAAACTTAGGCAGGGTTTCTCTGATGCAATCTTAAGGCAGGATTCTTTCTTTGGGAAGCCTCAGTCTTTGCTCTAAGGCCTTTGGTCAGTTGGATGTGACCCAGACCCACCTACATGATGAAGAGTACTCTCCTTTACTTAAAGTCTACTGGTTGTGAATGTTCCTCACATCTAAAAAAAAGACCTTCACAACAACATCTAGACTGTTGTTGGAGCAAAGAACTTGGCACCACAGCCTAGCTAAAGCTGAGAGATGCAATGAACCATCACGGCATCTAACTGTTTAATCACTGTGCTAGGGTCTGTGGATAATGCCCAGGGAAAATAAGAAACAAGGATTAATAAGATAAATGCAATCGATCTTTAATTGGCACAGAGATTAATAATCCCTCCTCAGAAAGCTTTTCACCTAGTAATGTAGAGAAGATATAAATGCTTTCCTTTCTCTTTCCAGAAATATGCTCAACTAGAACATCTGAAAACACCTTCTGATAAAGTATAACATAAATGATTTAAACAATGATTTTTAAATGATTTGCTGGACAAAAAGAAAGTAATGAATCTGCACAGGCCAAAAATGCATTGAAAGCAGGAATTCTAGGAAGCTATCTATCAAACCCTAGTGACCTTGGGCTCTCACTGCAATGACTTATCAGGACGTGAGATAGAAGAGAAAGCTCACTACCAGGAGAGAAAGAGGGGTCAGATGGGGAAGGGTGAGGTTGGGAGGAGGCTGGAGAAAACTACCCCCCAGGAAGAGTCCTCACCAGGTACCTGACTATACTGACACCAAGATCTTAGATTCCAGCCTCCAGAACTTGAGAAATAAATGTCTGTTGTTTAAGTCACCTAGTCTATGGTATTTTACCATAGCATCCCGAGCTGACAGACAACCACCAAGATTAACTATCATGAAGCAATGGGTATGGGCAAACCTAATTTTAGGAGATTGTAGAGGGTCCTCATACAGCTTCAAATTATAGAATGACAGACATAGACTGGACCGTGATGATCATATGATCCAGCAATTTCCAAACTCTTAACCCTGACCTTGGGAATGGGCCCTTCACTTCTTCTACTCTCCCACTCCCTCCCCACCTAACTCTCCGCATTGTTTGGAGAAGCCATTCACTTAACACACATTTCTTAAGGCCCTGCCAGGTACAAGACATTGAGATGGGTGATGAGAAATACGATGGTTAAACAGACATACTCAAGCTTTCAGCCCAAAGGCCACTTCCTCAGAAACACCCTCTCAGTACACCCCCCACAGTGTGACTCACGTGGGCTGCTTTGAGCTCCCACAGCACCTACGCCAACCATCATATTCTATGCTGTCTAATGTGTGCCTAAAGAATTCCTAGAATTCCTGACTATATGGATTATATGCTAACTTGTTTAATGTGTGCCTCTAAGTTGTCTCTAAACTATAAGTTCCCAGAGAGCAGGGTCTGGGTCTGGCTTGTTTCCTGTAGTATCCCCAGATTATAGCATAATAGCTGGCTTATAGTAGGTGCTCAGTAAACCATTGTTAAATGAATACATTTCTCCAGTTTTTCAATTCCAACAATGATGGTTACATGGTCAGTCCATTTTGTTTCAGATTCATTTGCCATAGACCCAGGTGCAGGGAGAAATAGCAGAGCAGCTGCTGGGCCCCTTCTTAAATCACTGCTGTAGACAGTTGGGGTTCAGGAATAACCCAGAATGCCTTTGGCCAGAAGATATTTTTGCCCACTAGTTTTCATAGCCCTGTTTATTTGAGAGGAAATTTGATCCAGATGTTCCAGATTCATTTACATTAAACGCATCACCACGTGACACCATAACAGCTTTTGATGGCCATGAAGTCCTTTTTCACAAACTAGGCAGTTGCCTTTTGCCAGCTATAAATGAATACAAAACCCCAGTTCTTTGCATTTGGGTCCAAATTTAGACTCAGCAAGGATTGGGAGAGTGTGAAGTTTGGCAACTCTGCATTCTCCTCTCCCTGCTGAGGCATGGATGGGATTTTATAGACCTTGGAATGTAGATTTCCTAATGACTCAGACAAATGTCACAATGTGATTGGGTTAATCCACCAAAAGGACAAAAACCAAGACTCTTCCTTGACTTTGTGATTTCTGCTGACCTTTTTAAAAAGAAGTGGGAGACAGAAGAGAGGGTAAGGCGGGAGTTTCAGAAGGGCAGACAAACACGCACATCCAAAATTCGTAACAACTTAATGATTCACTAACAGCACCAAGGAATTTAAATGTGCTGGTCCCACGGCAGGCAAAGAGACAAGGGCCCTCCTCCCCTCCTGCCTGTCCCTGTGTTTTTCTCTACCCACCCCTCTCTCCCTGACATAAGGGTAGGCCTTGGCAGAGAAAGACAACCCCTCATTCCACTGAATTAGCTCAACCCTGAAAAACTAACTCAAAATGATCTGTAAGGATATTTTATGGCCCAGGAAATGTGTGCATGAGGGTGATTCTCTGAGACAACTGGAAAATGTTATTTCAGTGCAGTGAGTTGCTCCCTCCTCTGCTCACGGAGCACTCAGTGCTGCCTTTACTCTTAGCATCTTGCAATTTATCTGTTTAAAAGCCTGTTCCCACCAATAGACTGGTAAGATCCAAGGACAGGAGTTGCAACTTATTTACCCTTGTATACTCAGCACTTAGCACAGTGCCTGCCAAATAGTGGTTGCTCATAAAATGTCTGATGAATGAATGAATGACTTACTACCTCTACATTAACCAGGGCTTTCAGATGACTGTATCACCACATAGATACAGAAAGATAAATACTTAGATGGATATAAGGAGACAGACAGACATAAGACAGAATGAAGAAGAAACATAGAAAAGAAAAACCTCCTATTTCTTGAAAATCCTTTGAGTGGAACCAGAGAATTTTAGATAACTCAGGCAAGTATCAGCAATATGCAGATGTGAGCATGTCTATGTATTACTGATTCTATTTTCTGTTCCATTTTCTGTAGGTTTTTTAGAGTGACAAATCTCTGAAAATTGATACTTCTCAGCCTTCCAATGATAGCATAGTTACAACCGCTCTGCAACAGGAAAGTCCATCCATTCGACAGTATTGAAAAACACTCTGCAATTCTTTCAGTGATCTAGAACAGTTATGCCCTTGCTTGATCCAAAGTTAATGACATCTATTTATAAAGGAGGAAAAGAGACCATAATTCTTTATATTGTGTTTTTCCATGTGCGATTGGATTTTCTAAGCCAGCCTGAAAGCCACAGGCTTGCTAGACCACAGCAGTGCCCTAAAGCAGAAGTGGTGAGCCTCTGTCTGAAACGAAGGAAAGGGTGACTTCATCCTCAGCAGTTAAGGATGGAGGGATTATGAGATTTGAAGTGGGATTTGGAAAAAATCTCTGGTGCTGTGGATATGGGGGCTGCTGGCGGCCTCTTCACCTGGGCTGAATCGCTTCACTCCCGCCTCTCCAGTTATAATAACTGCCCTCTTGGCTAGGACTGTGGCAGGTTATTTTTTGTCATTTTTTCCACTCTGAGTTTCAAGGGATTTTACTGTGGATCTTAATTTCCCACTTTTGTTCAAGTCTTCTTGACACGATTTCAGATCATGAGCAATCTTAAGTGTGGAGGGATATTAAATGCATGGTGCACTTGGCAGTTTAGGAGCCACAGCGGAGAAGCAATTAAGCGGGTGAGGAGCGGGCTGCAGTCATTAGAGATCACTTCTGCACTCTGATGGCTGCACAGCTGTGTTTGGCTTGCCTACTCATGTGTGACTGCAAACCAACAAGACTAATATTTAGGTTATTTCATCCAAATGGAGCATATTTACAGAGTACCTACTATATGCAAAGCATCCTACTAGATGTTGTGTAGAATTATAACAATTAACAGAACTTTCTTGGCACTTTCAATCCAGTAAAAGCTATACAAGAACACGTGGTGGTTTTGTACTGTGTTCATTTAGCCAGGCTGGAACTGCCTTTCTAAGGATTTCTTTCTCTTCTTGTTTCTGGGATAGGGATGGTCACGAGAGAAGTTTGTGGAAGTGATGGAGTGTCCATGTTGAGGCTCCGAAGGTTGGCGTAGGTGCCATGCACTGCGGCACTGTGCACGCTGTCACTGTTCTTCTAGCTTACCTCACACAGGGGCATATCACTGCAACCCACAGTTCCTCGAGCTCTTCCTTCAGCTTCTCCAAGTCCTGGGCCATGTATCATGGCCACTCCCTGGCAAAGGGCACCAGCTTCTTCTGCAGGGCAATTCAGTATCAAGCCTGGAAGTGTTTAGAGACAAAGACAGGTTCCAGTTTGTCCTCATGGGTTCCAGTTGTCCAGGTGGGCTCCAGTTTGCCTTCCTCCATGTTCAGCTTTCATTCCCAACTGCTGCCCCAACACAAGATGCAGAGACAGCAGCATGGCATTTACTTGGACTTTTGGGTTAACGCTAGATTCCTCCTCTCACTCCCACAATTGCATGTGGTCTAATCCCTATATGCAATGCCTCCTTCCATATCATTCATAGTGCTTCTGCTTCTCTAATTCAACCCAGGCAATATGGAATGCACGCGTGCACGCACACACACACACACACACACACAGAGAGAGAGAGAGAGAGAGAGAGAGAGAGAGAGAGAAAGGACTCTTGGCCTATTTAATGTGATCACTTGGGACCCCTATACATTTATTCCAATGATGTTCACTGACTCATTATGGGACTTGGAAAGTCACTTCATCCCCCTTGACCTCATCTGTAAAATGAGGGCTGGGTCTAAATCAATGTTTTTCATTTTGTCTGGTTATTAAATCACGAAGGTTATCATGATAAGTACAGAATCCCAAAGTCACAGTTCAGACTTACTGAATCAAAATCTTCAGGGGAGTGATCAGCAAATCTTTGTTTTACACCAGGGCCCCAGGTAATTTGTATCATCAGGTAAAGTTGGGGAAAGGCTGATAGATATGGGTGGGTAGTTGGTGCCCAAGAGGGCAAGTGGAAGCTGGAATGCAACATGTGCTTTACTCACCAAGCTGTACGTCCTGGTGTCCAAGAGGCATTTTATTTATTTATTTTTTCTGAGACCGAGTCTAGCTCTGTCACTCAGGCTGGAGTGCAGTGGCACGATCTCGGCTTACTGTAACCTCCGCCTCCCGGGTTCAAGCAGTTCTCCTGCCTCAGCCTCCTGAAAAGCTGGGATTACAGGTGCCTGCCACTATGCCAAGCTAATTTATATATATATATATATATATATATATATATATATATATATATATATATATTTGTTTGTTTGTTTGTTTTGTTTTTTGTTTTTGTTTTAGTAGAGACAGGGTTTCACGGTGTTGGCCAGGCTGGTCTTGAACTCCTGACCTCGTGATCCACCCTCCTCGGCCTCCCAAAGTGCTGGGATTATAAGCGTGAGCCACCACACCTGGCCCTAAGATGCATTTTAAACATTTGCAGTGAACTAACTCAGAAAATCAAATACTGCATGTTCTCATTTATAAGTGGGTGCTAAACAATGGGTGCACATGGACATAAAGATGGAAATAATAGACACCAGGGAGTTCAAAAGGAGGGAGGGAAGCAGGGGGATGATGGCTCAAAAATTACCTGTTGGGTACAATGTTCAACATTTGGGTGATGGGTACGGTAGAAACCCAATCCCCACCATTAAGCTATATACCCATGTAACAAATCCCCTGCATCTAAAAGAAAAAATGAAAAGTTTGCACAAAGGCTTATGGCACCCTGAGTTTGGAAACTGTTGGATCATATGATCACTATGGTCCAGTCTATGTCTGACATTCTGTAATTTGAAGCTGTATAAGGATCCTTTAATGATCCTAAAATGAGGCTTGTCCCTACTCATTGCTTCATGATAGTTACTCTTGGTGGTTGTCTCAGTCAGCTCGGGATGCTATGATAAAATACGATAGACTGGGTGACTTAAAGAACAGACATTTATTTCTTACCGTTCTGGAAGCTGGAATCCAAGATCTTGGTGCCAGTATAGTTGAGTTGCTGATGAGGGCCTTCTTCCTGGGTGGATGAGTAGCTTTTTTTTTTTTTTTTTTTTTTTTAAATAAAGGCACTGTCTTAGTCCATTTTGTATTGTTGTAACAGAATACCACAGGCTGGGTAATTTATAAAGAAAAAAAATTCATTTCTTACAGTTTTTGAGGCTGAGAAGTCCAAGAGCATAGCACCGGTATCTGGCAAGGGCCTTTGGGCTACATCATCCCATGGCGGAAGATGGAAGGGCAAGAGAGCATGAGAGAGCAAGAGGAGGGTTTTATAACAAACCCACTCTCTCAATAGCAAAGCCATTCCCTTGATAATGGCATTAATCCGTTCATGAAGGTGGAGCATGCATGATTTAATCAACTCTTAACGATCCCACCTCTCAACACCGCTGCATTGGGAATTAAGTTTCCAACTTATGAACTTTAGGGGACACATTCAAACCATAGCAGGTACTAATCCCATCTAACGACCTAATTATCCCCCAAAGGCCACAACTACAAATACCATCATATTGGGGTTAGGTCTTCAACAAGTGAATTTTGTAGGGACACAATTCAGATCATAGCAATGGTAATTGAACTTTGTGTATTCTTAATGAACAAAAGGCTGCTATAAAGTCAATAGTGCTTTAAGATTATTGTTTACTTTATCAATCGTTGTTAAAAATATGGGTATATATGTGTGTGAAACCTTATTTAAGCTATAGAAAATGCCTGGTTCGCTTAAAGACGCGCTCTTCAGGACTCTATGATTTTTGGAATCATTGAGAATCTTAAGACTTTCACCTTTAAAATTATATTCAGAACTAGTCAAGGAATTCAATCTCATAACTTGGGGATTATGTCTCACCTTTGATAGAAAATGGTAATATCCAGCTTGGATTCTCACCTCATTTACTCAAACATGTTGCTGAATAATTTTTAGTTGCTTACAAAAAGTTAAGCACACTTTCAAAATTAAACAATTATTACAAAGTCACTGAGAACTGACTGAATGTGAAGACTGTCTTATAATTTTTTTTGTCCCTTATAGTACTTTCCCCAGTGCCACAAATCTGGAAAATGTCAATAAATATTCACTGAATAAAAAAATAAATAAATACCTGCCACTACTGAACCATACACTTAAAAATGGTTTTAAAATTAAAAAATAAATGAAAGGGATCACAGTATTTAAAGGCAATTCTTTTAAATAAGAGAATTCAGTAAATACTTTGTAATTAAACACTGATTAAATCAAACATTTCATCTCTCCAGGTAACATTTCAAAGAAGGGACATTTCAAAAAAAAAATCAGTTGTCACTTCATAATCACATTTGATTTGCGCTTGGTTTCTGTGCTTCTAATGTAAACCCCATTTCACATTCAAACAGCCATACATTTGGTATTTGCTTGTTCTTTACCGGACTAATGTCCATGTCAGGCTGGGGACAACACAGAAATCAAAGGCTGGAGCTGCCTTCGCTGCCGGGCCAGGCAGTTTCATGGGAAGAAACATGAGTGAGAAGAGCATGTCTTTAGTCTGTCACCACTGAATTTGAATTCTGGCTCTGCCACTAAACCAGCTATGTGACCTGGAGCAAATAGCTTCATCTCACCTTCCTTATCTGTATTGATAATGCCTACTTTTTCAAGTGTAGAGAGGATTAAGTTAGATCATGTTGATGCATGAATAAAGTAATATTATAAAGAAAACTTAGCATAGCCCTTAGCAGACACTAGGTACCCAATAAATAGTAGCTCTTAATGGATCCATAATTATTATGTTAAAAGAGAGGTTTATGTTCATCACTAGTAAATTGAAAACATCTATCTGCTGTAAGAATTCCTGAGTTAGGCAAAATAAAAAACTGCAGCTAAGAACCTGGGCCTAGGGAATTGGGTGGTATGGGCAGAAAACATCAAAAGCATAAACCAAAGGGGACTTAATGTCCAGGAGCTCATGTGCAAGTGGATTGAGTCTTCCGAATGTATTGGGGTGTGCCAATCCAGACATGCACAAGGAAACAAGGAGAAACCAGAGCAGGGACAGGAAGTAGAAAGCAGTATGCTCCATCTTGGACAGGGACAGGGTTCCACATGATGTGCAAACCCAGTCAGACCTCAGATGCCAGGGCAGTTGTTGCCCCTCCCTCCCACCCTGCCATATAAGCATCCTTTCTATTGTGGGCAGGTAGTGCTACCCCAGGAAGATGCAGAATCTCATGGGCCCTTAGGGGATGTCAGTACATCTTTTTTTTTTTTTTTTTTTTTTTTTTTTGAGATGGAGTTTCACTCTGGTTGCCCAGGCTGGAGTGCAATGGCATGATCTCGGCTCACTGCAACCTGCACCTGCTGGGTTCAAGCGATTCTCCTGCCTCGGCCTCCCGAGTAGCTGGGATTAAAGGCATGCACCACCACGTCTGGCTAATTTTGTATTTTTAGTAGAGACGGGGTTTCTTCATGTTGGTCAGGCTAGTCTTGAACTCCTGACCTCAGGTGATCCATCTGCCTTGGCCTCCTAAAGTGCTGGGATTGCAGGCATGAGCCACCGTGCCCCACCAACATCTTTTTTTTTTCTTTTTCTAATCACAGGAGAAATAAAGCCTTTGCAAAAGAGGCAGATTACTCCCCATTGCTCCCCTCCTGTCTCCAGGTCACCTTCACCTTTCTCTGGACCCCAGGATGCTGAATCTGCATATTGCATATCCCAATCTCATTTGCCCTCTTGCTTCTAATTGGGTTTGTTCTCTTGAAAGAGATTGTTGGATGGAAAGACATGGAAGTCTGAGTACTCCCCTATCTTTCTCCATGTTCCCCCCTATAGTGGGTTCATTAGTGTCCCCTAAAATTCATATCTACCTGGAAACTCAAAATGTGACCTTATTTGGAGATAGGGTCTTGTGAAAGTAATTAGTTAAGACGAAGTCACAGTGAATTTGGGCAGGCCCCAAATCCAATGATTGGTTTCCTATAAGAAGAGGAGAGGGCACACAGAGAAAAAGGCAATGTCAAGATGGAGGCAGGGATTAGAGTGATGCAGCTAGAAGCCAAGAACTGCTGGGAGCTAGGAAGAGGCAAGGAAGCCTTCTTCCCTAGAGCCTTCAGAGGAACTGCAGCCCGGATGACACCTTGATTTCAGACTTCTGGCTTCTAGAACTGTGAGAAGATAAATTCAGTTGCTTTAAGCTAAGCCCCCAAGTTTTTCATAATTTGTTACAGCAGCTATAGAAATAAACTGAACTTGGCCTTCCTATCTTAACTATAGAAATAAACCAATAAACTGAACTTGACCTTCCTATCTTAACTCCTCCCTTCTCCCTCCAATTACAGACTCTAATGGGCAGCCTCCTTTCCATGGTGTCATTGTTTGGTACCTTTTCCCCAAAAGTGGATGCTGAGAAAAGTGCTGGCTGAAGATGATGTATTAGAGAGGTGATGCCAGGAAGCACATGTGAGGAAAAGGAGAAATGGGACAGAGAAGGAAGAAAACCCAAAAGAGGGAGCTTTGATGAACATTTGCCACTGTGGGCATCAGAGGATCAGTCCTACTGGGCTTTGAGGAACAGTACGGAATTCCTCTCAGAATCTCCCGACCAAGGAATGTTGCATATTCACCACCGACTACCATTCCTAGTTAGCTTGTTGCCTCTGGGGGTGTTTTACCTGTATTTTAGCTCTGTCCTGTGCAAGGGCCGAACCAGTTTCCTTGAACTGGGGAAAGCCCTCAGGTAGGGAAGCAGAGAGGAGAGACACCTGGGAAAGGTGGGAAGAGGAGGTGGGAAGCTGTCAGCACGGCAGGAAGTGCTCACCTCACACAGGTCAACTCAGATGTGGGCTAAGGGAATTCAGGATAAAGCAACAATCACATCTACAGCTCCCACTGGGCTTCCTTGCCTCTCCCCTGGAAGCCCAGGAGTGGTAATGGGGCTTCCAAGGTTGCTAGTCCCTGGTTGCTCAGCATCCCCTGTGGCTTGTCTACCCTTCCCATGCCTCAGTAACTCATCACTTTATGGAATTGCCTTCAGAATCTCAACTACTTCTGTTTCCTGTCAGAATCCTGACTGACAGAGTGGGGCAGGGCCAGGGCTCTCTTGAAGGCCTTTGGTCCTCTATAAGGAAACCCATGGGCTCTTTAAACACAATGAAGCCCATCTGTCACTGTTGGCCATGGAAATAATTATTCCAGGTGCAGGAGGACCTCCAGGCTCACGGACGAGTTGCTTTCCTCTTGAAGATCATGTGCTTAGACTTCACTGTTGCTCCAATGTTGGTGACACTGGTCATGAGTGTTTCTTATCTTTTAAAGTTCTGGTCCCAAGGAGAACCCAGGACTTTTTAAATACTATATTAAGCTTAAATTAGAATTAAAATGTCATCAAAATAATACAAAGCATATGGTAAGAAATAAAATAGTATGGAAGAACTTACTAAGTATGGAAGAGCTTACTCAGTAACAAATAATACATGGTAACAAATAAAATAGTATGGAAGAGCTTACTCAGTTTCATTCTCTAGAAATAATTCATTTAAACTTGTTTTTAGTTCTTTTGGTGGTAACCTCCATAATTCTAGATAGAATGCCCTATACCTCTATTTATTTCTTTTCTTTTTTTTTTTTTTTCTTGAGAAAGGGTCTCACTCTATTGTCCAGGCTAGAGTGCAGTGGCATGAACATGGCTCACTGCAGCCTTGACCTCCTGTGCTCAAGTGATCCTCCCATCTCAGCCTCCTGAGTGGCTGCGGCCACAGACATGTGCCAGCACGTTTGACTAATATTTTTGTTTCTTATTTTTGTAGAGATGTGGTCTCCCTATATTGCCCAGACTGGTCTCTAACTCCTGAGTGCAAGCAATCCTCCTGCCTTGGCCTCCCAAAGTTCTGGGTTTACAGGTGTGAGCCACTGCACCTGGCCTGTTGACCATTTTCTATCCCTTATACACTTCCTGCTCTTACTCTTTCCCTTTTGTATTTTTATACTTTTATTTCTCCATTTATTAGTTACGTGACCTGGGAAAGTTATTTAAACTTTCTATCCCTCAATTTCCTCATACATAAAATGCAAAATAATGGAATTTACCTTACTAAAGTAACAAAGAGGATTAAGAGTTAATAGAAGTAAAGCATTAGAACAGGTCTTGGCACATGGTTAGCTTGATAATACAAGTAAGTTATTAGTTTTAGTTATTATGTGGTGAGGTTTTTAGAGGGATGGAAAACAGAATCCCAGCCTGCAGTATTTAGACAATTTATAAAGGGCTCTGGTTGCCAAGGGAGGAAACTTAAGGAGTGAGATTAACTAATGTATTTAACATTAGTTAAATACATTATAATTTACTCATCTTTAGCTTGGGGACCCCGAAGCAGTTTCTTAAACTTTTCTATGCATCATAATTACTTGGGAATCTTATTAAAATGCAGATTCTGATTATTGCTAGCATTTCTAGTAAGTTCCCAGCTAATGCTGAAAGTGTGTGGGTATTTGTGTGTGCACCACATGTGTGCACTAGATGCCAATATGAAATATATTATTATTATTATTATTTTGAGACGGGGTCTCTCTTTGTCTCCCAGGCTGGAGTGCAGTGGTGTGAACATGGTTTACTGCAGCCTCAACCTCCTGGGATCAAGTGATTCTCCCGCCTCAGCCTTCCAAAGTGCTGGGATTACGTATGTGAGCCACCGTGCTCAACCTGAAATATGTTCTTACCGTAGGTCACGGTAAAAAATATTTGAAAAACACTTCCTAGAAAAGTATCTCCCAACCTCACTCTGAGCTGTCTCCACAAGAGATGCCCCCAATGCCAACCTTGGGAGTCAGGCTTTGATTTTTTCCAGGAAGCAGGAGAGCTCCCTAGTGTTCATAATCGCTCTGCAATTTTTGAGTGCCTCACAAATCCTCACAAATCTTCAGTCCTGTCATTTGAGTACCCCCCAAGCCCCTCCACCATGCCTGAGATGTTTCCTGGCATTATCTGCTTCTCTGTGCTGGCTTTCCCAGCACTTTGGGGCTTCTGGCTTGGCACCTCTTTCGCAGACCACTGGGGACCTAACGTCCCCCACCCCTTCCCTGGGATATCTGGTTTCACTCTTTAGCTTCTGGTTTAGGGTTTCTCTTCCTTGGAAGACAGGGACAGCTGGGAATGTGGATCTCATCCTGTCTGGGTTTTCCCCTGACAAGTGGCGGTAGTGGCAGGATATGAGGTGCTTGAAGACCACTCATGCTACTATTATCACAGGCAGCAGTCAGTAACTGAAGGAACAGGTGCAGTGGACCAGGTTTCACTTCGTGGGTAAGAGGGAAATGCATGCAGGGCAAGCAGGATAATCAGGGATTTTAAAAAAATCAATTAGGGGGAGAGATGAACAGGTGGAGCGCAGGGAGTCTTAGGGTGGTGAAACTATTCTGTATGATACTGTCATGGTGGACGCATGACATTGTGCATTTGTCAAAACCCATAGGATGTACACCAAGAGTGAAACCTGGTGTAAGCCATGAACTTTGGTTCATGATAATGTATTCATATTGGCTCATCAATATAACAAATGTATGACACTAATGCAAGATATTAATAATAGGCGAAATTGGGGAGGAGGGCGTGAGGATAAGTATATAGGAACTCTCTATACTTCCCATACGATTTTTCTGTAAACCTAAAACTTTTCAAAGAATAGTCTATTAATTTTTTTGTAAGTGGAGATAAAAACTAACCTCACTTGGCTATTGTGATGATTAAAATGGGTAAAACATACAAAAGCACTAAATAAATGTCCATAGCACCAAAAAAACCCACAATTACCTGTGTCCTACATGAATGCATCCTCCCCTCCCCCACTGCTCTCCCTAGAGGTGCCAACTGCTTTTGAAGTGGCCTGTATCCTTGCAGACCATTTTCCATGCATCTATATATGTACAGGAGACAATACCTTTCAAATACCTCCCAAAATTGTGTACCCATTTCTGTAAGCTACTTTTCCTTCATGTACCCCATCCACCCTTAAGGCGAAACCTTGAGGCTTTTTGTGCCCTGGGATTAGAATGGTAAGACACAGACCGGAAGAGGAAGTGGAACTCCCACCTGGGACTATGTAAAAGAGAAGAGTGAGTGAAAAGTTCAGAAGTGTCCTTGTTTTCTCCCATCTCTGGGCTGAACCTTGGGATGGGTGGGCGTGTAATAGCATTCAGATAGGTACAAAAGAACCCAAGACCACTGGGGCTAGGAATGTTTACCCAGAGCCCCCTGGGGGGCTGTGGTTCCAGCCTTTGGAAGAAGCCCCTCATCCCACTTGGTGCCACTTACATGTATATGATGTGCATTTCTCTGGGATGGAAACCTAGATGTAGATTTACCGAAGTGAATAATATGGGCATGGTTCTTATTATAAAAAGTAATGTGTGCACATGGAAATAATCACTTAAATGGAAAGAAATAAAATAAAGAGTAAAAATCTCACTCCATAATCAGCACCCCAGGCTCACTTTTTGTAGGTAACTGGTTTTCACTTGCTTATAGTTTTTTTTTCCTGGTAGTCATCTACATAATTCAAATAACATGTTTATACTGTTTCTTTGCTTATCAACTTCAAGGATTTCTTGAATAGTGCTTTAAAAAATTACGAATTTGACTCACATATATTAACCACCCTTCCAACTTTTGTTAACCTGTTTTTATTTTTAGTTCTATTGGCTATGTTTATAACTTTAAAAACACAGCTTTTTGATGTAGTAATGTTAAATAATATCTTTTACTGAGAAATATGAGGAAGTCAGTGTTCTTTTCCTTTTGTTCCCCTCTCTTTCCCCTAACTTTATATTACTATTTTTATGTGATCAAGGTTGATAATGTTTATATTCTCTTGTTATTATAATCAAGTCACATGCTTTATTTATAGAATAATTCTTTAAAAAATCAAAAAAGCGTTTATAATAATGATTGTGTAAATAATTTATTGCTGATTGGATAACATAGCTTAGCCAGAAGCAATATATCATAGAAGTAAATCATGCGGCTTAGAATAGCTCTGCCACTGAAGAGCCGTGTGACTTGGTAGAGTTACTCAATCTCTCTATGCCTCAATTTTTCATCTGAAAAAAATGAGATAATAATACCTACCCTCAAATAATTGTTTGAAGATTAAATAATCTATAAAGCATTAGCACAGTACCTGACACATAGTAAAATGTCAATAAGTGTTCATTATTGTTATTATTATTAGGTCACGTGAATGAATCCATTAGGAAGGTGTTGTAATTCTTGTTATCAAACTTGCATCACGCTAAGAATATTCCGAGTACCACAGTTAAACGGATTCTCTCTCTTGACACTTCATCAGTTCAAAATAATCCCATAGATTAGTTTGCTTCATGTTTAAACCATGATTTTTTGTATTTTCTGACTTTTCTA
Source organism: Homo sapiens (assembly GCF_000001405.40). NCBI lineage: Eukaryota > Metazoa > Chordata > Mammalia > Primates > Hominidae > Homo > Homo sapiens. Next base: position 61,200,982 of record NC_000014.9, on the reverse strand, counting down.
ATTGCCTATTTTCTTGTTGAATGAAAAAATATACACTAGTCCCCTCTTATAAGTGGGAAATATGTTTCATGACATTCAATGGATGCCCGAAACCTCCGGTAGTATTGAATCCTACATTTACTATGTTTTCTCCTGTACATACATACCTATGATGAAGTTTAATTTATAAATTAGTCACAGTAAGAGATTAACAATAATAATAATAAAATAGAACACTTAACAATATATTGTAATGAAAGTTGTATAAATATAGTCTCTCTCTCTCTCTCTCAAAATATCTTATTGTATGTAATATTTTCAGACCATGGTTAATCGTGGGTAACTAAAACCACAAAAAAATTAAGCCTTGGATAAGGATTGACTACTGTAATAAGGCTATATTCCACTGTGAGCTGAATGGTCAATTTTGAGGAGAAGAAAGAGACTGTGTAGTCCCTGACAAATGGAAAGAGATAGAATCCTGTTGGTTTCTGACTTTCCAGTCCTGGTTCCCATGTGACCTGGCTTTTTTCTATTCCTCAGATACCTGGAAGATTCCCTATTCTATTCTTATAATATCCTGTAACACACAAACACACACACACACACACACACTCACTCACTCACTTAAACAGTAGCATATGAGTGTTCCTGTTTTCCTGAAACCCAGTGGACTGGTAGAGGGAATTATAATGAATGAAGAGTCTAGGGACTTTTCCAACCCTGACATTTTTTTCTATGGTTTTAAGCTCTTATGGTAATCTTCTTATCCAGGTTTTCATTCTGGGTAAACTTGTCCTGTTTTCTCTCCCTCTCTCTTCATCTGTCTCTTCCTATAGAAATGGAAAAGAAAAAAACACCCTCCACTTGCAGAAAGGGTCAGTCTTGTCCTTTAGTCATTACTCATCCTTAGGGATTCATAATGTAAAGTTCCAACCTGCACTTGTTAATACATTTAAAGGGATACGATATGAAATTCAATTTTTAATATACCAGATATGCAATGATTACAGGGTAAGAGGAAGGAATATTTCTGTTCCTTGATAAGGAAAGCTAGCTTGTGTATCATAACTAGCTTTAGATGTACCACTCTGTACATCTTGGCAGATACAAAATCAAAATTGGGGGATGGAATCCAATCCAAAAATACTGAAATGTTCTAGGAATGAATATTCTTTGCGTGCAGCTTAAGTTTAATGCCAAACTTTCCTGAAGACCAAAGGGGAGGGGGAGATATAATAATAGAGGTAAGCGCTCCATGGGGAACTAGCGCCTGATGTTTCATGACGCTTTCCAACAATGCGAATGGTGTCAGTTCCCCTACATTGACTGTGGCATTTTAATAAATCAAATTATCAAAGCCTCATAAATGTAAAAAAAAAAATGAAACAAAAACAAGTGAAGCAAGCATAGTTGCTGCTCTAACATCAAAGAATCCCAAACCATAAATCCATAACATTCACTTTCAAAAGCAGATGATGAAAAATATGGAATGAGTTTCTTAGATTTAATTTTAAAGCAGCAAAAGTATGTGAAAACAGAAGAGAAATGCTGAAAAGCAGAAACCAGAGCAGAGGGCACTTCATTTTAGAATTTTTAGCCTCTCCAGGGAGCAAAAGAGCTTAGTTCCTTGATGTCTGGGAAACCATGGGCGAAGTTTGCAAGCTCTTTTTATTTGTATTGAGTCCAATCATTCAGCTCAAGTCAGTAAATCAGACACCCAGGGGGTACATAACACATTATTAAATCTATGCAAGAGTTCTTAGTTCATCAAGGAAAAGAAAGGTGCTAAATGTCATGGTGATTTTGCTGATAATCAAACCATTCAATGTTAAATTGATTTTTAAATCATAGTCTCTTTTTTTTGGAAAGTTTCAGTTATTAGTAGTACATATTGGTCATTTTTTGGAGTTAGACACATTTCTTTCCCCTACTGATGACATTCCAGTTTCCTTTCAGATAATTGCTTTTCCCCCATTGTGTGTAAGCTTGGTGGGAAGTAGCGTCTTCCCCCATCCCTCAGCCTTGCAAGCTTAAGGGGGTAGGTCAACCTTATCCCAGTTTGTCCATGAGTGACACAGGCTCAGTCAATAAAACACCCTCCCCAGCCTGAGGATCTCATGGGAATGATGCACAAATATAAGATGATAGTGAAAATCTGTTTATTTCTGCTGATTGGCCTCCTTAGTTTCCTTACATCCTGCCCATTTTCCAAACATAGCCTTCCAGCCTTTTGATCTGTCTGCAGTAGCTACTTAGCAAATCCTTTACTTTTTCCTGAGACCATTTGAGTCTGTTTCAGTAACTCCTAACTAGGAAGTCTGACTAATGTACTCCTTCATTCAAAGAAAAAGGTTTGTTGAACATCTACTATGTTTCACACTGGGAATATAGAGACATAGTTTCTGCCCACACGCTAACTGTGGGGAGATCATTATGTAAACAAATAATTACAATGCAATATAATATACACTATTATAGAAATGAACAAATGTCACGAACGAAGAGGTCAATAATTCCACTTAGGGGACATAGGGAAGGAGGGGAGGTAAAGCACAAGTCTAGTTTTGAAGGACAAGTAGGAGTTTGCTTGACGAGTCAGGCTTTCCAACAGAGGAAACAGTGTACATAAGGCATGGAGGATGGAAGAACCGGTCATGTTTGGGGAGCTTCCAGTAATTAGGCTGGGGCAGAGCATACATGGGTGAATGAGTTTGAAGAAGGCTGAGGCTACATCATGAAGGACAATGTATTCAGTGCAATGGGATTGTTGTTAAATAAATAGCCAGTGGATGGCTAATGCAGAGAAAATAAAAAGCATTGCCCTTAAATACACTTAAATACATGAAGTCTCGGAAACTAGTTGTCCAGATGTAAAGCTTAAAATGGACAATAGATGCTTCAGACCAGTCAAGAATAACTTTTTTTTTTAAGGATCAATTCAGAAAAATAAAAATATTTGCAGGATGTATTTTACAAACAAAACAATTACTTTAAACCTCACGGGATTCCAGTTTTGATGACCTACTCTATTGATCAGAAGAATGTCAAGGATTTGATTGGCAATTCTGATTAGCTACTAAAATGTTAACATGGGAATATATGAGAATTATCTACAGTTGGAAGACAATTCTCCATGGGTCTCTCACATCTCTACGCACCTCACAAGTGGAGGCACTGTCTTTTGTTTCCGATCACCTTTTCAAGCAAGTGTGCATAGTGAACAGCCTTGGAGATATAGTGTTGGTTTGTGTTTCTCCCCTCCAACACTCATGTTGAAACTTAATCCCCAACGTGGCAATATTGAGAGATGGGGCCTTTAAGAGATGATACGGTCATGAGGGCTCTGCTCTCATGAATGGATTAATTCATTCATGGATGAATGGACTAATGGGTTAATAGTTTAATGAGTTATCATGGGAGGGGAACTGGTGGCTCTAGAAGCAGAGGAAGAGAGACCTGAGTACATGCTAGCACACTCAGCCCGCTCACCATGTGATGCCCTGCACTGCCTTGGGACTCTGCAGAGAGTCCTCATCAGCCAGAAGGCCCTCACCAGACATGGCTCCTCAACCTTGGACTTCTCAGCCTTCATAACTGTAAGAAACAAATTAGTACTGGGCTAAGCCCTATGGGACATAAGAAAAAAGAATAAAACATAACCCCAACTCTCACTATATGTAGGGAGAGGTGACAAACACATCTAAAACTAGAGCAAACAACAAAAAATAATATATCAGCAAGTATTACATTCCCATGGCAAAATATGTCCTTTTATTTATATTGTTTTGAACATTGTCAAATTTCAAAGGAGATGAAAATCAGTGAGGGCTCAATGAGGCAGAGGAAGCCTTTGTATAGGGACCTTAAGCTGAGCTCTGAAGGATGGGAGGATTGCTACGAAAGGAGAACAGAAAAGAAAACATTTATCATGAAAGTCAGAAGTGAGACGGCTGAGCAAGTTGTTGAATGTCAGTTGCCCAAACTGTCTCCTGTATTTATCCTCTAGGTGTCCTAGTCTCCCTGTCCGTGAAGTCTGGGCAATAATGTCCCTATGTCTGAGAGAAGTCATAGGGATGCAATAAGCCTGCAGGTGTGAAAGATCTTTTGAAGTGATAGCACTTAATAAAAAAGATGAATAGACTGATTAAATGGACAATGATCTTCTTATTGCTGAATCTTCTTTTTTCCAGTTTAAATGTCCCTGGGAGTCTATGTTCACGTGTCACATAGCAAAGCATGAGTCCTGTCTGTTGTTCTGTGTAACTATAACATAGTTTATCTGTGTTCTTAACGTGTACTGGTCAGAATTCTCCAGTTATGTCCTGACAGGCACAGATTGGAAAGGGGCTTTCACCTTCTTTGGTATAGATATTGTATTTATGCAGCCAAAAAGTCATTTAGCAGCACTAACTTTTATAGTCCTGTCAACTAAAATTACTTTTAGTTTTAATGTAATCTGCTACTGTATTGTTCCCTATCCTGTACTTCTGGACTCAAAGGTAGGATTTTAAACTCAAGTTTCAATTTGCCGTCTTCAGATGAGAGCTGTTGCAAAATGGTAGTGACGGCTGAGCAGATTAGCAACCTCAAATATATGTAAAGCAATTACCTAAACTAGTATCATCATCCAAAGGCGGAAACTGGGCCATTATCAATCCATTGTCTCTTGGTACAGCTGTCCCTTCAGCAATCATATTTCCACCTTTTACCCTAAGCTCCTTACTCCTGACCATCACCACATTCTCAGATGGCTTTGCTTCTTAACACTAGGTGGCAATTTCCTCCCAAAACATCTATAGATGTCGTCACTGGCACCAATTCCTTTCTCCTTCCCTCCAGGATCCAATGTTATGCTTTAGCATCTTTTTTTAATAGGCTATTTTAAGGACTTTATGCATTGGCTTTTGGTGGCCATCATTTCAACAACCCATGTTGTCTCTCTCTCCTGTATCTTTAATATTGCCCTTCTTACTGCCTCTTCTACTTCAGCACAAAAATAGCTTTTCTGTCTTTTTCATAAAACCCATCTATCTATAAAGGACTGAATGTTTCCATGCCCCCCAAAATTTATATGCCGAAGCCCTAACCCCCAGGGTGCTTCTACAGAAGTAATTAAGATTAAATATGGTCGTAAGGGTGGGGCCTTGATCCTATAGGATTAGTGTCCTTATAAGAAGAGACACCAGAAGTTTGCTCTCTCTCTCTCCTCCATGTCCACTGAGGGAAGTCCATGTGACAACATAGTAAGAAGGTGGCCATCTACAAGCCAGGAAGCAACCCCTCACCAAACTCTTAACTGACACGTGGGTCTTCAACAACTCCTACTCCTTTAAAATTCAGTCCAAGGTGTCTTCCCGGGAGATATGCCCTGATTCTTAATTCTAATTTGGATGTTCTTCCTTTGGTTCCTAAAATATCCTATGCATAATTCTTATCACATTTAATGTAACCATTTACTCATCTGTCTTCTCCAATAGTATATGCCCATTTGATTTTATGAAGAACATGCCTCATTTAATTTTACAGTTCCAGTGACTAGCACATTGCCTGACACAGAGTAGGCCTTCAAAACCTAACATGTGATAGGTCTTCAGTTATAAAATGCACTTTGAATCCTCTCTTTTTGGTAAAAGATACATTTTTAAACCATACACTATAAAAACTTATCATAATTATGGTAATCTATCCTTGAAGGTGGGAAAACAATTTATTTGCATAAATTTGGGCACAGAAAGTACCACAGATAGAAGATAAACTCATTGAGAGACCACAGAGTAGAGTTCAAAATAAAAACAGAATGTGTTGATAGGATATCTATGTAAAAGATATACTAAAGCAAGTTATTTAGGCAAAAGAAAAATGATCCTAAATGGAAACATGGTAATACCAGGAAGAATATAGAGAAATGGAAAAAGTAAATATGCAGGTAAAACATAATGAATATTGACTGTTTAAAATGATAATGATGGCCAGGCGCAGTGGCTCACGCCTGTAATCTCAGCACTTTGAGAGGCAAAGGCAGGCGGATCACCTGAGGTCAGGAGTTCGAGACCAGCCTGGCCGACATGGTGAAACCCTGTCTCGACTAGAAATACAAAAATTATCCGGGCATGGTGGCACATGCCTGTGATCCCAGCTACTCAGGAGGGTGAGGCAGGAGAATCACTTGAACCTGGGAGGCGGAGGTTGCAGTGAGCCGAGGTCGCCCCATTGCACTCAAGCCTGGGCGATGAGAGCAAGACTCCATCTCTAAATAAATAAATAAATAAAATGATAATGACGATGTTTTGTGAGAATACAACTATGTAGAAACAAAATATATGACAACAATAACAATAGCCAAAATAGGGTAAATGGATGTCTTAGTCTGTTTGGGCTGCTATAACAATATATCATAAACTGGGTGGCTTATAAACAATAAAAATTTATTTCTCACAGTTCTAGAGATTGGGATGTCCAAGATGAAGGCAAATTTGGTGTCTGGTGAGGGCCTGCTTTCTGGCTTATAGATGATACCTTCTTGCTGTGTCTTCACATGGTAGAACGGGTGCAGGATCTCTCCAGGGGTCTCTTTTATAAGAGCGTTAATCCCACTCATGAGAGTGCTATCACCCTGACCTAATTGCCCCCCAAAAGTCCCATCTCCAAATGTCATGCCCTTGAAGATGAGGATTTCAACATATGAATTTGAAGGTGATGTAAATATTCATATATTCAAACCATAGCAATGGGCTTAAATGCTGGAAGTTTCTTTCATTGTCCTAGAAGTATTAATGGTACTAATTTATAGTAGACTCTAATACATCAAGGATGCATATTTATAATCTCTGTGGTAACCACAAAAGAATAACTAAAGAATATATAACAACAAGCAAATAGAGAGTAGGAAATGGAACACCTTTTAAAAAACTAAATTAATTTAAGAAAGGACAGAAGACAAGAAAGGAGAGAAAGAGGGATAAAAGACAGATGGGACACATAGTAAATGAAAAGAACAGTGGTAGATCTAAACCCAAATAGACAGCCATGGTGGGCCTATTGTTCAGAGCACTAATTTCAGAAAAGCAGGAAAAGCCAGCCTGGGAAAGCAATGTGTTTATCCTAGAGCAGGTGTGCAGAGGAAGACAGAAAGAAGATACTTTGTGCCTTAAGAGAAACAGGGAGGGATGTATTATCAGGCGAGCTTTCTGGCCCAATATATCCCCTGAATATGGATTCTCTGAAAGTCTCTTGTATCCCTACAATAAACCCTCCTTTTTGAGCAGATTTCAGGCTGTTCTGTTCCAACCTTCTGTTGTAAACAAATGACCCCTGACTGAGACAGTGGTCATGGTCAATAAGAGCCAAGAAATATGGTCTCATTAGTCCAGCCTCTGGGGAGAAAGAACTAGTGTCTTGGTCATGAAACATTTATCACAAGAATGCTTTCATATTCTAGGTTTTGATCAGGATGATTTCTGTTTTTTTTTTAATATTCTAAAACAACAGATAATCACTCTTTACATTAATCTTAATACAAAGGTGATGTTGTTTATAATTAACAGGAGATTGAAATTTGCAAAGTAAAAATTTTTCATGCTAAGAAAGCAAAAGAAAAACAAAGGCCTCTTGGTTGATTTTTCTACCATGACCATCTGGTTTTGTAATTAATGTCTTGCCAATATACTAAAATATTTTTAATGTAAATCTGTTACATTCTTGCTGCATTTTCAATTAAAGTCTCTGAATTAAAACTTTGTACCATGAGTCAGCAGTTAAGGCAAACATGTTTTTTCCATTTATCTTCCTTTGGGAAAGCCTAGTCCCAAATGCAGAATGCCTGCCACCCTTTAGGTCTTTTCATCAATCCAGATGTCCATAATTACTTCTAGAGGTTACCACAGTGGTTTGCCCTGCCATCTGACACCATCTTTCCCATGATTGCCTAGGATGGCTTCCCTTGCCTTTAATTATTCCCTCTAAATACTCCCTCTTAACAGAAAAAACATAACCTGTGGTCTGCAGATCCTAGAACCTGGAGACACCTCATGTTCATGGTGACTTCATGCACATTTTAGATGCATGCTGGGACAAAGAGACTCTTCACATCCCAGTTTAGAAGTGGTTGCTCTGTTCACAGAACTGCACTGCAGAAAGCCAATATTTTAAAAGGAAGGGAAGGTGAAGTCCAAAAGTCATCAAGTCCAACATTATTTATGACAATGTCTTCCAAAGTGTGGCCCCAAACCCATTGTTACCCTTATCAACATTTGGTTGGCCTTAGCCAAATGGCCAATTGACCATCTACTATAGATGCTAAGCTCAGTAGTGTCTTGTTGCCTGAACATTTAGGTCAGAAAGCTCTGCTGCTCCTGAAGAAGCCCTTCTGAAAGCACCCTACCAAGGGCACTACCCTGACCACCTGGCCACACTGCAGCCGTTTCCTTTTTGCACACTCCTCTACACACACCTACCTGATAACCGACTTTGGTGATAATAGCATAAAACTTCATAAAATGTTACTAAGCCTGGAGTTTTCAGACCATTTACTATTTGTTAACATTCTAGTACAGATCATATGTTATTCTAGGAGATTTACCTACACCATCTCTAATTCTTGCAATAACTTTTCAGAATGAACACCTTTATCTGTATTTAACAGATGAAGAAACCTAGGCTCAGAGTTGTTAACTGTTAACTTGCCCCAAATCACATGGCTATTTTATCTTTCTGACCTGGCTTTTCACATAGGAAAATTAATCTAGTCTGGGAGTATCTGCTCAGGAATTGAATAGAGAGGGAAAATCCAGAAATGACAACAGGAAAATAGAAATAATCTTTTTAAAAATTAAATTTGAATAATATGTACCTGTATCATCTACTGCTTAAAACCTTCCTATTTCACACATCAGAGTAACACCTAACTGGTGGAGTTGCCTACTTAGGGTTCTGAGCCAATATGTCTTTATTTCAGGCACACACACACACACACACACACACACAATGTTTTAGGAAACATTTCTTATTCTTCATATGCTTTGAATATCCATCTCCCTGCCAATGACCCTGGGATGAGCTGAGTGTACATGAATTTAAGCATGTGGATTACATTCTTCTGGAATACGTATGAGCTTGTAAACTAAGGGGGAAAGAACTTAGGAAAAAGTTTATTTGGGGATTTGATCAAAACCAAATTACTCAAGGAAAAAGCATACAAAATCTGCAATAGTTCAACAAACTCCCAAAGCCATCAAAGCCAAAGGCTCTAAACAATACAAGCCAGGCAATTCAGAAGGAGTAAGTTGAGACGTGAAAAATTCTGACCCAATTGCTTAGTATATGTTGTTTCTAGAATTTTTTTTTTTTTTGAGACAGGGCTGCAGTGCAGTGGCTCCATCTCAGCTTACCGCAACCTCCGCCTCCCAGCTTCAAGAGATTCCCCTGCCTCAGCCTCCTGAGTAGCTGGGATTACAGGTGTGCACCACCATACCCAGCTAACTTTTGTATCTTTAGTAGAGATGGGGTTTTGCCATGTTGGCCAGGCTGGTCTCCAACCCCTGGCCTCAAGTGATCCGCCCACCTCAGCCTCCTAAAATGCTGGGATTACAGGCGTTAGCCACTGTACCCAGCCTGGAATTTTCTCCACAGAAGCCAAACATTTATTTTAAGTCAAGAAAACAGGCCTTTCGGGAGAGCCTGAGAAAAAAATAGGTGAGCAAAATCTGGTTACCTTAACAAACTCAGTCAGTGTAAGTGTAGAATACATAGGAGATTGTCATAGCTACAATAACAAACCCATTCCCTCCTCTCACTTTCACGGAAGCTGCTTGGAGAAAATTTTTCCACCTTCTTCAGGCTGAGAGAAGTCAGATTTTCTCTCTTTTGTGCAGAATTATATTCACCCAAGTCCTGACCACAGGCCACAGAATCAGATTTCTTATTAATAATAATCTTTTTCATTGTTTTGATTTTAGAAATTAGTTAATCCTGTGACTCTCCTTTCATTGAAAGCTATTATTGCATTTGTTTCTGTGGTCTTTTGGCTTGAGCTGGTTGTTTACAAGTTATTTTTTTCACCCTAAATTGTGGGTTCATTCATTTGATCAATAGATGAATAAATAATTTCAGTGCTATGGAAATAAGGTAAAGTAAATAGCAAGTAACTGGGGGTGGGGTGTGGGTGCTACTTTAGATCAGGTAGTGGGATGGCATCTCTGAGGAAGTGACATATGAGCTGGGAGTCCATCGGGGAAGAGAGTTTCAGGCCAGGAACAGTGAGTGCAGAGCCTCAGAGCGGGGAGCGTCCTGCCTTCAAGAGAATAGAAAGGTGGGAGAGTGGTCCTAGAGTGGAAACACAGCAAGAGGCAGGGTGGTGGGAGACAGGCTGGAGTGGGACCACACGGGCAAGCCTTCGTCTTGGAGAACACGGTTTAGATTTCACATTAAGTACAAGAGAAAAACCACTGAAGGATTTCCAGAAAGGGAATGACATAATCTGGAATTCCTGGGGTTTTTGTTTGCTTGTTTTCTCTTGAATTTTTGCTTTTAAAAGACCATACTGACTGCTGTTTAGAGAATGGACTAAATAGGGCATGAGTAGAGGCAGAGAGACTAGAAGGTTGATACAGATGTTCGGGTGGGAAGCAACTACTGGTCTCTCTTTTGGGGACAATGATATGAATATTTAAGTCGAAGGACTGTGAAGACCTGACTAACCTAAGATCCCAGAGCCTGGAACCCATTAACCAAACTTTTCTTAAAGGGTTGGGGGCAGAGGTGGGTGGTGAGGATGAGAAAAATTGTTTTATTCAGAAGAGCAGCACCATAACTTATTATTATAACAGTCCCCATTGAGTGTATTCTATGTGGAGAGTACATTATGATATGTAATATATTTTATCAGCCCAATGACCCTATAGGTTGGACATTATTAACTCTGTTTTGCAGATAAAGAAGTGGAGGCATAGAATGGCTAAATGATTTATCCAAGGTCACAAAGCTAGCAATTGATGAAGATGAAATTGAACAAGTCCTTGTGCTGTCCCAGAAAGAAAAAGAGAGAGAGAAGGAAGGAGAAAATGAAAGGGAGAGAGAAAGAAACAGGGCTATCAGGTAGAAAACTGGTAGTACCATTACAACAAAGACCATATAAAAAATATCTCAGGGGTTTCACTGACCTGGCTTGGGAGGAGGACTCTACCCATATATTAGAAATTAATTCTGAACATTTGCTTTACATTTTGGCAGAGTGCGAGTGATGAGAGAGGAAAAAAAAAAGGTCAAACTTCCTAAAAGAAAGCAACAGGTTAAAAAGTGTGGTCATTATCAGAAAAAAAAAAATCAAGTAACATACACTCAACCAAAAAGAAAGGAAGGTAGGAAGACAGAGAGAAAGGGAGGAAGAAAGGAAGGGAAGGGAAGGAGGGAGGGACGGAGGGGAGAGGAAAATGTGCCTCCCCTACTCTCAGGAAGAAACAGAAGCAAGAGAGAGAGGAAGGGGAGAGAGAGAGAGAGAGAGATAACATTTCAGTGCAGTCTGTTAGCAATAAAGGAAGCATCTCAAGGCAGGCAGACAAGGGAAAGGCCCTGCACTGGAGACAACTCCGAGAAGGGGAATATCTTACAGAGTCGGGGCACACTTCCATCCCCCCTTTGCCTTTGCCCTAAACTTGAGAATTTTGCAAGAAGAAAATTATGGACTTTGCCTCGTTTCTGTTACTCTGTTTTCTTAACAAACAGTGACCTAGTGAGAAATCTCAGTAAGGTCAGGGCTGGGAGATCGGCAAGCTGGGGACCCCGCTGGGATTCCCAAACACCGGCGGGCTTCCCCCTGTAGGGAGCGCGGACGCTGCCCGGGCCTCGCGGGGGCGCTGGGGCGCTGGGAGCTCTGCGAGTCACCGCCGCACCCTGTGTTTTCTTCCGAAGGAGCAGATCGTCTTTCGATCCCAGTGCTGTCCTTTTGTTTTATGTACTATTGCTTTTTTCTGTTCAAATACAGCAACGGGCTGGCGCGGTGGCTCACGACTGTAATCTCAGCACTTTGGGAGCCCGAGGCGGGTGGATCATCTGAGGTCAGTAGTTCGAGACCAGCCTGATCAACATGGTGAAATCCCGTCCCCACTAAAAATACAAAAATTAGCCGGGCGTGGTGGCAGGCGCCTGTAATCTCAGTTGCTCGGGAGGCTGAGGCAGGAGAATCGCTTGAACCCGGAGGCGGAGGTTGCAGTGAGTCGAGATTGCTGCCACTGCACTCCAGCCTGGGCAACAAGAGCAAAACTCCATCACACACACACACACACACACACACACACACACACTACAGCAACGTCTGGGGGTGAGGAGGTCCCAGAGGCAGCAGGACCCCGGACACACACACACACACACACACACACACACACACACACACACACCACACCACCCCCCCACCCCCCCGACACACACACACACTACAGCAACGTCTGGGGGTGAGGAGGTCCCAGAGGCAGCAGGACCCCGGAGCCGGGAGGCGCCCGGAGGGGAAGAGGTTGGGTTGCGGAGCCACAAGGCCGCCTGCCCGAGCCGCTGCCTGGGAGCCCGACCCGGAGCCGGAGCCGGAGCCAGAGCCGGAGCCAGAACTGCCTGAGAGCCGCGGGCCAGCCTTCCTCGGTTTGCAGGCTGTGGGCGGGGGCAGAAGCTGAGCCTGCATCCTCCTCCTAGCCCGCAGCTACCCAACCCTGCCTTGACAGGCACAGAAAGTTGGGCCGCCTCCCCTCCCCTCTGCCCTCTTTCCTTAACCTGCAAAGGCAGAGGTAAAGCCAGCACTTGTCTCTCAAGACAGGACAGTTATGGGTGCCCCGGGGGCACATCCAATGGAGGGCATACTTTATGCTAGATATATACCATTCCTTATTAATAGAGACCACATATATAATATATAGCATGCGTTATCTCACCTAATCCTCCCAACAAATTAACCTGAAACTCAAAAGGGTTGTCCTATCTGTCCAAGGTCATACAGCGAGTTAGTGGGATGCTAAGAGTCAGACTCAGATCTTGACTTCAAAGCCCCTGTTTTTAGTTTGTAGTATTCATGAACTGATTGGATAATTTATTAAGTGCCCACTATGTGCCAGAGAAGGATAAAGACCACTGTGGGGCCCAAGGCTCTGAAAAGATAAGGATGTCCTCTTCCCACCCCGCATGCAGTGTGGAATTCAAAATGAAATTTGATTTTGTTAAGGTTACAATATTTATGTCTGCTAAAATTAAAGTAGCACATTCCATTCTTAATTTGTATTTTTTTCGGATCGAAAAACTCTGAACAAGATTGCTGACGCTACATTTTTCTTTTTGTGCACTCAAGCACATGCTTACCCAGACCCTGATACGATCCTGGACCAGGCAGAAGCAGCGTCCTTCTCCTGGAGGAGCTTGGAGCAGCAGCAGGAGGCAGGCATTACACCCCGATAAGCATGCAGAGTTCTGAAGAGGAAGCTCGCAGCCTCACTCACTCCAGGCTTTTCCTCTGGACCTGAGCTCTGATACCCACTGCATTGTCAGAATCAGAGCAAATCTGGAGGCCAGAGAGCAAGACCAGCAAAGCCAGGATCTCTGGGGTAATTAGGCCCGCCTTGCCCACAGGTGCTCCACAGGTGGTCTCAGCTCCCAGCAATGACCCAGGAGAAGCCCACGGGAACCCTCAGCTGCAACCAATCCTCCAGACTGCTGGCCTGCCTGCCTTCCTGAAATAGTCCAGATTTCACTTATTAAACATATTAATCTGAAGTTAACAATTTGTGCTTGTTTCACTAAATGGCTTGAAGAGAAGAATGCAAGGAAGAAGAATTTGATTTGATGGGAAGGCTTAACCCCGATGGACTAAGCGGCCTTCATATTCTGACTTTAAAATAACTGGAAATGGAGGGACTATTCACAGAAGTGGAGAGTCAAAGGGTAAACCTAACTGGAGTTAAAGAAACACAAACAAAACCCATCCCCTTCTTGGCCCCAACCTGCCATGTGACTCTAAGGACATTGCTTACTGCAGTGACAGCATTTTAAACAGCTGCCCAGAGGGGTTTTAAATAGACTTGATGTAATTCAATGATTTATAGAGCATGGGTTACCAAAATATTAAAGTTCTGAAATATCCCTAAACCAAGACCATGGCCCTGCCATTACCCACTCTGAACCGAATCATTCTCTGCTGTTGGAGTGTGGTGCATGTGGCTTCTTCAGAAAACTGCGGCTGCTCTAAATGAATGGCCAGAAAAAGATAAATAGCCTCTGATGCATAGATGTGACCTTCCATATGAAAACACACTCTCCCGGTCTTCGGCAACTCAGTCCGTGGAAAGCACCAATCTTCAGAAAACAAGCCAGACAGTTATTTTTTAATTGCTTATCAAATCTAAGTATTCAAGGAAATTGCAGTGGGGTGGGGTGGGGGTGGGAATACACAAAATAATGAATCTGGGTAATGAAGTGACCCTGGACCTCTACTCTATAAAATAAACCACAATTATGCAAACATTTTACAGCCTTAATCAGTAGCCCCTTCAAATGCAATGGTCTAAAAGTGCACACTAGTCTGGAATTGGAGATCATTGCCAACCTTCCATTACATTCTTTTCATTATGTTGGAGCAACTCTCCTTTTTGTAATCCTTATATATCCCCTGGCCTCAAAGAGAACACCCTGAACCAAAGACAGGTCTCAGAGAATTCTGACAGTTTTGTTTATGTCAAAAATAATGAAAGATGACAAGCTATCACATTTAGGCTTGTAACATGATAATTTGCTTCAGGACTCCCTGCTAAGATTAATTTGGAGACAGGGAAGAAGAAGGAAAAAGAGGAGGATGACAAAGAGGAGAAGGAAGTGGGGGTGGAGAAGGAGAAAAAAAAGAAGAGAAGCTATCAGATGCTCTCCTGGAAAGTAAGGGAGAGGGACTGGCAACTTGGTAGGTGATTTTTACTTAGCCAAGGGGCAGGAGAAAATCGAGTAAATCTGTGTGTGTGGGTTTTCATCTCATATTCTTTATATTCTAAAGGCATATTTGGCTGAGGTGCATTACAGTGAGAAAAAATAGAACCTGTTGGTGATAATGCCTCAGGTATGGAAGATGTGGTGAGAAAAACTACCCTCTACTGTATGCTCAATGTCACCACCACCACCACCACCACTACTGCCACTATCACCACTACCTCCACCACCACCACCACTACCACCACTATCATCACTACCTTCACCACTACCACCACCAACACCAACCACTACCAATAACATCACCACCACAACCAGCACTACCAACAAAAACACCACTGCCACCAACACCAGCAACATCACTACCATTATTATTGCCGTTATTACCACCACCACTACCTCCATCATCACTACCATTTCTACTATCACCAGTACTACCATTACTACCGTTACCACCACTACCACCACCCCAAATAAGGAAACATAATTTCTCTGGGTTAAACTTGTATACCCAAAGTAGTTACTTGCTTTCTTTCTCTCAATCCAAACCAATCAGACTGTAGACTTCAACTTTTCTATTTTGCAGGGATTTCTTCTCATTCTCAAGCTAAGGTCCTGACACACCAAAGGGAAACTGAGTCTCGAGGAGAGGGATTCTTTTGTGAAATGGTCCTTGGTGCTGGGGTTGGTAGTAGGAAGAAGCCAAGATAATATGGCAAGCAAGCAACTTCTCTCTTAGATGGACTTGGGGGAAGTCATACGAGATTTTCTGCCAACAGACCTGGGTACAGAAGACAAAAGCACTTAAAACTTTTAGCTTCAAGTAGAAACCAGCACACACAGACCTTTTTTTGAAACAAAAAAGGCTTCCACCTTCACCAGCCAGCCTTAGATGGGATGGAAAGAAAGTTTCATATAAAAGGTTAATTTCTATCTATTGGTGGTAGCTTCCTGGGACACTGTACTGAAAGTTTTCTTAGGGCTCAACCAAAGAAAGGAATACAAAGACCACATATGCACACACACACACACACATACACACACACACAGTAATCAGTTGTTCCTGCATGCCCATGAGGGAATGGGAGAAAAATGAAGACCTTTCCACCAATTATTTTTCATCTCCAACCCCCTACTCTCTCTCCCAGGTAGCCGTGTGTCTGATAATTCCACATTTCCACATGATCACTTCCTAATGTGCTAGCATCAGAGGCTTAATACCATCTTCTGAGAACCAAGAAATGCATTGCTAATACATTGGTTATTGGTTCACCTGACTAAACCATACAAAACGAGAGGTGACTTGAGTCAAAGCCTTGAACGCCAGCAGGATTGGAGCAGGGGTCAGTGCTTGCCTCATAATCATGATGCCACTCACTGAGCACTTACCAGGTACACTTACTGCTAAAGGCGTCCTTACTGCTAAAGGCAGAGAGGAAAACCCCAGTTCTTTACTCATATTCTTGAGGACAACCCCAGAACACAAGTGTTTTCTCTGTTTTATAGACGAGGAATGTGAGCATCAGAAACTTTATCAACTTTCCCAGAATCATGCAGATGTTAAGGGAGAGAGTTGGGATTTGAACCCATTCCATCTGGTACCAAAGCTCTTAACCACTAAGCCAAACTGTCTGAAAAAAATGACTCAGATAACTAGTCACACCCCCACCTTAATCATGTCACTCTAGGAAAAAACTTCTAAGTTGCTAACAGAGTTGTGTTTTCTTTAGGTTTGGGTAAAGGGTTAAAAATGCAAGGCCCTGTCCAAACCACACTAGTGACTTTTCCCTTTTGTTGCATTCCAAGCACACATGTACTTTCCGCCTGCTCCAGGGGTTGTAACATCCTTGCAGAGGCTGCGGCTTATGACCTATCATCACCTTCAAGATCAGCCTGGAAAGTAAGAAAAATATTATGTGAGAGGTTTTCTCTCCCAAAGCCAGTCTTAGGGAACTAGCCATTTTCAGAGGAAAAGCAGGATTGTGGAAGAGCCAATACACAGTGGGTTTATTTTAGCCCCATGTGATGCAATAATAATAATAATTATTATTATTTTATATATATGTATATGTATACATATATATATATAAAGTGTTGCTTAAGAAAAGACTGTCGAGAATTAAGAGTCGGCTGGCTAGGGTTTTAAGAACTGGTATGCAGCAAAACAGCCAGAAATAGTTCTTTAGGGGAAAAGAAATCTCAAAAGAAAAGAAAGCTCCCTAGGTTTGGGCAAGGGCAATAAAGCATATGAAGGTGTGTGCACAGTGCCAAAAGCAAAAGAATCTTCTACTAAAACCACAACTCCAGTCATATGTTATTACTTACACTATAGTTGACAATGACTGGCACAGGGCATGAAACGATAAGTCTGGTGGATTTGGCATCGCTCTATGTTAACAGGAAACTGTGTTCTTTTGATTCCATTGATTGGTTTCCTGTTGAAGGCCATTCATGGCAGAGCAGAGAGTATACAAGACTATCGTCCAATTTCCATTTTTCCCGGTGCCTCTTGCTTCTGGCAGGGGAAGCTGGCAGCCTTTATTTGAGGTGATCAGGGCCCAGTCGGGGGCAAATAATGCCTGCAAGGCTGGTTGTAAATGTTGCATTTAGCAGATTAGGTTAGGGAAGGAAGAAGCCATTGAAATGCAAAAGCATACACATGTACAAACAACCACAGATGAAGCTCCATTTGTTTGGTGGCAAACGTATAAACTTGATTCATTCACTGCCATCAAATCAAGGGGCCAAGACACAATGTAGCAGCTCTGCCTCCCAAGGAGAACTTTGGAAATGTTTCAAAGGGGTAGACTGGCACATGGGAGAGGAAGAATGAGAATAGTTGGAGTTTGGCTGAGCTTTGGGTTTCCTTCCTTCATGGTTTCAAAGCCACAGCATCTTGATAAGTGTCTGAAAACTTGGTGGAGGATAGGATGGGTGGGCTTGAGTCTGAGAAAACCCACAGTGATTTGCTGGTGTCACCTGCCTGGGGATGTCCACATGCAGGCTTGGTATTCTCAATAACATCATGGACAGAATTTTATATTTGATGTATATCATGCATACTTGTCATTGATTTGATTTCAGGATGGGATTGGGGATATTTTTGTTTTGGCCTTCTGTTATTTTAATATCATTTCTGAAATAAAACAATTATTTAAAAATGACAAAGAAATGCAATTCATGTTGATAATGGGCTTCCGCTGGTCCCTGGTAAGGCTAGACCACCACTTCTGGGACATTTTCGTCCTAGGCATTCCCCTCTGTCTCTCAGCAATCACCAGGCTGCCAGCCAGGGTACAGATTCTCTGTTTCTTTAACCAGAGACATGATGGGCTCAGAGGTTCACCCTGAATGTCTCTCATAACACCCCTCACTGATTTAAGCCAGCAGCACATCACATGCTCTGTCTCCTTTTTCAAGAAAAAGTAATAGTAACAACAATAATAGTAATTTATCTCATTTCCAGGTAAGGAACTGTAGAGCACACAGCATATACGGGAGTACATTATGGGTATTTACTCAATCACAGATTCTGCTGGGTCTGGCTTAATTCATATTGTTGGATGGCCACCAAGCTAAGAGACCCTTTTTAGCCCTGACCTATGAAACACAAATCCCTTTTCTTGGAGCTATAAGTACAACATCTACATTTCTCCTACACACACACACACACACACACACACACACACACACACACACACGTCAAAATCATATTCTCTGCAACCAACAAAGCTTTGATCTGCCACTTCTGATTGGCTTTGGTGGGTGGCCTGAAGCCAGACAGATAGAAAGAAGCCTTAGGGGCCGAGCACGGTGGCTCACGCTGTAATCTCAGCACTTTGGGAGGCTGAGGCAGGCGGATTACCTCAAGTCAGGAGTTCAAGACCAGCTTGGTCAACATGGTGAAACCCCGTCTCTACTAAAAATACAAAAATTAGCCGGGTGTGGTGGCGCACACCTATAATCCCAGCTACTCGGGAGGCTGAGGCAGGAGAATTGCTTGAAGCCAGAGGGCGGAGGTTGCAGTGAGCCAAGATCACACCACTGCACTTCAGCCTGGGTGACAGAGTGAGACTCTGTCTCAACAAAAAAAAAAAAAAGAAAGAAAGAAAAGAAAGAAAGAAAGAAACAGGCTTCAGAAGGAGTAGCTGAGGCCTTTCCAGCAGGATGAGGCTTCTTGGGAATGTGTAGGAACAGGAGGCAGAATCTGAGCTGAGCTCCCCTCCCGTCTCTTATTGAGTGGGGGATTGGGTGCTGGGAGTAAGAGCAGAACTCTGAGAACCAAGCAAGAGGGATGACAGTGATTAAGAAGAGAGTTGCGGCCAGGTGCGTTGGCTCACGCTTGTAATCCCAGCACTTTGGGAGGCCGAGGCAGGCAGATCAGGAGGTCAGGAGTTTGAGACAAGCCTGACCAACACGGTGAAACCCTGTCTTTACTAAAAACACAAAAATTAGCTGGGCGTGGTGGCGCACACCTGTAATCCCAGCTACTCAGGAGGCTGAGGCAGGAGAATCACTTGAACCCATGAGACGGAGGTTTCAGTGAGCTGAGACCGTGCCACCACACTCCAGCCTGGTGATAGAGTGAGACTCCGTCTCAAAAAAAAAAAAAAAAAAAAAAAAAAAAAAGAAGAGAGTTGCTGGGGAGAGTCTGGTCGAGCTGCACCTTGGTGGTCCCTGGAGATTATCAGGAAGCGCTGGGCTGGTTCCAACTCTCTCTTTGGTTAGCGTTACCCACTCTCACCTGCTGCTGGCTCTTCTGGCTCCAGCCTCAGCCAGCCTTTAGCTGAAGACTTCCCATGGCTGTCTCTCTCCTTCCACTTTTCCTTTTCTTCCCTTCCCCTCCATTCCTACCTTTCCTCTCTCTCTCTCTATCTCTCTTTCTCTATCTCTCCCTCCCTCTCTCGTTATTGTCATGTTTTGTTATCGGCTTTTTTTTTTGAGACGTCGTCTCGCTCTCGCTCTATCGCCCAGGCTGGAGTGCAGTGGCACGATCTCGGCTCACTGCAAGCTCTGCCTCCTGTGTTCAAGCCATTCTCCTGCCTCAGCCTCCTGAGTAGCTGGGACTACAGGCGCCTGCCACCACGCCCGGCTAATTTTTTTTTTTTTTTTTTTTTGTATTTTTAGTAGAGACGGGGTTTCACCGTGGTCTCAATCTCCTGACCTCGTGATCCGCCCGCCTCGGCCTCCCAAAGTTGTTACTGGCTTTAATAAAGACTTCACTCTGAGGCTACCTGTCCTGGATGAATTGCTGTGTAGCAGTTCCTGGGAGGTCAGTTGGGAGGACAGAGCCTTGAAGGGTGGTCCAGAAGGTAGGGTCAAGACAGCAGGCAGATGGCCAGAGAGGGTGTGTGGCCCAAGGGTGTTGGGGAGTTCTGCCCTGGGTTTAGAAAATACAGGCTCCAGTCAGGCAAAACTGCCTTCCTCTCAGCAGCAGGGTAGCCAGGCAGCCTTCAGCTCTTCCTCTAGACCAAGTTTGTCCAACCCGCAGCCTGACACAAACTCATAAACTTTCTTAAAACATTATGAGATTATTTTTAAGGTTTTTTTTTTTTTCTCATCAGCTATCGTTAGTGTATTTTATCTGCGGCCCAAGACGAATCTTCTTCCAGTGTGGCCCAGGGAAGCCAAAAGATTGGACACCCCTGCACCCTCCCAGCCCTCCTTGAATCCGGGTCACTCAGGTTCTGGAAGCATCTCAGTCCTTGTCCTTCACTCTGGCTTCTTGGAGGTTTGGGAGATGCTGGGGTCCCAGCCGCTCACTGCAGCTCTTGATGTTGGTCCAGTTGATCTCGTCTTTTCGGGTGCCCACCTTCTCTCTAGCCATGCCTGTTCCCATCCTGGTTGAGTCCTTCCCTGGGTCTCTTGATGTTCTGTTTTCCATCTACCCAGCTTATAGGACTCCCTCCGGGGGCCAGTGAGTGGCAAGCCCAGATGGGAACCCAGATCTTTGATAACTGATGCTTGGCGCATTGTACTCCTCAATATTGCTTTCCTTTGCTTTGCAAATTCCTGCCTGTTGGCCACAAATAATGCTTTGTAAGACATAGCCTGAGATTTATTATTCCAAGTCAAGCAGAAGTCATGCTAATCTGGTGAAAAGTGTTTTCTGTTTGTTTTGTTTTTCTGTTGGTGGTTTAAGATCCTACTGGAAGGCTGGACACAGTGGCTCATGCTTATAATCTTGGCACTTTGGGAGGCCAAGGTGGGAGGATCGCTTGAAGCCAGGAGTTTGAGACCAGCCTGGGCAACAAAGTGAGACCCTGTCTGAAAAAAAAAAAAATTAAAATCTTACTGGACTTGGGACATTGCTTTCTTGTTTTCAGACACACTTCTGGAGTTCATGGTTTAACTGACATCTTCTACATTTGCATTAAGAAGGCTTTTACTTGGATGAGGCTTAGAACATACATAATAGGGGGATCAGGGACACCCTCTATTTTTCCCCTTCCAAGCAGGCCCACACCCCTGCCTATTCTTCCAGGAAAGGGGAGAGTCAGGACTCCAAGACAACCCTTTGAACTGCTGAAGTCCAGTGCCACTGACGAGTCACATTCCTTTGTCCTCCCCCCTGGTGCAGCAAAGTGTGCATGTTCTCACCATCCTGGATCTGTTGCATTTCTGTTAATAAGTCAAAAGGGTCGAATTAAAATGTACCATTTGATTGGCCATTCCTTTGTTGTCTTTCTCTTCCACTGAGATAAATGCCACCAGGGCAGGACTTTACATTGTTCCCCCACTACATCTCCCGTGCCTAGAATCTGGAAGACCAAAGGTGCTCAACAAATACTTGTGAAATAAATGCGTGAGTGATGGCCCCAACTCTTACATTCTAAATTTCTGTCGTTACAAGAGACAAAAGGGCAGAGTCCATTTCGGCTGCCCCCATCCCTTCATCCCCAGAGTTATGAAACTACAAATCCTGAGACCTCAATTCTCCTCATTCCACTCGGAGATGATTCCCACCTCTTAATGTCCTTTCTTTTTGGCCTTGTTTTTCTTTCCATTCTTGCATGTCTTTAACTCTTCTACTAATAACACAAGTGACCCCATTTCCTCTGTTGTCTCCAAACCACTATCCATGCCATTTTCCCTTCAGTTTGCCTTTGGTGAGAAAAAAAAAATATTCTCCCAGAAATGTGACTCAGAAGTAATCAATGTAAATGTCATCCAAGGCCATGGGGAATTTCTTGGCCATGAATCACATCCCTTGTGCTGAGAACCTGGGTTATAGTCATGGCAGAAAGTCCCAGCACCCAGAAACACCCCCTTCCTCCCCAGCCCCATGCCCACTGGATGCAAGAATTTCTCCTCGTCCTTTTTTGTTGTGGCTGTCCTTGGGCACATTGGGCAAAGGCTCATGCAGGCTTGTTTCCCTTCCCAGCTTGGTTCTGTGACTGTTGCAATGGACTTTAGCGCCTGGCAGGAAGTGCCTGGCTCACCTCCGCTCCAGCAACTGTGGCTGCCACTGCTGATGGAGGAATGAGAGACACAACCCACGGCCAGGTTTCAGCACAGGCTCAGGACCAGGGCACCTCAGATTTTCCATGCCAGCTGGAAACAGGACATGAAAGGTACAGGTTAGGAAGGAGCTATGGCTGGCGAGTTCAAAGGCCCCATTCATGAAGTTTAAAAAAAAAAAAAACACTTTCGGTATTTAGATTGCTCTGCCTTCTTTGTTCTTTCACTTTTTCTCTCAAGTTTGTAGAGCAGGTCCCAGTGCATGAATTTGAAAATAAGAAAGAAAGAAAGACAGGAAGGGGCGGGGGGAGGAAGGGAGCCTAAAGCTCATCAAAACCTGCACAAAGGTGACACTCATGCATATGCTATCAAAGTGGAAGGGAAATACATCTGTACCCACACATAACAGGCAGTGACAAGTTTAGAAATTGTTATCCCGGTCATGGGAAGGTCATTGACAAGTTTTTCAGGTCTCCAGTAAGTAGGAAAATGATTGGGGCAGACTGAGTGTCTAGCAACCTTGAATGAGAGAAGCAGAAAGGCACAGGGGTAGGCGCGTGGGCTTGGAGCCAGTCTGTTTGGGCATTCCAATTGTAGGAAGTAAATGAAATAAACCACACAAAAAAGAATCATCCTGGCACATGATGGGCTCTCAACAAATACCAGTGAAAGTAATGAATGAATATGTGAAGTGCTTCTCAGAGGCCCAGGGCACGGAGGGGTGCTCACTGAAGAGCAGCAGCAGGAGTAGTCATGCTTGAGCCCAATGTTGGAATCCCTTCCTGTCACTCGGCTGGGTTTGACTGGGAGCAGTCGGGACACCACAGGACTAGGGGAAAGAGGAGGATCCACTACACCCAGAGCATCTGCTCTGCCGGTGAGCAAGGCTGATGACACAGATCGCAATGGCAGTGACAGGAACAGTGAAGGGTCACTGTCTTTAGAAAAGGCCATGTCTAAATGGGTGCAAACCTAGCCAATCCCCTCCAAAAGAAAGTTCCCAGCTTCTCTGACCGGGGACTTTCTCCGCCAGCACCCAGGGGATGAAGGAACAATTTTCCTTTATCCTGTGCCTGCAGCACAGCACGGCACAGGCAGAGCCTCCTGTTTCAAAGGCAAACCTTGAAGTTTACAGTGCCCTCTACCTGAAGAGAGTTAGTTTAAAAATCAAAACGTGGCAGAAAGTCAGAGCTGGTAGAGAATTTGAATATTACCTAGGTAACCCCATATTCACTGAGGCTCTGCATTACTCAAAAAACCCACCTGGAGGCCAGGCGCGGTGGCTCATGCCTGTAATTCCAGCACTTTGGGAGGCTGAGGCGGGTGGATCACCTGAGGTCAGGAGTTCGAGACTAGCCTGGCCAACATGGTGAAACCCTGTCTCTACTAAAAATACAAAAATCAGCCGGGCGTGCTGGTGGGCGCCTGTAATACCAGCTACTTGGGAGGCTGAGGCAGGAGAATCACTTGAACCCGGGAGGTAGAGGTTGCAGTGAGCCGAGATAGTGCCACTGCACTCCAGCCTGGGTGACAAGAGTGAAACTCTGTCTCAAACAAAACAAAACAAAACAAAACAACCCAAAAACCCACCTCAAACTACTTTAAGCAAAAGAAGAAAATTCCTTGGCTCACAACACCCAACTTGCAGAAGACAGTGAGTTGAACTGGCTTTAGGAACTAGTAGGAACAGGGACTTAAACGTGGTCAGAGCTCTTATCTTAACTTCTGGTATTTCCAGACTCATTTCCAAGCTGTGGGACATTCCTCAGAGTCAGTTTTTTCCATCCGTGTAATGGGAATATTAACTTTCCTATCTACCTCCCAGAATTATTAACATGATCAAATGAGAAAATACATGAACAGAGGTACATATACAGTTGGTTATTAACACTTGTTTTTAAAATGTGAATTTATTGTGATTGAATTAAAGTATTGGGGACAATGTGAACATAATTCAAGTTTCTCATAGGCAATTTTATCTGCAAGAGAAAACTAGATTAACATAGAAGATGGCACCCAGCTGAACTGAGTCTTGTCAGGATTCACAAAATGCCACATGCACATATTCCACGCATCTGCCCTACTACCTTGCAGATGTGTTATTCTAACTAATCTACTTATCACAACCAACTGGGTCATCCTACGAGGTTATATTTTCCTATTCTTTCACATTTGTAAAGTGTTGTGTATTAAAAAGAATTCATTCAACATCTCCAACATGTCTAAGCATCACAAGCAGGGCATGGGAAAGAAAAGCTTTGTGTATTGAGGGGGGAAATTGAAGTAAAGCATTTTGAGAGAATCAAGAGAACCTATGCTATCTCCCAAGCAACAGACCATAGAAATAAAAGAAATGTCTGTGGATGGAATAAGTTCAAGTGCTGAGAAATCAATAAGAATAAGGCATGATCCACCCACCTTGGACACCCAAAGTGCTGGGATTATAGGCGAGGTCAAGAGATCGAGACCATCCTGGCCAACATGGTGAAACCCCATCTCTACTAAAAATACAAAAATTAGCTGGGCATGGTGGCAAGTGCCTGTAGTCCCAGCTACTTGGGGAGGCTGAGGCAGGAGAATCGCTTGAACCTGGGAGGCGGAGGTTGCAGTGAGCTGAGATTGCACCACTGCACCCCTCCAGCCTGGTGACAGAGCAAGACTCCGTCTCAAAAAAAAAAAAAAAAAAAAAAAAAAAAAAAAAAAGGCATGAAGACATAGAAGAGATGGAAAGATGAGCATTGTTGAAACCGAAAACTAGGTGGTGAAAAATAAGGGCAACCTCGCTCACAAAGAGAAAGCACTATCTACGTGCAAAAACCTTAATGGAAATTACCACATTCTGCAGAAATGACACCTTTTGTTCTATGAGGGGCTGATTTGGTGATTTCAAATATCACCACAATTTCCAAAGACTTCAGCTATTGAGTGAAGTCCTCAAGTGTGGATGAGAAAACTGCAAAGGAATTTCCAGCAGGGATACAGAAATTAACTAAAGAAGAAAATGCTACATTTTCAAATTTTCAATTTTGATGAAACGGATATCCATTATAAATGCATGCTTCAAATGGCCCACATTTCAGAATTTTAAGGCTGCAAAAAATCAAAAATGTTGGTGATCTTTCTTCTACTACTTCATCCTAACACAAGCAGCAACCCTCTCAGCTCCCTCTTCCATCAGCAAATGGCAGGTATTTTTAAAGATAAAGTGCCATATTTATTGTAGTATTTACATTTTTTTCATTATTTAACATGCACAAAACTGTGCTATCATTTTTATTAAGTTCCTATCTTTTTTATATTACCAACAAAGTGTTTAGGTACTGTGCCCCTGACCCTGTCTTTTCTCTAAGCCTGTGGTTTTTATTGTGCAATTTTGCATAACACAGTGAGTTTTAGGAATGCATGTATCATGTTATAGCAGAACTATCTGGATCTTTTAATTCCCACACATCTCTCCCTCAGCCATGGTTTGGCGACCACAGGCTACAGGTGTGAACCCATAATTCAAATCTGCCACTCCCCTCTGGGCCCCAGGACCAGAACCTCTCAAACTCCTCTTCACCCCTGCAGGCCTTCAGGGCCGAATCAAATTTCTTGACAACTCTACACTGTGCAGCTACTTTTGATGGACCCTCCGGAAATCGCTTGTCCTTTTTCATCTTCAACACCACTGATCTTATCCTTTCTTACTTAAGGCTCCTTGCTAGGCCTTGTATCTCTGTTGTGGTTCCTAGTGTTTTCTTTCCACTGAAGAAGTACCTCCTCCCCTTCCCCTCATCAGATGGTGCTGACTGAGCTGACAGGACTTAATTGAAGCTGGCATTATTTCCGATGAGAGCAGCGATTGAAAACTAGCATAGCTCTTGTGTGACACCGACACACACTCTCAGAAGGAGACTCAGCGGTGTGCTGGAGAGCCGCTGAGCTATTGTTGAGCTGTTCTGGAAGGCTTTGGCTTTCCTGCAGGACCCTAGATCTGTCTCTGCAAAAGCAACCTAAGACCAGCCCTGCATGAGGTAAGAAGAATGGGATGGAAATCAGGCCCATAGCTACCTAGAAAACCACATTTTAACAGCTGCCATTTATGGAACGCTTTTCCTGGGGAATTTCATTATTCTTTCCTGACTACCTAACACATGTCAGAATTTGGAAAGTTAAGGAAATACCCCACTGGGTAAGCTTTAAAATGCGAGTTTCTAGCTCTTCCTGTTTCTAAACTCCAGTAGCTTTGTCTACATAAGAACACCACTGTGTGGTTCAGTAAAGACAACCCTAGAATGAAAGGTGTAAATTATGTCACTCAGTGAAGTAGAAACTTCCAAAATATTTTAGTACTAAAGAGTCTAAAGGTTGAGATCAACAGAATTCTCCTGAAATCTGGCAGACGTCCTTTAACCCTTTAAGTTCAGCTGAAGTGTGTATGGCTTAGGAATGGTTTTTAAGGGGATAACATTGAATTTGATTAGCAATTAGGAGAATTGCACTTGATTCCAAATTCATCTCCTGACATGTTGGCATCTGAATATTTCAGCTCTAAATTACAGACCTCAATAACATAATGCTAAACAGTATCTAACACCAAAGTGAAAACACAGTGTGTTTTAGTCATTTTCTGTTGGTGTAACAATTCCACAGACTGAGTCAAGAAAATAGTTTAGGCCAGGCGCCGTGGTTCATGCCTGTAATGCCAACACTTTGGGAGGCCGAGGCAGGTGGATCACAAGGTCAGGAGATCGAGACCATCCTGGCCAACACAGTGAAACCCTGTCTCTACTAAAAATACAAAAAAATTAGCTGGGTGTGGTGGCAGGCGCCTGTAGTCCCAGCTATCGGGAAGCGGAGCTTGCAGTGAGCTGAGATCGCGCCACTGCACTCCAGCCTGGGTGACAGAGTGAGACTCTGTCTCAAAAAAAAAAAAAGGAAAATAGCTTATTCAGCTCATGATTCTGGAGGCTGGAAAATCCAAAAACATGGTATCAGCATCTGAGGAGTCATCCCGTGGTGGAAGAGCAGAAGGCAGAAGTGAGCCTATGAGACAAAGAGAGGAAGGGGACTGACTTTGTCAGGAACCCATTCCCATGATAACTAACCCATTCATTCAAAAATGGCATTGATCCATTCATTGCCAATTGTCTACCAAAGGCCCTACCCCTTAACTCTGCTACGGTGGCAACCAAGTTTCCAACACGTAACACATTCCAACCATAGTACACCATTTATACCCTGAAGAATGTGTGTGTATTGAGAAGGGTGATTGTGGAGACACATTTAAGTAAGAAGTGCAGTCTTTTAAAATGAGGCCAGACATCCACATCAAAGGTTAGGGATTTGCCTAGTGTATTAGTCCATTCTTACATTGCTATAAACAACTACCTGAGACTGGGTAATTAATTAAAAAAAATGTTTAATTGGCTCACGATTCTGCAGGCTGTATAGTCTTCTGCTTCTGGGGAGACCTCAGGAAACTTACAATCATGGTAGAAGGTGAAGGGAAAGTGAAGAGGAAGCAGCTACATCTTCACATGGCCATCAGAGAGCAAAGGGGAAGGTGCTACTCACTTTCAAACAACCAGATCTCATGAGAACTCTATCACAAGACAGCACTAGAGGGATGGTGCTCAACCATTAGAAACCAGCCCTATGATCTAATCATCTCTTACCAGGCCCCACCTGCAACACACAGGATCACAATTTAACATGAGATTTGGGTGGGGACACAGCTAAAACATATCACCTAGTGATGTTCTTGCTTGGAAAAGTAGTGGGGTCCTATATGTAAGAGTGAGCTTTGCTGCCAGGCTGCCTGGGTTTTATACTTGGCCTTGACATCAACAAATTACCTGACTGTCATGAAGTCACTTTCTGTCCTCTCTTTCCTTAACTGTAAAATAAACATAGTAACATCTGATTCATAGATAACTATAAAAATCCAATGGAGAGTTCATGAAATCACCAGGTATATAGTATGCACTCAATGAATGTCAGCTATTTTTAACCATATCAAACTGCCTTTTGAATAGTCTAGAATGATGTATAGTTTCATTCAGAGTAATCACCATGGTGAATACTCTGAATGAAACTATACATTATTACTATTATTATTATAATAGACATGGTGAATCCCTTCTTATTTGTTTAAAAGGTACAGTAGTCCTAATAATAGTAACTTCCTAATAGGGTTATAAAGATAAAATGAGTTAATACATGGACCTGGTACATAGTGGGCACTCAGTAAATGGTACCTGTTATCGACCATCTCAAACTGTTTGTGACTAGAATAATGTGGGAAAACATTCAAAAATATTTGTCGTTCTTATTTTATGAAAGGTGCAGTCCTCGGCCTTTTCTGCCTATTTGGATCCAAGTACAGATTTTGGTTCTGATAAATGACTTATTTTAGCCTGAGTTCATGAGGTCATACTTGAAAGAATCAGAGCTGAATGCTGGTTGATTGTGTTAAAAGAGGAGAAAAAACACACAGAGTGCACAAAATTATAGAAAATACACCAGAACCTCTAAGAATTTGCTGGTCCCCTCCTTCTGCAAGGGGCCAGCACCCCTCACTCATGGGGACAAGAATGTGCTAAAGTCTGCTCCTAGCAGGCTGCCAGAATTGATTTTGCACATTTCTTCCCAACTCCTCTTTCAGTGACACATTTTACGGGTCGGTAGCCTGAAATTGGCAATGGTAGGAGTATTTACTTGAT
This sequence comes from Homo sapiens, assembly GCF_000001405.40. Lineage (NCBI taxonomy): Eukaryota > Metazoa > Chordata > Mammalia > Primates > Hominidae > Homo > Homo sapiens. The sequence goes on along the minus strand of NC_000014.9, from coordinate 61,171,889 downwards.
GAAAATTGGCCAAGGCTATGAATCAGGAATTTTTTTGAAGTCATTTATACAAGATTTTTTAGCACATACTGTGTGATGGTGTCAGAAAATTTGTTTCTTCTTGAACAAATCCTTTTTCCAGAGATCCTCTAGAGACTAGGAACTGTCTGCCTCCTCAGCTGCTGGCTTATCTGTGGGAGCCTATTATCTGGTCCTCTGCAGTGCTGTTCCTCCCGATGGGCTGTCCACCTTTTCTCCAGGAAAGAAGGAGGCAGGAGGACCCGCTTCTTTTTGCCACTTTACCCCCTCAGTCACCACAATATCATCACACAAACTGCAAAGACACAGGCAGATTTCTTTACTGGTGGGTTGGTATACTTTCAGAAAGAAACTGTAGCACAGGAGGGACAAAGGCTGAAACTGAAATAAATTTGTACTTAATGGGTCCAGAACCCATTCCCAGAGAGAAAATGACATCCCCTCCTCTGGGAAAACTCCACACCTACCTGTACTCATGGGAAGAGATCTTACTCCTGGAATGCTTACCGAAAGCTGCAGTTTAAGGAATCCCTCCCCTGCAATCTTTAGCAGGGTGAACATGAGTGTTTATTGACACTTTTAGCTTGGGAGACAATGAGAACATGAAGGAGTGTCTGTAATTTCATGGATGAGGGTGGACATGGATCCTCGAGTTCAAGTTTATTTTGCACCATTCCCAGTTTCTGTACTAGTTGACCTCTTAAAGTAAGTACACCTCCACAAGACAAACATTAATTTTCTCAGATTGCACCAACCTAATAATACAATCTAAACCAATGATTCTCAACTCTGATTGTACCTAAGAATCAACCAGGGAGTTGTTTTTTTTTTTTAAATGCTGATGCCTGGGCTACACCCAGCATTGGGTTTTGGCCCAGCCATTGTTATTTTTTAAGGTTTCCCAGGTGAATCTAATGCGCAGCCAGGTTTGGAAACCACCAGTCTAAATCCACGGTGGGGAACGAGCAGTTCCCTAATCAGCAGGCTTGGTCTCAGAATTGGGCCTTTGTTCTCATGTCAAAGAATTGGTCTTTTAAAAATTCCTTTGATTCAGTAGTCCTCCTCTGATTGAAGTGTCAGGTGGGAAGGAGAAGACATAAATTACCAGTCCTTCCAACATGCACAGTTCACTTGGTCATTAATCTTTCTGCTTTACCTAGTGATTCAGACATAAACTCAAACTTTGTAACTGCTAAAAGGTAGCACAGCTGATCAGTTTGAGTTTTATCTCTCGTCTTGACTTTTCCCCCTTTGAGGTCCTAATTATCAAAATTACGAAGAGAACCAGTAGATAAGCATGAGAGGAGCCTAAGAAAAAACAAACAAAAACAAAGAGAACCAGTAGAAAACAGTAGAAAAAAATTTTGAAGACCCAATTAATTGACTGTTTGAATCATTGCCTTATAACTGTCCTTCACCGTCTGCCCTTGGCTGGACAGACAGAGAGATTCTCATACTTCCCAGTAACTTACATGTCATTGGACCAGGGCACCCCAAACCAAATTTTACTGTCCTATTTCCATTGACAACTACCTCTGGAAGTTTCTGTAGCCATTCATCCCAAATCAGTAGGAATTTCTCCTCCTAAGACCTTGGCCTTACATTCATTGAGTTCTTCACTGAGTTCATTGAGGTCCTCCGGTGGCCTCCATCCCCTTCCATGACCAGAACAGTCCAGACTCAGAGAGAGGCTTCCCTTCATAGGGAGCTGCGTGAGGGGAGAGAAAGAGTTTGTCCCAAAAATCCTGAATTAGAGTGGAGATACCCTACCGAGGGGTCCCAGAGTAGAAAGAGCCAGAGAGCTGAGTTGGAGCAAAGTCTGGAAACAGGACAGAAATTGAAGATGAGAACCCTGAGGTCTAGAAGAATAAGTGGAGCTGAAAAGGGATCCATTTGCTACATTCAAGAATGGGATTCATGCACAATGATGTCAAGTAGAGGTTCCTAACTCAGCTAGAGGACACTGGGCTTGGTTGGGGTGGCGGAGAAGAACCAGGTGTCAAAAGAAGGCTTGGAGACTTGCCCAACCTAGATTTGAACTACTCTCAGCTCAACAGAATCTCTCATCACTCTGAAAATTGATTTCATTTCCAGGAAAAAAATTATGAAAACTTTCCTGTCAGTGTGACAGGTGAGGTATAAATACTGAAAATAGATTCATATTTGTGGAGATAAATCCAAGTGTTTTGTTTCCCATGTAAAATTTAAACAAAACACCCAAACAGAAAAAAAATTTCCATTTGGAATGCAGTCTGGGTTCCCCAGATGTTTTGAAATGCTTTGCCAGATATTTAAACACAACCCAAAGTATGTTTGGCTAGTACTTCCTTATTAAAATTTTGGGTAAATTTGAGGGAAGGTGTATCCATATATTTCTGATTCATTTGCATTTAACTCATCAAACCAATATTTAGATGCCACTTCATTTCAAAAAATCTTTACAGAATTAAAAACCAGGAAGTTCTATTTTACAAAGCGTAAACAAATTTGAACATCAAACTGTTCTTATTGGTGGGATTTGCCTAGACTAAAGAGACTGAATTAATTCTAAACTTGGCAAAATACAACCCCCCACCTCTGTACCAGACTGACTCTGTCATTTGCAGAAGGTCACAAAGTTGTGCTCTTGGGAGAATATATATATATATATGTATATATATGTGTGTGTATATATATATATATATTTTGTTTGTTTGTTTTGTTTTGTTTTGTTTTGTTTTGAGACGGAGTTTCACTCTTGTTGTCCAGGCTAAAGTGCAATGGCGCAATCTCAGTTCACCGCAAACTCTGCCTCCCGAGTTCAAGTGATTCTCCTGCCTCAGCCCCCTGAGTAGCTGAGATTACAGGCATGAGCCACCACACCTGGCTAATTTTGTATTTTTAGTAGAGACGGGGTTTCTCCATGTTGGTCAGGCTGCTCTCAAACTCCCAACCTCAGAGGATCCACCCGACTCAGCCTCCCAAAGTGCTGGCATTACAGGCGTGAACCACCACGCCCAGCGGGAGAATATTTTTTAATGTATTCTTGATTTGCATACAAAGCTTTGTTCATACCAAACTGGAGAAGAAACTTTAAAAGTATGAAAAGTTTCTGTTCTCTGTGTTGTGGTTCCAATCTCAATTTCTCATGGGATTCTACGGGACAGAACCAATTTTCTCATTACTAGAACTCAGGCCTCTTGAGGAAGAGATAGTCCTGCATATGGCACTCTTAGAGGAATAGGGTGAAGGGTTTTATTCATTGACTACAGTGTCTGCAATGGCAATAATTTATTTTTCCATAAATTGTAGTGATCATGTGAATGGCTTGTTACGTTTAAAGAGAAAGTGTATAAAATCCCTAAATGGTTTTTCATGATAGCTTATTAACTTTTTTTGTCTTTAGTCATTCAGCTTTTCTACTGAGAAAGAATAATATATGAAATGCTGGCATTGCAAGTACCCAGGAGTTTAAGTAAAGATCACCTAAGATTGGCCAGATGACCAAAACTTTTAAATTATTAGTCTCTTAGTCACTAAAAGGGATCCAAGCACAAAAACATTAGACTTAAGTTCAAGTGGTAATATGGAATGACATCAGAGTACCAGCCAAAAGTTGGGAACAAAAGACAACATAAATGCGGGTGTGAAGTAACAAATTCTTTATTGAAGGAATTCTTTTTAGCTCCAACAATTGATAGGTTCTATTATAATCAAACCCTTTATAGCAGATTGATTTCATTAATCTTAACCGCTCAAATTCTTCACATTTCCCTGCATCCACAGAGTGTCGTGTCATGTGGCTTTGTAGGGCCTTACCACTCTGGGATGAAGTACCATACCTGGTTTTGTTTTTTTTTTTTTCAGTTATAAAAATTTATAATTTTATTGAGTTATAATCTGTATACAATAAAATCCACCCATTTTTAAATGTATAGTTTGATGAGTGTATACAGTTGTATAGTCACCACCACAATCAAGATATAGAACATTTCCATCACTCAAAAAGGTATTCATATGACCCTGTGCAGCTAATCTCATTTCATCATCTCCAGCCTCAGGCAAAGACTAATCTGGTTTCTGTTACTATAGCTTTGCTTTTCCTAGAATTTCATAAAAATTGAAACATACAGCACGCAGTCTTCCATATCTGGCTTCTTTTTCATTTAACATAATGCCTTTGAGATTCACCATGTTATTACATGTATCAGTAGTTTACTTCTTTTTGTTATTGAGAAGTATTCCATTATAAGGAAATACTATAATTTGTGTGTACATGAATAAACAAATTTTTTATTTGAATTATTTTCAGCTTTTAGCTACTGGAGATGAAATTGCTATGAACATTTATGTACATATCTTTGGGTGAACACATGTTTTTATTTCTCTAATGTAAATATCTAAGAATTGAATTACTGGGTCATATGATAAGTATATATTAAATTTTATAAAAAGCTTTTAAATTGTTATTCAAAGGACTGCACCATATCACATTTCCCATTAGTAATGTAAGAGAGTTCCAGGTGCTCCATGTCCTCACCAATGTGTAGTATTATAAATATTTTTAATTTTAGCCATTCTAATGCATGTAATGGTACCTCATTGTGTTTTTAATTTGTGTTTCCCTAATGATGAATGAGCATTTTTCATGTCCTTATTTAGCATTTGGATATCTTCTTTGGTGAACTGGCAGTTCAAATCTTTTGCCCATTTGTTTCTCATTTACTATTTGAAACTCATTCAAAAAGAAATAGATAGTAATCCATTATCAGTTAAGGAAATTAGATTTGTACTTATCCTTCTCACAAAGAAGGATCTGATGACTTCAGTGGTGAACTTAACATTAAGGTATAACTATTACCAATTCAACTGGGAATACTTCCCAGTTCATTTTATGAGTCCAGCTTTACCCTGATACCAAAACCAAAGACATTACAGAAAAAGAAAACTAAAAATAAATTTCTCTCATGACATAGCCCCCACACCCAAATTTAACAGATTTGAACAAATCAAATCCAGTAATATATAAAAAAGGTAATACATCATGACCAAGTGGTTGGTATTTGTCTCAGAATGTAAGTTTGGTTTAATACTAAAAACTGTTAGTGTAATTCACCATATTAACAGACTGAAAAAGTAAAATTGACTAATTATCTCAATAGATGCACATAAAGCATTTGACAAAATTCAATTTCGATTCATGATAAAAGCTCAGCAAACCAGGAATAGATGGGAATTTCTTCATTCTGATCAAAAATCAGGCATGGAAGACCTACAGGTAACATTATAGTTAGTTGTAAAAGACTGAATGCTTTCCTCTAGGATTATGTCCTATCTTATTACTCTTACTACTTATATTCATCACTGTACTGGAGATCCTGGAAATGGGGCGGAGGTTGGGTAGGGTGGAGGCAGGGGGTAGAGGAAGCATGGCCAGTGGACAAGAGGAAGTAAAACTTTCTTCCTTTGTAGGCAACATGATTATCTACATGGAAAATCCTAAAGAATTCTCAAATAGGTTACAAGAATGAATAAGTAAGATTAGAAAAGTTGAAATATGCAAGTTTATTAAACAAAGATCAATTGTATCTTTTTTTGGTCACTATATTAGGGTTCTCTAGAAGGACAGAACTAATAGGATAGATGCATATATAAAGGGGAGTTTATTAAGGAGTATTGGCTTACACGATCACAAGGTCCCACAATAGGCCATCTGCAAGCTGAGGAGCAAGGAAGCCAGTCCGAGTCCCAAAGCTGAAGAACTTGGAGTCCAATGTTCAAGGGCAGGAAGCATCTGGCACGGGAGGAAGGTGTAGTCTGGGAGGCTAAGCCAGTCTAATGTTTTCACGTTCCTCTGCCTGCTTTTATTCTGGCTACACTGGCCGCTGATTAGATTAGCTGATTAGATTAGCTGATTAGATTGTTACCGCCCAGATTAAGGGTGGATCTGCCTTTCCCAGTCCACTGACTCAAATATTAATCTCCTTTGGCAGCACCCTCACAGACACACCCAGGAAAAATACTTTGCATCCTTCAATCCAAACAAGTTGCCACTCAGTATTAACCATCACAGTCACAAAGAGTTAGGACTTGAGAATTTAAAATATAACATTTGGGCTGGACGTGGTGGCTCACGCCTGTAATCCCAGCACTTTGGGAGGCCGAGGCAAGCAGATCACGAGGTCAGGAGATCGAGACCATCCTGGCTAACATGGTGAAACCCCGTCTCTACTAAAAATAAAAAAAATTAGCTGGGCATGGTGGCGGGCACCTGTAGTCCCAGCTACTCGGGAGGCTGAGGTAGGAGAATGGCATGAACCCGGGAGGCGGAGGTTGTAGTGAGCCAAGATTGCACCACTGCACTCCAACCTGGGCAACAGAGTGAGATTCTGTTTCAAAAGAAAAATAAAATAAAATAAAATGTAACACAATGGCATCTAAAAACATGAAAATACCTAGGTATAAATTTAACAAAATGTGTGCAACACCTGGATACTAAAACATAAAACTTCATGGAATGAAATTAAAGAAAGACAGGTTAATAGAGAGATATTCCACATTTATGAGTCAGAAAACTCAATAATGTTAAAATCTCAGTTCTTCCCAAATTAATGTATAGACTCAACACAATCCAAATCAATATTCTAACAGATTTTTTATAGAAATCAATAGTTATTTAAATGTTTTTATTAAAATGCAAAATTATTTTGAAAAAGATAAAAGTTGGAGGAATTACACTGCCTGATTTTAAGATTTATCACAAAGCTACATAATTAGGGCAATGTGGTGTTGGATAGACAGATAGATCTGTGGAACAGAATGGGGGCCTAGAAATAGATCCACACATATATTGTCAATTGATTTTCAGTGAAGGTGCCAATGTAATGCCATAGGGAAAGGAAAGTCTTTTCAAAAAGCCACTGGATGTCCATAAGAAAATAAAATGATTCTTTACCCTAATCTCACATGTTATACACAATTTATTTACATAAATGGATAATAGAACTAACTGTAAGAGCCGAACTATAAAGCTTCTAGAAGAAAATATGTTTTTAAAAAATTGAACTGGGTTAACACAAAGACTTTATTATACAGGATATAAAAAGTGCAAACCTTGAAAGATAAAAATTAATTAACTGGATTTCTTTAAAATCATAAACTTTAGCTCTTCAAAATTCACTGTTAAGAAAATGAAAAGCAAGCCACTGAGTTGGAGAAAATACTTGTGAAACGTATATATTATAAAAGATTGTAGCCAGAATATATAAAGAACTATTTAAGCCATTTAAACAGGTGTGTAATGGTATCTGATTGGGGTTTTAATTTGTTTTTTCCTAATGATTAATGATAGTAAGTAATTTTTGTTTTTTGGTCTGTTTCTGTTTTGTTCTGTTCCGTTTTTAACCACCCATATCTCACTGTTGGTAAAGTGTTTGTTCAAATCATTTGCCTATTCTTTTCTTTTTATTGGGCTCTTTCCCCTTATATTTCTTTTCTTTTCTTTTTTTTTTTTTTTTTTTTTTTTATTTGAGACAGGGTCTTGCTCTGTCACACAGGCTGGAGTGCAGCTACAGTGTTGTGATCTCAACTCACTGCAACCTCTGCCTCCCAGTTCAAGCGATTCTCATGTCTCAGCCTCCTGAGTAGCTGGGATCACAGGCATGCACCATCATCCCCAGCTAATTTTTTGTATTTTTAGTAGAGATGGGGTTTTGCCATGTTGGCCAGGTTGGTCTCAAACTCCTGGCCTCAGGCAATCCACCCACCTCAGCCTCCCAAAGTGCTGGGATTACAGGTGTGAGCCACCACACCCAGCCCTCTTGTATTTCTTTTAATGTCTGTTGGATCTGTAGTGCTGTCTTCTCATTCATGCCAGATATTGGTGATTTTGGTCTTCTATTTTTTAAAATCAGTCTCACCAGAGGTAGATCCATTTTATTAATTCTGTCAAAGCTTTTAGTTTTATCTCTTTTTCGTCCATTTTGTTTCATTTATTTATGCTCTCATTTTTATTATTTCTTTCGTTTTTATTTTTTAGGGGTTTAGTTTGCTTTTCTTTGTCTAGTTTCATAAGGAGAAAACTGAGGTCATTGATGTGAGATCTTCCTTCTTTTCTAATTTAAGCATTAAATATTACAAATTTCTCTCGAATCATTGTACTGGTTGATTTCACAAGATTTGATACATTTTGTTTTCATTACCATTCATTTAAAAATACTTTCTAATTTTCCTTACAATTTCTTCTTGGATCCATGAAATATTTAGAAGTGAGGAGAGTTTTGATTTTGTTTTGTTTTGTTTCTTGTTTGTTTGTTTGTTTTTGAGACAGGGTCTCACTCTGTCAACCAAGCTAGATGGCAGTGGTGTGATCATAGCTCACTATAGCCTCAACCTGATGGGCTCAAGTGATCCCCCCACTTCAGCCTGCCGAGTAGCTGAGACCACAGGCATGCACCACCACACCTGGCTAATTAAGAAATGTATTTATTTATTTTTTGTAGAGATGAGTTTTTGCTATGTTGCCGAAGCTGTCTCTCAAACTCCTGGACTCAAGCAATCCTCCCAGCTCAGCCTCACAAAGTGCTAGTATTATAGGCATGATCCACTCCCCCTGGCCAGAAGTGAGCTTTTAAATTTCCAAATATTTGGGAATTTTCCAATATCTTTTTGTTTAGAGCTTAATTTTTGTGGTCAGAGAATAATACATAGTATATGATTTAAATCTTTTAAAACTTACTGAGATATGTTTTACAGCCTAGGATATGGTCTGTCTTTGTAGATATTTCATGTTCTCTTGAAAAGAGTATGTATTTTGCTCTTGTTGGATAGAGTGTTCTCTAAATGTCAATTAGGTAGATTGATGAATAGTGTTGTGCAAGGCTTCTATATTTTTACTAATTTTTGTCTACTTATTCTGTCAATTTATTGAGAGATAAATATTGAAATCTCCTATATTTGTCTTTTTCCTTTTAGTTCTGATTCTTTACTCTTATTTTTATAATAGTTTTGGGTATACAAAGAGAGTACAGAGCATTCCCACATGCACTGAACCCAGTTTCCCCTGCTGTTAATATCTTACATTACTATAGTTAATTTGTTGCACAAAGGAACCAACATGCCTTTTAACCAGACCCTATAGTTTATTCAATGTCATTCTTTCTTTCTTAGTATCCGTTTTTTGTTCTAAGATCTAATCCAGGATATTACATACCATTTAGCCATTAAATCTCCTTAGCCTCTTCTTGTCTATGACAGTTTCTCCAGACTTCCCTTATTTTTAAGGACCTTGACAGTTTTGAGGAGTTCTGGTCCAATATTGTGTACACTATTCCTCAATGTGGGTTTGTCTGATGTTTTTCTAATGGTTAGACTGATGCTATGGGTTTGGAGAAGGAAGATCACAGAGGTGAAGTGCCATTCTTATCATGTCATATCAAAGGTACATGCTGTCAATGAATTATTATTGATGAAGTTAACCTTGACTACTAGGCCAAGGCGGCATTTGCCAGGTTTCTGCACTGTAAAGTTACTTTTTCTCTCCTTTCCGTACTTCACTCTTTGTAGGTAAGTCACTAAGCACAGCCACACTCAATGGGAGGGTGAAATATATATTATTTGGGATACTTCTACAAGGAGATTTGTGTCTTCTTTTTTATCTATTCTATCATTTTTATATCCATGTTGATTTAAGGCCATGTATTTTATACTTTAGGATATAATCCAATACCACATTATTTATTTTGTTGCTCAGAATGTTCCAACTTTGGCCATTGGGAGCTTTTTCAGCTTGGCTCCAATTCTGTCAGGTTTTGCTTCATGTTTTTTGAAGTTCTCTTATGAGGTGCATACATGTTTAGGACTGTTATTTTCTCCTACTGAATTTATTCCTCTCTCATTAAGAAATGTTTCTGTTTGTCTCTGGTATTATTTCTTCTGTGTGCATCAATATACATTGAGTTCATGGGTAGTCTGATTAAAAATAAAACAAAAACCCAGGAGGTTTCTGGAAGATCTTTTGCTCTGATCGGGGTTATCCTGGTTATTTCAGTCTAGGGCTACAAAGCAATGCTTGAATCACCATCGGATCAGACCTATCAAGGAGAAATCCAGTTGGCAATAAGGAGCTGGATTGCCTAAAAGTATTTTCAAATATCACAGTCTTGAATTTTCTCAAACCAACAGGAAATTAAAATTTATTGCAAACTCCTATATCAAGGCTCACAAACCAGAATGAGTAAAAAATGAGATGATGAAATGTCAGGACTGATTTATGAGGTTTTGGTTTGTGAACTGTTTGGTTACTCCCTATCTGTCTTTTTCTGTCTGTCTCAGTTTCGTCAAAACTTTTCCCAAATTATGTAAATCATGCCTGGTGGGGCCCATGATTTCTGCTCATATTGAGGACAGAAAACTGTCCTAATGCCCTTCTGTCATTCCTTCCTCCGTTCCTCCCTGCCTCTTTCTTTTCCTCTTTTCTCAATCTCTTTTTGCTTTCCTCGTTATTAAACATTTATTTATCGATTGCCCACTATGCATAAAGTCTGGTAGTACAGTTGCTCTCAAACTTTTTTGTTCATGATCAATACTAAGAAACACATTTTTATATCAAAACCCAAAACCCAGCTCTCTCTCATATGCACACACACACACACACACACACAACCACACACATTTCACTGAACAACTCTCCTGTAGGCACATTAGTCTGCTCAGGCTGCCATAACAAAATATCGTAGACTGGGTGGCTTAAACAGAAATGTATTATCTCACAGTTCTGGAGGCTAGAAGTCCAAGACCCAGATCCTTCAGGGTAGGCTTCTGGTGAGGGCTCTCTTCTGGCTTGCAGACGGCCACCTTCTCACTATCTTCACATGTGTGTATATAAGAGGGAAAGAGAGAGAGCATGCTCTCTGGTGTTTCTTCTTAGAATGACACTAATCCTATCAGATCCACCCCTATTACTTCATTTAATCTTAATTACTTCCTTACTCCAAATAGAGCTACACTGGGGGTTAGGGCTTCAAACTATGAATTTGGGGGTGAGGGAAATATACATGCACTAAATAACACTAGATATTTTGCAATCAGAAATTTTCTGTTCTATTTCATTCTGATTATTTTAATTTAATGTTGGTGACACTTACTAAACTAATTTCATGATTTGCTACTGGGTCAGGGCCTATATTTGAAAAATGCTGCTGGGAAGAATATAAGGAGTTAAAAGGCAAAGTTCCTACCTTGTAGAGGCTTACATTCTAATTGGGAGAGTAGGGCATGGCCTCCAATTGCAGCAACCTGTGGCACTATGAGACATGTGTTTATCAAGAGCAGAGCAGGCTGGGCGCAGTGGCTCACGCCTGTAATCCCAGCACTTTGGGAGGCCGAGGCAGATGGATCACGAGGTCAGGAGATCGAGACCATCCTGGCTAACATGGTGAAACCCTGTCTCTACTGAAAGTACAAAAAAATTAGCCGGGTGTGGTGGCGGGTGCCTGTAGTCCCAGTTACTCAGGAGGCTGAGGCAGGAGAATGGCATGAACCCAGGAGGTGGAGCTTACAGTGAGCGGAGATCGCACCACTGCACTCCAGCCTGGGCGACAGAGTGAGACTCCATCTCAAAAAAAAAAAAAAAAAAAGAGCAGAGCAGAGTTTGCCTGGGGTGACATGGAGATACTGAGTGGAGGAGGTGGGGTTTGAGTCAGGTCCTGGTGGGTGGATAGACCAGGACCCACATTAAAACCATGTCCTTTGGACAGTTTGCCACGGGATGCACGTCTTCAGGATGCCTGCCCTACATCTGCAGACCCTCAGAGCCCTGATAAATGTGAAAGGAGGCCGGGCGTGGTGGCTCATGCCTGGAATCCCAGCACTTTGGGAGGCCGAGGTGGGCAGATCATGAGGTCAGGAGTTTAAGACCAGCCTGACTAACATGGTGAAACCCTGTCTCTACTAAAAATACAAAAATTAGCTGGGCATGGTGGCACATACCTGTAATCCCAGCTACTCAGGAGGCTGAGGCAGGGGAATCGCTTGAACCCGGGAGGTGAAGGTTGCAGTGAGCCGAGATAGTGCCATTGCACTCCAGCCTAGGCAACAGAGTGAGACTCCGTCTGAAAAATAATAATAATAATAATGTGAAAGGAATGGATGTTGGCCTTCCTACCTTAGTAAGCAGCGTGTCCCCTGCCTGGAGGCAGCTACCTGAGTGGTGGGAATCAGATAGCCCTGCCAACCTGGCCAGCCTGCGGGGGAGCCTGTCAGAGCCTCATAACTGTCCAGTGGAGTGGTGTTCAAAAGTTCCTACGACTTTCATCTCAGGAGACTGAAGTTATACTGCCAGGGCTACAAGTGGGGCAAGTGAATTTATGGGCCTCATCTTCACCTACCTGTGGACATTGCAAGGACAGAGCCTCAGAGCACCATCCAATTCAGGACAATTTTGACACGAGTAACAGGTTCGGGCTGAGAACAGCCCCACTCAGAAAATGTGTGGTGTCGAAAACAGTAAGATCAACAACTATGGGTTTGAATCGCAACTCCAGCACAGTTGAGAGACTTTGGGCAAGACGCCCTGTCATTCCTCATTTCTCATCTGTAAGATAGGGTAGTATCAGCCCCAGCCTCATAGGGTCATTTGAGAATGGGCTGAATTAGCATCTGTAAGGTGGTTAGAACAGTGTCTGGCATAATACACAGTATGAAATAGTATGTTAACTAAAGCCACCATCACCGTTTATTAAATCCTTTTTATATTGGCTACCATGCTAATTGCCTGAGATATGTTATTTGATTTGATCCTCACATCAACACTATGAGGTAATATTATTATCTGAAAGAAAAAGAAACTAGGATCTAGAAAATGTAAATAACTTCCCAACAGCAAGCAGCTGGTGAATGACAAAGTTGGGTTTGAAAAGTGATGGTGATGGTTTTAAGCATTGTAAATGCAGATGATTTTGTTTTATGGTTATATAAAATATTCACATGGATCCAGAGTCAAATGTACACAAATTTAACTTCTGTCCCTGTCTCTTCCATCCTATTCTTGTCCTTCCTATATAGACAACTGTTTTTTAAAATTGTTTTTCAGGCCAGGTGCAGTGGCTCACGCCTGTCATTCCAACACTTTGAGAGGCTGAGGCAGGTGGATTGCTTGAGCTCAGGAGCTTGAGACCTGCCTGGGCAATATGGGGAAACCCCATCTCTACCAAAAAATACAAAAAATTATCCAGGTGTGGTGGCATGTGTCTGTGGTCCCAGCTACTAGGGAGGCTGAGGTGAGAAGATCTCTTGAGCCTGGGAAGTTGCAGTGAGCAAGGATGGTGCCACCGCACTCCAGCCTGGATGACAAAGTGAGACTCTGTCTCAAAAAAAAAAAAAAAAAAAAACCACACAAATAAAATAAGACTGTTTCTCTTTTTCTTTAAAAAATCTATAAGCATGTATTGTATGTATAGGTATATGTGTTTATATGTATACATATATAATATGATTGTTCTATGGTAGGGAGTTTGGTTCTATGAGAGAGTTTGGTTCCAGGACCCCCACAGATACCAACATTGGAGGATGCTCAAGTCCCCAATATCAAATGGCGTATAACCTGTGCACATCCTCCTATGTACTTCAAATCATCTCTAGATTACTTATAATACCTAAGACAATGTAAATGCTATGTAAATAGTTGTCATACTGTGTTGTTTACAGAATAATAACAAGGGAAAAAACTCTGTACATGTTCCATACAGATGCAAACAAACATTTTTGTTTTTTTCCTGAATATTTTTGTTCCTTGGTTGTTTGAACGCAGGGATGCAAAACCCATGGATAAGGAGGGCCGACTGTACTCCTATTCTTCGATAAACAGTGGCAGGCTGTCCAAAATATATATATGTATTTTTTTTCCCACTTTGCTTTTTGTTTTTTACTTACCAATATTTACCTTCTGAGATCATACCCAAACCCCCATTATTTGCTTCAGTTGCAGAGTACTCCATCGTGTGCCTGTATCATAGTTTATTCAACTCATTCCCATTGATGGACATACAGGGGATTCCAGTCTTTGCTTTACAGATGATGCTGCAGTGATTAGCTTTGTGCATACAACTTTTCATATATTTTCCAGTGTATTTTGAAATAGATCCCTGAAAGTAGGCCTGCTAGGTCAAGAGGGAAATGTAGACATGTTTTTGCTCGATCTTGCCAAAGCCCCTTCCATGGAAGTTGTAGCATTTTGCACTACTATGTCCCCACAGTCTTCCCAAGAAATATGTTTTCAAATTTTCAAATTTTTGTCAAGCAAATTTTTAAAATAATTTTTTCCTTCTTAGAGAAACAATATGTGTTATTTTTAGACATTTTTGGGGAAAAGGCACACTCTGAAATTCTCAGCAATCCCTTTTCCTAGAATTGTTTTGCCCTTAAATATTTAATGGCTAGTCCTCACGTGAGAAATTCAGGACCCTTCCTTCCCAGTATCTCCAGGTAATCATGGGAGGGTTTGCCCAACTCTTTTTGTCATGCCATGCTTCGAGTTACTATTCTAGCTGAATCCATGGTGCCTGCCTGTGCCCCTGCCCTCCATGAAGCATCTCCTTCACTCTGAACACATCCATGTCTTTCTGATCTAAATAACCACAATCCAAAGCTGTATATGGAGCTGACGTTACTGAAGGCTGTGGCAGTAGAGGGGTCACATTCACACAGCAAGAGTCCACAAGCTTCAGAGGAATAGCAGACAACAGCAGCCCCTGGCCTCCAGCCCCCAGCAAGGAATTCTCAGTGCCAGAGCCCTGGCCTCTAGATGCCCTGGGCTTGCTGTGCTCCTTCCTCAAATACCCACATCTCTTCCTTCCCACTCGCAAATCCAAGCTTCTCACTTTACTATGCAAAGAATCTTAGCTTCCATTGTCATACCAGCTCCCTCTAGTTTGGAGTTTCTATCATTTTTGCTCATAAAATGGCTCATCTCAGCGTTTTGATGACCAAAACGCTTTTTATCTATAAAAGAAATTCTACCAGCATATAAACTCATTTTCCTCCCAATTAAATTTTAAAAATATAAAGAATAAAACCCTAATCCTTTCACCTAGACAGAGATAAACATTGTCAACAGATTGGTATAATTCATTCAGGACTGCCCCCTAGGTTGTGTGGGACACTAGGTACAGATTTTTTGCAAAACTTCTGTCTATAAGAAATATCTGAGTCACCCCAAATCAGCAGGTCAGCACCATCCTAGCTGCCCAGTGTTGAACAATCCCATGAAAAAAATCCTTGCCAGGCAGCAGGAACACTCCTAAACCTGGAGTCCAACCAGGATAACCCCATAAACACAAGTTCTGCAGCTCCCTGGAGCATCTGGTTGACTCCCAACACCCAGAATAGGGAGTGGCACAGGGTCAGGGTATCCCAAAAAAAGGAGAAACATGGGCCAAGCGCTCCACTTGGACATCCCTGCTGGTCTTGTCTGGTCCTGGACACCAAAGAAGACTTCCTTGGAGAAAGGTACGTAAAGCTGGGGAGTGGGGCAAGGATGAGTCATGGGGCCCAGTATAGGGCACTGTTTATCAGTCTAAGGATGGTACCATATCTGCTAACAAAGCTGTGTAAACCAATGCCAGGATCTCATATCCCGCGATGCTAATCAAATTGGTATGGTGCAAAGCACACATATCTCTTTTATTATTATTTTATTTGTTAACAGTGGCCTAGCTTATGGGATTTTATTTATTTAATTTTTAGTTTTTAATTTTTGTGGGTACATAGTAGTTGTATATATTTATGGGGGTACATAAGATGTTTTGATACAGGCATGCAATGTGTAATAATCACATCATGGAGGATTAGGGTATCCATCCCCTCAGGCATTTATCCTTTGTGTACAAATGATCCAATTATAGTTATTTTTAAGTGTATAATTAGATTATTATTGACTATTGTCACCCTGTTGTGCTATCAAATACTAGGCCTTATTCATTTTAACTTTTTTTTTTTTTTTAACCCATTAACCATCCCCGCCTCCCCCTCACCGCTCCACTACCCCATACCTCTTTCAGAAACTGTCCAGGGGATTTTTTTTTACCACGGAGTCAGAGTTGAGAGCATTCAACTTAATAGTGTTTAAAATCCTTGCATCTCCCTTCCTGGGAAATTGAGATTATAATATTGAAGGAACTGGCCCCAAGCCACCCAGTGGGCCAAGACTACAGCCCTAATATCCTGCATGTACCCACACCCCACTCCCTACTTGCCTTAAGAGGCTGAGTGTCTAGGCTGCTCAGTTCCTTCCACCTAGCACGATTTAAGTACTCCTTTCTTCTCTCTCGCTCTTTTTTTTTTTGTTTTTGGTTTGAGATGGAGTCTTGCTGTGTTGCCCAGGATGGAGTGCAATGGCACGATTTTGGCTCACTGCAAGCTCCACCTCCCTGGTTCAAGCAATTCTCCTGCCTCAGCCTCCTGGAGTAGCTGGGATTACAGGTGCACACCACAACGCCCAGCTAGTTTTTGTATTTTTAGTAGAGATGGGGTTTCACCATGTTGGCCAGGCTGGTCTTGAACTGCTAACCTCAGGTGATCCACCTGCCTTGGCCTCCCAAAGTGCTGGGATTACAGGTGTGAGCCACTGCACCCAGCCCTTTCTTCTCTTTTGATGTAGTTTTTAGGTACTTTACCTGCCAGTAACATCTCTGCTGTTACGGCCCTTACTAATCTTTACGCTATCAAGCTAAACGTGTGCTCATGAATAGCTGGGAAGGGTCTTAAGAAAGACACAGCCTTTTTCGACTAATCGGCATTAATCATTTCCTTTGGTTAAACTGGCTGAGACAAAACCCAGAGGGGTGCTTGTTCTTTTTTATAATCAGTGAGACTCCATGAGGAAGTGCAGGTGATGTGACTTCCAGGCCTATTCTCCATGGTGCAGAACCAGGCTGAGAGCAGAGAGGAGCTGAGAGCACACATTTCCCTCTGCTGATGTTCAATTACAGGGCTGGCTGGCTGACAGCTGACGGGTCTGGTTCAGACATTGTAGCTCAAGCTGGGATTTGGATTCTTTCAAACCACCTACACATAAGGAAGGGAAAACAACAACGTGATTTTCTCTGACACTTTCCCTGAGTTCCTTTTCCTTTATTATTGTTAGAAATTCCAGAAAGAAAAACACTGAATTAAGCATTACATACATTCCTCTCTGGATGAGAACTGGGTGTATGGATTCTTGGGTTCATGATTGAAATTCTTGTATACCAAGTACTTGGTAGCCCACGAATAGCCAGAAAATCTTCATGCCTACCTTTCTTTGGCTATAAAATGGGGTCAACACATTGGCTTCGAAGGCCGAGCTACTCATTCTAGCCTTGCTTGAATTTTCCTGATAGCTTGTTGGGATGGTTGACAAAGATGTGTCCTCTCCTAAGTAGAAGCTAACCTGAGCTGGAATGTCAGTCAAGTCCCGGCAGGAGCAGATGGCACACTTGGAAGAGAGTTTTTGAATAGATGATTTACGGATGTGTGGGTAAACCTACGAGAAATGAGGAAGTGTCCTGGGGCTAACGACAGCACTGTGGCCTTCCCATCCCCAGGCCTGAAAGGACAGGAAGAGAAACTGGTTTTAGGAATCTGGTGAGACTTGTCATCGTAGGAGCTGTGGTCTTCAGTAGAGATGCAGCCCCTGCCAACCCACCACCCAGCAGGGAGGGCTTGGGGAGTAAATACCCCAAACTCACTCAACGCCCCCCTCTGATCTCCTACTGTGCCTCCCTTTGGCTAAACCCAGCAGGAAACCAGAAGGCAAGAGAGCCCAGCTGCTGCAGCCCAAAGAGGTCAGCCTCGGGGTCACAGAACAGGGTGGAGAAAGAAAGTGAATCCCATAGGGCAAAAGGAGAATATCCCCTAGAGCTGGACAAACAGCCCCATAACCCCCCACCCCAATAACAAGTCTCCAAATATGCATCTACAATGTACGCACCTCCTTCAAGGTTGGGTCCTGATGCTCACTGTTAAACACAATGATGTACATAAAATCACACAACCAACTGTAAAGACCTACACATATTCCAATTTATTACTATGGTTGTTGTTATTGGAATTAGAAACCTAGCCATTAGATGTCAGGGACTAAGCAAATAGAACAATGTAGCAACTGTCAGCCCCCGAGGCTGTTGTCAGGCTCCCTCCGCCTCCGTGCTTTGGTGCCTGTGCCCCATCTGTGACCAGGTGGCCCCACTGGAAATTCCAACAGCATAAGCTACAGTCATTCTGCCTGCTCAGTGTTGATTTTCCTCTCTCCTCAGCTCCTGCAGGGTGGAATGTCAGCTAAGTGGCAGGGAGCCTGCTCACCAAGGGGCTGGCTGATTGCTTAGGAAACCCATCCCTCTACTGGAATTTAATAAAAACCACCCACCAGACACAGGGTGGGGGCATTGGCTCTTTAAATGATGCTTTTCTTTAAGGGGGAAAAAAATCTATCTGTGCCAGTAAAAGAAAGAAGAGAAAGAATCTAGTTATTCAAAGATGGAAGAAAAAAATGTTTTTAATTTGTAACTTTGCTAATTTCATTCTGCTGCTCAAAACTCTTTGATGGCTATCATTGCCTAGGGAATATATTTCAAATGCTTTAGCCTGAGATCTGGCCTCAGCTTTTCCTACCAAACCTTTCATTACTCTCCTTCAATTATCCTTCTTCCATCAAATTGCATGACTCAGAGGACATTTTCTGGGCAGTTCCAGGTATCCTCCCACACACAGCTTTTTCATGCTGTAGACCAGTAGTTCCCAACACAGGCTGTTCTTGCCCCTCGGGGGACATTTGGCAATGTCTAGAGACATTTTTGGTTATTACGCAGGGCCAGGGGTGCTACTAGCATCTGGTAGGTAGAGTCCAGGGATATCGCTAAACATCATACAATGCACAGGCCAGGCCCTGACAACAAAGAGTTATTCAGCCCAGCATGGCAGCAGGACTGAGACTATGCCCAGCTGTCTCCCCACTGTCTACATCTTGTGTATTCATTGATTCATTGATGAACCTTGTGTATTCACCACAGTGAAACCTGCATTGTCCAGGACACTAGCCACTTATCACATGTGGCTGTTGAGCGCTTGAAACGTAGTTTGTCCAAACTCGATGTGTTGTGTCAAATGTTAATCAGATTTCAAAGACTTCATATGAAAAATGGAATGTTATTGTTCCATTGATAATTTTTATGTTGATTACATGCTGAGATTATAATATTTTGGATATTCTGGGTTAAATAAAATACACCATCAAAATTAATTTTACCTTTTTTTTTACTTTATTAAAGTAGCTACTAGAAAATTGTAAATTACAGATATAGCAGAATTGTAATGTTATTAACACTGGTCTAGAACAGGGATTGACAAACTTTTTCTGTAAAAGGTCAGATAGGAAATAATTTAGGCTTTGTAGGCCTCTGTCCCATTTCTCCTCCTCCTCCTCTTTCTCCTCCACCTTTTAAAAATACAAACTTTTTTTTTTTTTTTTTGAGACAGTGCCTCACTACATCGCCCAGTCTGGTCTTGAACGCTTGGCCTCAAGCAATCCTCCCACCTTGGTTTCCCAGAGTGCTGGGATTACAGTCATGAACCACTGTGCCTGGCCAAAATATAAACCTTTTAAAAAATACAAAACCCTCTTAAACTTTTTAAAAATATAAAACCTTTTAAAAACACAAAAGAAACATTCTCAGTTTGAGGGCCATATAAAAAACAGACCTTGGCCCCAGATTCAGACGGTGGGTCACAGTTCATAGCTCATGGCCCTGTGGAGGTCAGTGAGCTCCTGAAGCAACCCTTCCCTCCTGTCCTTTCACAGTGGGCTACTTGGACTTCACTGCGTCCTTCCTCCCATCAAGTCTGGTATCTGCATCTCAGCCCTTTCTTAATCCTTGGCTCCTAGAAGTTGATATAGTCTTTCCAGGCCGGGCAGTGGCTCACACCTGTAATCCCTGCACTTTGGGAGGCTGAGGCGGGTGGATCACGAGGTCAGGAGATCGAGACCATCCTGGCTAACACGGTGAAACCCTGTCTCTACTAAAAATACAAAAACTTAGCCAGGCATGGTGGCGGGCGCCTGTAGTCCCAGCTACTTGGGAGGCTGAAGCAGGAGAATGGCGTGAACCCAGGAGGCGGAGCTTGCAGTGAGCCACGATCGAGCCACTGCACTCCAGCCTGGGAGACAGAGCGAGACTCCGTCTCAAAAAAAAAAAAAAAAAAAGTTGATATAGTCTTTCCCAATGTGGATCCTCCAGAGAGACTGGCATGATGCCTCACACCAAGCATGGCCTGATGAGGGAGGCGGTAGCATACAGGGGTGAGGCGCCCAAGCTGTGGCAGGGTCTTGACCTTGCCCTCCATGACCTTCCATTTTCCTTACTTCTAAGTGGAGCAAATGACAGAGTCTCACTCAGAGAGTGAGTGTGATGATGAACGCAAAAATAGACAAATGGAGCACTTAGTACTTTACTCTGAACATGGTGTGCTTCTCATTATTATTGTTAACATTTTTATATGAGTCATTATTGTAATTTTTGAAACTTACATGTTTGTTGAGTTACAGAGATGAAAGAAATGTGAAAATGATTCTTGTTATTCTTCTTATTAATGGTTACTTTTAAAAACCGAGTTTTTATTGAATTGCATTTTAAAGTCCATAGAACTATGGTCTACTACTTTCAAAAATTTGACTGTTTTTCCAGTGAGTTACATACATGCATAAATGTGTATATGTTGGCAGCTCAGAATTAACAGAGTATTTTTTTAAGTTCTAAATTCCTCTCAAATGGGAACGAAGTGTTCTCCTGACCCTTTCTACACTCCTTATTACTGTCGACATCTGCAACTAATTGTTGATCTATAAGTCAAAACTGTGACCAATGCAAAAAACCTTTAGCAAAGCCTGCCTGGGCTTGGGTGACCCTTCTTAATGTATTTCAGATTAAGACTGAAACAAGCCACCTTTTAACTGTCCAACTGAGCACCAAACAGTAGCGGTGAGTATTTATCAAACATCAAATAATAACATGATCAGATAACATGCTTACCAGTGAAAATCTAATTTAGAGCTTTAAAAATGTTTCATTTGAATTTTCAAAACCCAGACTTTTTGATAGGTACAAAGAAATACATTTTCAGCGTGCAATTTGATTGACTAAAGTAACTATGTATCAACAAAATCAAATTTTGACCATCTGAATATCTTTGTAGTAAATGAATGGCGTTTTAAGAAACCACAGGAAAAGGCAACATCCCATTCTGGTCAAGAATTTGGGTTCTGGAATAAACACACACAAGTTTATGCCCCAACTCTGCCATTTACTAGCTGGGTGATGCGGGGCAAGTTACCCAACTTCCTTGAGCCTCATCTGTGAAATGGGGGCAACAGAAGCTTCCTTGTAGAAGAATCCTTATGATAAGCATTTGAAGGGAAGTGTTTGGCACACTGCAGACTATGTTTCAAACACTAGTAACAGAAAGGCTACAAAATGTATAGTCTAGACAAGCAACAGCATCCTTTAAAAAGTTAAACTAGGCTGGGTGCAGTGGCTCACACCTATAATCCCAGCACTTTGGGGGGATCGCAAGCACTTGCTGAGGATAGCAAGACCCTCATCTCTACAGAAAGAAAAGACCTTCAGCTCTACAGAAAGAAAAGAAAAAAGAAAAGAAAAAGAAGGAGGGAAGGAAGGAAGGAAGGAGAAAAAAGAAAGAAAGAGAGGGAAAGGAAGGAAGGAAAGAAAGAAGAAAGAAAAAGAAAGAGAGGGAAAGGAAGGAAGAAAAGAAGAAAGAAAAAGAAAGAAAGAAAAGAAAGAGAAAGAAAGAAAGAAAGGAAAAAACAGAGAGAAAGGAAGGAAAGAAGGAAGGGAGGGAAGGAAGGTAGGAAGGAAGGAAATTAAACAAACTAAATAAAGATAATGGACATTATAGCATTACAGGCTATTTGTGTGTACTAACTGGTTTAGTTTGTATTCTTCAGAATAGTTAAAGGAATAAATCTGTTTTCCTCACTTTGCAGCTGACTACCCAGAGTTGCTCTACAGGAAGCAGCATGTTGCAAATCAACAACCACGTTCCAATGTGGGGCTCATCCACCGCCATTTGTTTTCTTGGCCCAGCCTCTTAGTTCGAGGGCCACTCCTCCCTGCCTGCCAGGCACAGCTACCTGTCACTAGATTTCAGTTTCATTCCCTCTGGCAAATGATTACTTATCTCTTCAAGCTCTCTCCCAGGGCAGAGCCTACATTTTCTGTCACCCTCATCACACCCTCCAAAATTGGTAAAAATCTATACATCCATTTTCACAAGATGTGGTAAAGTCAAAGAAACATAAACTTCACATCTAAAATACAATTTTGTTTATTTTGGAATCCATGTGATTCCAAAATCAGATTTTATGGGATCAATATTTATGAACTTTTAAATTATCGATAGCCTTGAGAATGAGGATTCGATTTTTATTTTTTTTCTTTGACATCTCCTGCATGTCTCGAGCTCTGGGCCAGCCATCTGTGTAACTGCAGACATTGCCTTCCACTTCAGCTGCTACTTCTTAGCCTTGGACCACTATCCTGTGAAATGAGAGGGCAGAGGCAGGATCCCTGGAGCCAAAGACGCAGGGGCAGTGGCCATATTCACCTCAAATGGACAAGCTCCTTCGGCTGGAGCATGGGTGCGCTTTAGCCTCCTTCCACCTATAGGGTTCTGAACCTGTTTGGGGTGGAGGGGAGTGCACCAACCACAGGTCCACACTAAAGCCCTCCGCCCCTTTAGACAGCTACAGCCACTCCCAGCCAAAGGCCAGGCCACTAAGGAGCCCTGAACACCACATCCTCTGGGGCCACACTTAGGAGGAAAGTTGTCTTCCCACAGCTGAAGCCATTGATAGGCTGAGCTAGCCCCTCTTCTATGATCAAAACTGTGTGTGTCTATTGGGCAATCAAATATCAATAGTGACTGAAACTCCCATTTCCTTCTAGCCCAAGCATGCTCTGCAACAGGGGAGGAAAGGGTGGCTATTGACTAAGTGTCTCCAAGGTGCTTTCACAAGATGCTTGGTGCTTTGTATATATTATCTCATTTAAATCACAACCACCATTGGAATAAGGCATTTTAATCCCCATTTCATGGCTGACAAAGTTGAGGTTCAGAAACGTTAAGTCATTTGACTGAGGTCCTGTGGATCACAAGTGGCAGGGTCCAACCCAAGAATGACTAGAATGTTCATAATCAGACTGCCGCAGCAGGCCAAGACGGGGTGGGCAGAGGGGGTGCCAACACTGCTCCATAATCCCACTCCTGATGAATGGACAGCCATCTATGTCAGGGTCACCGTGACTGGGTCTTTGTTCCAGTGCTGAATGCATGCACACACACCCACACACGTGCACACACACACACTCACATGCACCACAGGGTGCCGGAGTAATGTGGCTGTTTTGATCTGCTCTGAGGTTCCTAACTCAAGCACTGAAGTCCTGGGCTCGGCTTGAATTCAACCTGAGCCGAGAGCTGGCCAGGCCTCAGAAACGCGGGGCCGTCCATCACTTACGTCTCAGGTCTGCTCCTCGGAGAGCTGGAGTTGACCACAACTGCCTTGGCACAGTTCCACTGTGAGGGAGTCACAAAACTGGCATTTAAGTCCGGAGCGGAAAAAACACCCCAAGCTTGTTCGTTTTTCTGACAGGTGCTGGAGCCCATGAAAGGTCAGATTCCAGCTCACAGTCACATCCTGGCTTAGCCGGCTCCAGGCACACAAAGGCCTGTCTGTCTCGCCCCAGCGTGGGGAGTGGGGATGGAGGCCAAGGGCTTAAAATGGCCGCCTGATGGCCTGCTCCTGCTGATCCATTCCTTCACGCACATTGGCCTCAATGAAGCATTGGGAAACCCAGCTGCCAGGGATGTGTGAAATGGGAGGAATGAAGAAGAATGCAGGCTTTTTTCTTATTTGGAATTGCAAGAGATGTTAACCCCCCGGCAGCCCATGAATCCATGCCCTGACATCAGCCTGCTGTGGCTCATTTTGTAAGAGCCCCGGGGACACGTCTGTTTCATGTTCAAAGCCTTACCAGGCTGGAAAATTGAGTGAGAGCTGTCCCTCCAAGCCCTCAGCAAGGATGTTGGGAAACGAAGGAGTTTATTCTCTTCCTTGCTGGTGCATCAGGGATAGCTCAGAATCGCGGTGTTATTGGAACAGAGGGCGTGTGTTTAAATGCACGTAGCCACATGCTTTCATCCAGGAAGGTTTATTTTTGCAGCCTTTATGAAAACATCCTCCAATTCAAAATGGCTCCAAGGACCCACAGTCCTGTATTTTAAGTTTCTCACCAGCTGCTGTAGGCTGAGATTCTTTACCGCTTCTAACTTCTTCAAAAGATCTCACCACCCTCTCTTGTCACATGACTCCTTCCCCTCCCTCTCTGTCACCTCCCCATAACTTTACGCCAAATTATAATGCTGACAAGAAGCCAAGAGTTACAGCAGCTGCTGCACATCATCCTTGTAAAGAATCCTGGGTGATATTGATCATATAATAAAAACTTCAATTGACAGCTTCTTTTAAAATAACAAGCTCAGAGTACCAATACAATTCTTAAAACAAAAAACAAAAAAAAAAACTTGCTTTTGAAATTAAAAAACAGTGGTTTTGGAATAATTTTCTCCCCACCAGTTGAAAATCTCACCCTGACAAGAAACTTTCTCAGTAAAATAAGCTGTAGACTGGAAACTGGAGGCCTGGCCTCTTGTCACAGCTGTATCATGGAGTTATTCTGCATCAAATATGTTCATAGTCAGATGATGGGGAAGCCCCAGCTTTCTGAAGGGGTGATCACCAGCAAAAGACTGACTGCAGAGCTCTCCTATGTGTCCTGAATGTGTCCCCAATCCCTAAAAACCCTGTCCTTGCTGCCTTCTGTTAAGATTCCACCCCATCACCTCCACAAATGATTGACTCAATGAGCTTTTGCTCGCAGCCTATGTGAAAAGGTACAGTGTCCTTGGGGCCTGTCCCACAGCCACTCTGTAATTTCATGTCTCCATCTCTCAACAGGAAACACACTCATTCCCCTAGGAAGCATATTGATGATCACAACTACTATGTACATACATTGTGCTAAGTTCTTTTCAGGCACAGTCGTGTACTTTTTCCACCATTTTATGAAGTAGGTATGTTATAACCTATTTTGTAGAATGTATCCCATTTTATAGAAAAGGTGCCCGAGGCTCAGAAAGGCCCCCTGATATGGTGGAGCGAGCACACAAGTCCATATCAATCTGACTCCAAAGATTGTACTCTTAGCCACCACCCTGTAGGGCCTCCTAGCATAACTGGGACTATGAGGAATAAATACTCTCCAATAATTTTTTAAAGAGCACAGTAGAAATGCTTTCGTCAAAATAACTACCATTCGTTGGGCCTTCAGTACATGGTGGGAACTGCTAGGAGCTTTGTGTAAATCTCTTGTAACATTCTCATAGGGTAGGTATTCACGTTCCCATTTTACATGTTAGTGGCTTGATGACACCAAAGACAAAACAAAATCCTGGGCTCAATCCAGGAGTAAGAGACCTTGGCAATTCAGCTGGACGATGTACAGTGCAAATTTGGCAGCATTCAAAAGTCTTACTGCTACAGCTCTTTTATTATTATCAGAAATAATAACTATGGCATTTATTGAGCCTGGAATGCCACATGCTTTAGGGCTCCCTTCCTGGTAGGCTGTGGTCATGCTTTGGATATGTCAGCTTTCCAAAAATGTGGTTCCTGTGATTTCCAGACTGCCTGGGGCTCCGTGTGTGTGTGTGTGTGTTGGCACACACCCCATGATGTGTGTCTGTCACACTGCAGGGAGCTTTCCTTCATTTAAACAGCCAATTAAAACCCACTTTGGCACTTAACGCATGTCACTGCTTCTCGGCACTCAGCTGGCTTCCCAGCAGGCCTTTAATTTGATAAAGAGCTTCTAATAACGACTAACAGAGGGCCTGGTAAGTTAATTAAACCTTGCCCTTTATTTTGCTTTCAAGGTGTGCCTCCTCGTAAAAGCCCAAGTTTTGTGCTTGCAAATGACTTTAGACAATGTTCCATGCTTCAATGAGAAAAGTATGTCTGTCATGTCCTGGCAAGTTACTCTTAAAGTCTCAATTTCAGCATCATGTCAGGCTTTCACGGAGGCCAGAAGCAGATGGAAAAAAACCTCTGCACCCAATTGTAGGGAGGCCAGATTTAGCAATGGAAGATGAGTTTCCTCTGAGAGTACAACGCTGAAAGATGAGCTGGCTGTCATATCGAACTCCATTTATCCCATTTCTTTAAAGTAATCTGAGAGTCCAGATGGGTTGTATAAACAGAAGAGGAGGTTCCTGGGAGTTCACTAGCTTAATGAAGCCCGTATGTTTGACTCATGTAATAAGTATTTAATCATGCTGATGAAATTCATTTAAACTCCAGCCACACACGCTGTTGCTGAAGCCCTGATAATACCCTACATCACTCGTGCTGGCAGCACTGGAGCAAGACAGGTGACAAAGAAAATTGTGGCATTTCACAGGGTAAATAGGCTTTGGAGGGTCTGCAGGGGAAAGATAATGAGCCATGGGGGGCTGACTTGTTAGGCCATTGCCTCTGAGTCCTTGGAGCTCCCCTCTGTACGTGGCCATGGTGAGGTGCTAATGGCAGGGTAATAACTCACACATGCTTGCTTCTTCCTTTCTGAGTGATTGATGCAGAGAAGGTGTACCCATCAGGAAGCTTTCTGCTGCAAGTAACAGAAACCTCAACTCCACTAGCTTGAACAATCTGGAATTTTTCTGAATACATATTACCAGAAGTCCTAATATAAAGTGCTGTGAGACCTGGTTATTTCAGCAGCTTGAGCATATCCTCAAGGCCTCTGGTCCTTTCCCTATCTCTGTGCTGTACCTCATGATGTGGTCAGTTGTGGTCCCAGTCCAGAATATTTTCTGCTCATAGGCCAATGACTGCCAGTGATATGGTGATATGGTTTGGGTGTGTCCCCACCCAAATCTCATCTTGAATTCCCATGTGTTGTGGGAGGGACACAGTGCAAGGTAATTGAATCATGGGGGCAAGTCTTTCCTGTGCTGTTCTTGTGATAGTGAGTAAGCTTCATGAGATCTGATGGTTTTAAAATCTCTCTCTTTGCCTGCTGCCATCCATGTAAGACATGACTTGCCTTGCCTTATGCTATGATTGTGAGGCTTCCCCAGCCACGTGGAACTGTAAGTCCAATTTTCCTTTGTAAATTGCCCGGTCTCGGGTATGTCTTTATCAGTAGTGTGAAAACAAACTAATACAGTAAATTGGTGCTGAGAGCGGGGTGTTGCTGAAAAGATACCTGAAAATGTGGAAGCAACTTTGGAATTGGGTAACAGGCAGAGGTTGGAACAGTTTGGAGGGCTCAGAAGAAGACAGGAAAATGTGGGACAGTTTGGAACTTCTACACAGAAGTCGAGAATTGAGATTTGGGAACCTCCACCTACATTTCAGATGTATGGAAATGCCTGGATGTCCAGGCAGAAGTTTGTGTCAGGGGTGGGGCCCTCATGGAGAACCTCTGCTAGGGCAGTGCGAAAGGGAAATGTGGGGTCAGAGCCCCAACATAGAGTTCCTACTGGGGCACTGCCTAGTGGAGCCATGAGAAGTGAGCCACTGTCCTCCAGACCCCAGAATGGTAGAGCCACTGATAGTTTGCACCGTGTGCCTGGAAAAGCTGCAGACACTTAATGCCAGCCCATAAAAGCAGCCAGGAGGGAGGCTGTACCCTGCAAAGCCACAGGGGCTGGGCTGCCCAAGACCATGGGAACCCACCTCTGGCATCAGCATGACCTGGATGCCATGGAGTCAAAGGAGATCATTTTGGAGCTTTAGGATTTTACAGCCCTGCTAGATTTCAGACTTGCATAGGGACTGTAGCCCCTTTGTTTTGGCCAATTTCTCCCATTTGGAATGGCTGTATTTACCCAAGGCCTGTACCCCCACTGTATCTAGGAAGTAACTAACCTGCTGTTGATTTTATAGGCTCATAGGTGGAAGGGACTTGCTTTGTCTCAGATGAGACTTTACACTTCAGACTTTTGAGTTAATGCTGAAATGAGTTAAGACTTTGGGGACTGTTGGGAAGGCATGATTGGTTTTGAAATGTGAGGACATGAGATTTAGGAGGGGACAGGGGCAGAATAATATGGTTTAGCTGTGTCCCAAATCTCAACATGATTTCCCATGTATTGTGGGAGGGACCTGGTGGGAGGTAATTGAATCATGGGGGCAAGTCTTTCCTGTGCTGTTCTCATGATAGTGAATAAGTCTCATGAGACCTGATGGTTTTATAAAGGGGAGTTCCCCTACACAATCTCTCTCTTCACCTACTGCCATCCATGTAACACGTGACTTGCTCTCCTTTGCCTTCTGCCATGATTGTGAGGCTTCCCCAGCCATGTGGAACTGTAAGTCCAATAGCTTTCCTTTGTAAATTGCCCGGTCTTGGGTACATCTTTATCAACAGCATGAAAATGGACTAATACAGATGGGATCACCATGATTGACTATTATCTCTGAGTGGCAATGGGGCAGTGTTGGTTCAAAGCCAGCTCCCACCAGCTCATGCAAGCTGATAGTGCACATCTCCTCCCAGCTTTGCGTTTAGTGACTTCATGTTGGTAGCTTGAAATTGGGCATGATGGGCAACACCACAGGAATTGGCAAACACTACATAGCAGGGCTTTTTCTCCTGAAAAGCCAGTTGGCAAACATTTACCTGCATATCACTGTGACAAGGTCACCTTCCTTATGGCTGGATGCCAGAATAAAACCAGGGTTCTTCTAGCAAGAGAGAAAAATGGTAAGGACATTCAGAATGTGCAGTAGACAGGGGAAACTATTCCTGACCTTCTTTTGACTAAAAAGCTGTCTGCTGTGCCAGCAAAAATTCATGTACCAACCTGACCAAGCTTATCCATGGATGGGACTACCATTCTGATGTTTGTCTTGCTCTGAATGTCTGCTTGTCACCTGCTTAGGGTTATTGACCGTGATTCTGGAAATCATTTTTGTTATACATGACCCCTCTGACTTTGTGGTTTTCTCTACTGGATTAACAATGATAGCCATAGGTGCTTTTTTGTTGTCCTTACTGCAATGACAGCCCTGTATAAAGTTATAGTCAACAAGAACTTGCAGAAAACCATGAGGCCAAGACTAGGAGTGATACGAAGGAGCAGAGGTCCCCAAGGCACTACAGAGCCTTCCATGACTCAGTCGCTGATCAACAGCACCTTGTTGTAGCTGTACATTGAAACTGGATATCTTCACGGCTTTGGAACTTTTAAGTCTCCTGAGCATTGTTTTTAAATACAAATAAAATCTGGCTTTAAAAAAAAAGAAAGAAAGAAAAAGAAAAGCATCTGTGCTCTTCACAGCCCTGCCTCCCCATACACACCCATCTCCATGGGTTCTGCACTCCTGATGTGTTACCTCCCTGAAAGCAGGGTTGCATAGCTTTTATACCCACTTAGTTACAGATATTGCACTTGGTAGACCCCCACTTCTAACACACAAGAATACACACAGTTGCCCCTCTCCAAGCACACACACCCTTCCTGCCCATTTTGATGGGAGACAGAAAATCACCAAGCCTTGGAAAGTAGGTTACAGGGGGTGACTCCCCCCACCCAATGCCAACCAGTGATGGGTGAATGGTGGGCATGGAGGGCAGAGGAGCCCCTGATAGAAGTGGTTCCTGGAACAATATCAGATGTTTCCCCTTCTCCCATTCCCACAGCAATGTGTCTCCCCCTCTTTCTCCTGGAGGAGAAGGTTTGGCCAAACAAGGATAAAGTTCTTGGTGGGAGAACTCTTTTTTTTTTTTTTCTGGGGGAGACAACATCTCCCCCAGAAAGGCTTGGGTTGCCCTCTGCTCATTCTCTTTGGAAACATAGCACTCGCAGTCTGAGGAAGACTGAAGCAACTTACAAATGGGAGAACCCAAAGTACCCTCAAAAGTGTCCTAAAAGAGCCTGCTCAAGTAGGAAGCACTTGTCTTGTTGGTTGGCTTCATTTTTCTTTCTTTCATTTTTGTTGCTGTTGTTTTTGTTTTGAGATAGGGTCTGGCTCTGTCACCCAGGCTGGAGTGCAGTGGCAAGATCATGGCTCGCTGCAGCCTTGATTTTCTGCGCTCAAGCAATCCTCCCACCTCACCGCCCAAGTAGCTGGGACTACAGGTACACACCACCAAGCCCAACTGGCTTCATTTTTCTACCAAAATTAAAAAACTTCTCTAAGAAGCTTTTGATTTCTTTTCAGCTAAAATGATTCTCCACACTTAGTGGGCATCACAGTCACCTAGGAGAGTCTGCTAAGATGGCAGTTTCCTGGGCTGTTCTTCTGGTAATCTGGTTCAATAGTTAGGGTGCTGGGACCAGAAACCTGCACTTTTAGCAGGCATTCTCCGCCACCCCTGACCCCACCTCTCAGTGACTCTGAGGCAAGTTGTCTGAGAAGCCCTTCCATGAATGGGAATAAAATGTTCCCTTTGGTGGTCTAATCCAGAAGTTGGCAAACTGCAGCACACTAGCTAAGAAAGGCTTTTATAGCTTTGAATGGTTAAAGAAGTCAAAAGATTATCTTGTAATATTAAAATCATGCAAATTTCAAATTTCAGTGTTTCTAAATAAAGTTTTATTGGAACACAGCCACACTCTGATTATGTCATGTTTGTGGCTGCCCTCACACTATAGCAGCAGAGTTGAGTCATTGTGATGGAGATCATATGGCCTGCAAAGCCTGAAATATTTACTATCTGGCCCTTTATGGAAAAAGTCTGACAACCCCTGGTCTAACATGTTCCATTATCTCTCAATTCCCTGGCAGGAGGGCTTCCAATGAGTTAGTTCTGAGCCACTGACCACATCAGAGCCTTGCAGCCTTAGTAATAGTCTGCAGCTTTATGTCATTTGGCTCAAGGACTGAAAACAATGGCCAGGTGTCTTTCTGAGTGCAAAAGAGCCCTAGAGAGATGACGACTAGAGCAGGTAGTGGTGTGTTTCTTAGTGATATGCTGCAACCCACCCCAACCAGTAACCATTGTGCCATGATCCATGGAGCGTTGACTCCGTCCACAGCATGTGCATGCCCATGGCAGGGTCAGTGGGAAGTGGATGCAAACACACACATCTCATGACCCCTGCCCCCCTGGAACTTATACTTTAGCTGAGAAGAAAACACAGAGGACTTCTAGGCAGGGCAAAAATAGTGGTGGCTCCATTTCAAGCTGTGGGGCTTTTCTCAAATCAGTTCAGGAATGTGTTCAAACATTTACCATCCCAGGTCAAAACTCTGTGAAGTCAGTGTCCTCCATGAAAGAGGAAACCACGAAGGAGAGCTTCCAGGACTGCAGGCCTTGCCTTGTGACCCTGGCAGGTCCCATCCAGGCAGTATATGTTGGCAGAATGCCTCTGATGAGTAGGGCCCAGCATGGGAACTTAAGTAAGAAGGGCACTTGGAGAGAGGGCTGAGCCAAGAGGACAGAAAAACACACAGAGAAGGTGATCTTGAGAAGAGTAGCAGCGGGGAGGACATGGAAGCGGGGAAGGGGAGGATGGGCGAAAAGAATGGCTCACCTCCTGGTGGGGTTGGGCTGGGGTGTTTAGGCTGAGAAGGTAGGGTCGGTCATATTGTGGAGAGCTCTGAGTGCCAGAGTCAGAAACTGGTACGTACGGAAATCCATGGGAGAGGAGGAGCCATGAACAGGTTTTTGAATGTAAACTTTACATTAAAGTATAACATATAAAATAAGGGCACAAATGACAGGTGAATTTCCAGAAGGTAAGCACATTCATGTAACAGTGGGTCAATTACCTGCAATACCCCTACCTGTGGGGATTCTCCTGTTCCTGTAACTTATATTCAGTTAGTAATAACAGTGACCACCATGACTTACACTTACATAGAATGTTTTGATTTACAAATTGTATTTATGTACATTAAGTCTCTCAACACCGTGTGATGGGTACTATTACTATTGTTTTTATTTTACAAAGGCATAAAGCAACAAGATCATGTGAGTATTAAGCAGAAGAATTTGGATTCCACCCTTTGTATTCTTACCCCATTATTGGTGCAGCCATTAAGATAATGTAGATAGATATTTATTCATATAGGAACATGATCAAAATATATTATGAAGTTAAAGAATAAGATACAGAAGGGTTATGTAGTATATATCTTATGGAAAATATAATAGAGCAGTAAAGGATACCAGAGTCAAATCATCTGTGTTTAAACCCTGGCCCTGACACTTACAAGCTGTGTGACCTTAGACAAGTCATGCAAATTCAGAAAGGCTCACTTTTCTTTTTCTATTTATTTATTTTCTTTTTTCTTTATTTTTTCTTTCTTTCTTTCTCTCTTTCTCACTTTCTTTCTCTCTCACTTTCTTTCTCTCTCCTTCTCTTCTCTTTCTTTTTTCTTTCTTTCTTTCATTCTTGCTTTCTTTCTTCGTTCTTTCCATCTTTCTTTCTTTCTCTCTCTTTTTTTTCTTTCAGACAGGGTCTCACTCTGTCACCCAGGCTGGAATGCAGTGGCACAATCATGACTCACTGCAGCTTCAACCTCTCAGGCTCAGGTGATCTTCCCACCTCAGCCCCCTCACCCTCAAGTAGCTGAGCCTCACTTTTCTTATCTGCAAAATGGGAATAATAAGTGTCAGGCCTCTGAGCCCAAGCTAAGCCATTATATCCCCTGTGACCTTCACGTACACATCCAGATGGTCAGTTCCTGCCTTAACTGATGACATTCCACCACAAAAGAAATGAAAATGGCCTGTTCCTGCCTTAACTGATGAGATTATCTTGTAAAATTCCTTCTCCTGGCTCATCCTGGCTCAAAAGCTCCCCTACTGAGCACCTTGTGACCCCAACTCCTGCCTGCCAGAGAACCCCCCTTTTTCCTTTACCTACCCAAATCCTATAAAACGGCCCCACCCCTATCTCCCTTAGCTGACTCTCTTTTCAGACTCAGCCCGCCTGCACCCAGGTGAAATAAACAGCCTTTGTGTGTTGCTCACACAAAGCCTGTTTAGTGGTCTCTTCACGTGGACACGAGTGAAGTTTGGTGCCGTGACTCGGATCGGGGGTCCTCCCTTGGGAGATCAATCCCCTGTCCTCTTGCTCTTTTCTCTGTGAGAAAGATCCACCTACGACCTCAGGTCCTCAGACCGACCAGCCCAAGAAATATCTCACCAATTTCAAATCTGGTAAGCGGCCTCTTTTTACTCTCTTCTCCAACCTCCCTCACTATCCCTCAACCTCTTTCTCCTTTCAATCTTGGCACCACACTTCAATCTCTCCCTTCTCTTAATTTCAATTCCTTTCATTTTCTGGTAGAGACAAAGGAGACACGTTTTATCCGTGGACCAAAAACTCCGGCGCCAGTCGTGGACTAGGGAAGGCAGCCTTCCCTTGGTGTTTAATCATTGCAGGGATGACTTTCTGATTATTCACCCAGGTTTCAGAGGTGTCAGACCATGCAGGGACGCCTGCCTTGGTCTTTCACCTTTAGCGGCAAGTCCCACTTTTCTGGGGGAGGGGCAAGAACCCCAACCCCTCCTCTCTGTGTCTCTACCCCTTCTCTGCTTTTCTGGGGGAGGGGCAAGAACCCCTCAACCCCTTTTCCTTCACCCTTAGCGGCAAGTCCTGCTTTTCTGGGGGAGGGGCAGGAACCCCGACGTCTTATCTCTGTGCCCCGATCCCTTATTTCTGTGCCCTGACCTCTTATCTCTGTGCCCCGATCCCTTATTTCCGCACCCCGACCTCTTACTCTGTGCCCCAACTCCTTATTTCCATGCCCCGACCCCTTCTCTGCTTTTCTGGAGGGCAAGAACCCCCCACCCTTTCTCTGTGTCTCTACTGTCTCTTTTCTCTGGGCTCACCTCCTTCACTATGGGCAAGTTTCCACCTTCCATTCCTCCTTCTTCTCCCTTAGCCTGTGTTCTTAAGAACTTAAAACCTCTTCAACTCTCACCTGACCTAAAATCTAAGCATCTTATTTTCTTCTGCTATGCCGCTTGACCCCAGTACAAACTCGACAGTAGTTCCAAATAGCCAGAAAATGGCACTTTCAATTTTTCCATCCTACAAGATCAAATAATTCTTGGCGTAAAATAGGCAAACGGTCTGAAGTGCCTGATGTCCACGCATTCTTTTACACATCGGTCCCTCCCTAGTCTCTGTTCCCAATGCAACTCGTCCCAAATCTTCCTTCTTTCCTTCCCACCTGTCCCCTCAGTCCCAACCCCAAGCATTACTGAGTCTTTCTAATCTTCCTTTCCTACAGACCCATCTGACCTCTCCCCTCCTCGCCAGGCCGAGCTAGGTCCCAATTCTTCCTAAGCCTCTGCTCCTCCCCCTATAATCCTTTTATCACCTCCCCTCCTCACACCCAGTCCAGCTTACAGTTTCATTCCGCAACTAGCCCTCCCCCACCTGCCCAGCAATTTCCTCTTAAAAAGGTGGCTGGAGCTAAAGGTATAGTCAAGGTTAATACTCCTTTTTCTTTATCCGACCTCTCCCAAATCAGTTAGCGTTTAGACTCTTTTTCGTCAAATATAAAAAACCCAGCCCCGTTCATGGCTCGTTCGGCAGCAACCCTGAGACGCTTTACAGCCCTAGACCCTAAAAGGTCAAAAGGCCGTCTTATTCTCAATATACATTTTATTACCCAATCTACTCCCAAAATTAAATAAAACTCCAAAAATTAAATTCCAGCCCTCAAACCCCACAACAGGACTTAATTAACCTCGCCTTCAAGGTGTACAATAATAGAGTAGAGGCAGCCAAGTAGCAACATATTTCTAAGTTGTAATTCCTTGCCTCCACTGTGAGACAAACCCCAGCCACATCTCCAGTACACAAGAACTTCCAAACACCTAAACCGCAGTGGCCAGGCGTTCCTCCAGGCCCACCTCCCGCAGGAGCTTGCTACGAGTGCCAGAAATCTGGCCACCAGGCCAAGGAATGCCTGCAGCCCAGGATTCCTCCTGAGCTGTGTCCCATTTGTGCAGGAACCCACTGGAAATCGGACTGTTCAACTCACCTGGCAGCCACTCCCAGAGCCCCTGGAACTCTGGCCCAAGGCTCTCTGACTGACTCCTTCCCAGATCTTCTCAGCTTAGCAGCTGAAGACTGACACTGCCTGATCGCCTCGGAAGCCCCCTAGACCATCACGGATGCCGAGCTTTAGGTAACTCTCACAGTGGAAGGTAAGTCCGTCCCCTTCTTAATCAATATGGAGGCTACCCACTCCACATTACCTTCTTCTCAAGGGCCTGTTTCCCTTGCCTCCGTAACTGTTGTAGGTATTGACGGCCAGGCTTCTAAACCTCTTAAAACTCCCCAACTCTGGTGCCAACTTAGACAATACTCTTTTAAGCACTCCTTTTAGTTTTCCCCACCTGCCCAGTTCCCTTATTAGGCTGAGACACTTTAACTAAATTATCTGCTTCCCTGACTATTCCTGGACTACAGCCGCATCTCATTGACGCCCTTCTTCCCAATCCAAAGCCTCCTTTGCATCCTCCTCTTGTATCCCCCACCTTAACCCACAAGTATAGGATACCTCTACTCCCTCCTTGGCGACCAATCATG
Organism: Homo sapiens; assembly: GCF_000001405.40. Classification (NCBI taxonomy): domain Eukaryota; kingdom Metazoa; phylum Chordata; class Mammalia; order Primates; family Hominidae; genus Homo; species Homo sapiens. Next base: position 61,136,219 of record NC_000014.9, on the reverse strand, counting down.
CACCTCTTACCATCTCATTGAAACCTAATCACCCTTACCCCACTCAATGCCAATATCCCAACCCACAGCACCCTTTAAAAGGATTAAAGCCTGTTATCACTTGCCTGTTACAGCATGGCCTTTTAAAGCCTATAAACTCTCCTTACAATTCCCCCATTTTACCTGTCCTGGAACCAGACAAGCCTTACAGGTTAGTTCAGGATCTGCACCTTATCAACCAAATTGTTTTGCCTATCCACCCTGTGGTGCCAAACCCATATACTCTCCTATCCTCAATACTTCCCTCAACAACCCATTATTCTGTTCTGGATCTCAAATATGCTTTCTTTACTATTCCTTTGCACCCTTCATCCCAGCCTTTCTTCGCTTTCATTTGGACTGACCCTGACACCCATCAGGCTCAGCAAATTACCTGGGCTGTACAGCTGCAAAGCTTCACAGACAGCCCCCATTACTTAAGTCAAGCCCAAATTTCTTCCTTATCTGTTACCTATCTCAGCATAATTCTCATAAAAACACACGTGCTCTCCCTGCTGATCGTGTCCAACTAATCTCTCAAACCCCAACCCCTTCTACAAAACAACAACTCCTTTCCTTCCTGGGCATGGTTAGATACTTTCACCTTTAGATACCTGATTTTGCCATCCTAACAAAACCATTAGATAAACTCACAAAAGGAAACCTAGCTGACCCCATAGATCCTAAATCCTTTCCCCACTCCTCTTTCTGTTCCTTGAAGACAGCTTTAGAGACTGCCCCCAACCCAGCTCTCCCTGACTCATCCCAACCCTTTTCATTACACACAGCTGAAGTGCAGGGCTGTGCAGTCGGAATTCTTACACAAGGACCGGGATCGTGTCCTGTAGCCTTTTTGTCCAAACAACTTGACCTTACTGTTTTAGGCTGGCCATCATGTCTCTTTGCAACGGCTGCTGCCACCCTAATACTTTTAGAGGCCCTTAAAATCACAAACTATGCTCAACTCACTCTCTACAGCTCTCATAATTTCCAAAATCTATTTTATTCCTCACACCTGACACATACACTTTCTGCTCCCCGGCTCCTTCAGCTATACTCACTCTTTGTTGAGTCTCCCACAATTACCATTGTTCCTGGCCTGGACTGCAGTCTGGCCTCCCACATTATTCCAGATACCACACCTGACCCTCATGACTGCATCTCTCTGATCCACCTGACGTTCACCCCATTTCCCCATATTTCCTTCTTTCCTGTTCCTCACCCTGATCACACTTAGTTTATTGATGGCAGTTCCACCAGGCCTAATCGCCACACACCAGCAAAGGCAGGCTATGCTATAGTACAAGCCACTAGCCCGCCTCTTAAAACCTCTCATTTCCTTTCCATCATGGAAATCTGTCCTCAAGGAAATAACTTCTCAGTGTTCCATCTGCTATTCTACTACTTCTCAAGGATTATTCAGGCCCCCTCCCTTCCCTACACATCAAGCTTGAGGATTTGCCCCCACCCAGGACTGGCAAATTAGCTTTACTCAACATGCCCCGAGTCAGATAACTAAAATACCTCTTAGTCTAGGTAGACACTTTCACTGGATAGGTAGAGGCTTTTCCTACAGGGTCTGAGAAGGCCACCGCAGTCATTTCTTCCCTTCTGTCAGACATAATTCCTCCGTTTAGCCTTCCCACCTCTATACAGTCTGATAACAGACCAGCCTTTATTAGTCAAATCAGCGAAGCAGTTTTTCAGGCTCTTAGTATTCAGTGAGACCTTTATATCCCTTACAGTTCTCAGTCTTCAGGAAAGGTAGAACAGACTAATGGTCTTTTAAAAACACACCTCACCAAGCTCAGCCACCAACTTAAAAAAGACTGGACAATACTTTTACCACTTTCCCTTCTCAGAATTCAGGCCTGTCCTCAGAATGCTACAAGGTACAGCCCACTTGAGCTCCTGTATAGATGCTCCTTTTTATTAGGCCCCAGTCTCATTCCAGACACCAGACCAACTTGGACTGTGCCCCGAAAAACTTGTCATCCCTACTATCTTCTGTCTAGTCATACTCCTATTCACCGTTCTCAACTACTCATACATGCCCTGCTCTTGTTTACACTGCCAATTTACACTGTTTCTCCAAGTCATCACAGCTGATATCTCCTGGTGCTATCCCCAAACCACCATTCTTAACTCTTAAAGTAAATAAATAATCTTTGCTGGCAAGGCTATGCTGAACCTCCTTAGGCACTCTCTAATTAGATGTCCTAGGTCCTCCCAATTCTTAGTCCTTCAATACCTGTTTTTCTCCTTCTTTTATTCCGTTTAGTTTTTTAATTCATACAAAACTGTATCCAGGCCATCACCAATAATTCTAAATGACAAATGTTTTTTCTAAAAACCCCACAGTATCACCCCTTACCACAAAATCTTCCTTCAGCTTAATCTCTCCCACTCTACGTTCCCCCGCCGCCCGTAATCCCCCTCGAATCAGCCCTGAGAAACATCGCCCATTATCTCTCCATACAACCCCCCAAAAATTTTCACCGTCCCAACACTTTACCACTATTTCCTTTTATTTTTCTTGTCAATATAAGAAGACAGGAATGTCAGGCCTCTGAGCCCAAGCTAAGCCATCATATCCCCTGTTACCTGCACGTACACATCCAAATGGCCGGTTCCTGCCTTAACTGATGACATTCCACCACAAAAGAAGTAAAAATGGCCTGTTCCTGCCTTAACTGATGACATTATCTTGTGAAATTCCTTCTCCTGGCTCATCCTGGCTCAAAAGCTCCCCTACTGAGCACCTTGTGACCCCCACTCCTGCCTGCCAGAGAACAACCCCCCTTTTTCCTTTACCTACCCAAATCCTATAAAACGGCCCCACCCCTATCTCCCTTAGCTGACTCTCTTTTCAGACTCAGCCCGCCTGCACCCAGGTGAAATAAACAGCCTTGTTGCTCACACAAAGCCTGTTTAGTGGTCTCTTCACGCGAGTGAAAATAAGAATATGTATTCATCTGTTTTCACACTGCTGTGAACAACTTCCCTGAGATTGGGTAATTTATAAAGAAGAGAGGTTTAATTGACTCACAGTTCTGCATGGTGGGGGAAGCCTCAGGAAACTTACAGTCATGGTGGAAGGGGAAGCATTCACCTTCACGAGGAGGCAGGAGAGAGAATAAAAGAGGAACTCACAAACACTTATAAAACCAGCAGACCCTGAGAGAACTCAATCACTATCACAAGAACAGCATGGGAGAAACTGCCCTCGTGATCTAGTTACCTCTCTCCCTTGACACGTGGGGATTACAATTCGAGATGAGATTGGGGTTGGGACACAGAGCCCAGCCATATCAGAATACATACCTCATATGGCTATCATGTAGACTAATAAGGAAACCTATGCATGATAGGCAGAATAGAGGCCCCTCAAAGATGTCTACGTCTTTGGGATTCTGCTGTCAAGGCCTCATCCCAGCCACATAAATCCAGGTGAGGCTAGGAGGTGTGTTCTGAGCCTCTCAGGAGCAGAGAAAACCATTTGCAGCTGGTGGCTGCCTTAGACTCATCCGAGGAATTGAAGGGTTTGATGTGTTCCTGCCTTGTCCCAGCCCATATTCTGGAAAATGCTTTATCTAAACAGCCTGGCTTTAACTGTTGTTTGGAATTTTGACTAATTTTCTTAGTGCTCCTTAAATATCTGAATTCCCAATAACCCTCATAGAAGAAGGCTGTACAACTTACTAAGCACACGAGAATTTAAATCATGTGTCCAATTCTTGGCTCTCCCTGTTACTAGTATGTGATCTTGGATAATTATCTAATCTTCCTAAAGCTCAGTTTCCTCATCTGCAAAAATCAGGCAATAGTGTGCTCCTGACAGGCTGTCGAGAGGGTTCAATGAGATGATATAAATAAAGTACTTAGCACAGTGCCTGGCAGAGAGTAAGTGCCCCAAAATGCTAGCATATATTATTAATCACCCACAGTATGCCATCACCCTGAGAGCAGGGGCTGCTGAAACAGTGCCTCTCCCACACCCAACAACATCCCGAACAACAGGGCCCCAACACATCCCATAGTCTCCAGCACAGTCTTGTGCACAGGCAGGCTACAGAAGCCCATGAAGGCCGCCAGAGAACAGAAAGATGAAGCCACATGCAGCAGCCTGGTAACCTTGGAGAAGCAGCCCCGGCATCCCAGAGACCTGACAAGTCCTTCTGCTGCTGGCTGCCACATTTGGAGCTGAGACAATCAGCCTGGCTTACATCAGTTCTCTTGAGTGGATTGTGGAGGGGCTGCTATGGGTGAGGGCGGGTGGGCTTGGTGCCGGACTGACTGCTCACTTTTTCTTCCTTCCCCATGCATGACAGAGGAAAAGGGACTGGACTTCACAGAGTGATTGGTGTTGCATTTTGTCTGTGATTTTCCATAGATGGCAGCCTCTCCTGATAAATTCCCAGGCACTTCTTGGGGGTGTAAGTGAGTGAAGGCTCTTTGCCAAGGACCTCTGACTCCCAAAGCTGGCGAGGCTGGGAGGCATTTCTCAGTCTCCCTCCCACTCTGTCTTGGCTGTGCCTCTTCCCTGCTACCCCCCTGACCCTGAGGACACCACTGCACTGATGTAGCGCCAGAGCAATGCGAAGGCACCTGAGAATAACAGAGATGGACAGCCATCTTCTTTCATTTTTGACCTCTTGGAGCTAAGACATGACTTTGAAAAAGCTCAAGGCCCTTCATTGTACAACACAAAGCAGGCTCAGGGCACCAGCTGCTTCATGATTGTTCTCTTGCTATGGAAGGCAACCCCAGCCCCCTGGAGTCTTATGCCAAGAAATCAAGATGTATGGATTATTTGGATGGAAGGAAGGAAGGAGGGAGGGAGGGTAGGAAGGAAGGAGGGAGGGAGGGAGGGAAGGAAGGAAGGAAGGAAGGAAGGAAGGAAGGAAGGAAGGAAGGAAAGAAGGAAGGAATTTAGGTCAGGAGAGGAAAGTTTGACCTTGTAGTTTGGAGGCAGGTCTATTCTAGATAGGCAATATATCTGAGCAACCAGCAAAGCCATCGAGAGAGCCCTGTGGCTGATGCTGTGGCCGGCACCACATAAAGAGCTAAAAGTGCCAGTGAAATGGATGTGGCTGCTGACCAATAACCATCATCCCCTGACAGCAGGTGCAGGGGGCAGAGGGACAAGTGGAACCTCTTTGTCTTGTCATTGCAGACCAGAGTGCCCACAGCGATGTGAAACCTATTTGTCCTGGAGGAGGAGGGAGGAGGGAAAGGGAAAAAAAACAACTGGCTCACTCTGGCTCCATAAATCACTGGAAGGGAGAGCCCTTGCCTGGTGAAGTTGGAGATTCTACCTGGAAGCTCCCTGATGGTGCACTGAGCCGGGGTGTCGTAAATCACCAGGGCTCCGCCAATGGCAGCCCTGCCCACTGGCCCATTGAAAAGGGGCTGGTTGTTTTGCTGGCAGCTGATGCAGTGCACTGTCCCAGAAAGCCGGGGACAGGTGTCTGCCAGGCCATGGACCCAGGCCTACTTTGTGTGCTTCCCTTGGGTGTGATGGGGGGAGAGAGGCGGTGGATTGCTGTCCCTGGGAACTTGGCCCGGTGGCCTGGCATAGCCGGAATGTCCTTGGCCAGCTCTTTGTGAACAGCCAGAGGCAGTCAGGAGATGCATCTCATGATCAGATGGCCTGGGCTTGTGGAGTCTTTTTCCCAGGTTTCAGAATCATCTGAGGTCACTTGAGTGTCCTTGCTGTCCTTGTTAGATCCCTCAGGTAGCTCTCTGAGTCCTAATTGTTCAGCTTGTGCTGATTTTGTTTAGCCTGGATGGGCATGCCCCAGGGGTAGATGTGTCCACATGGACCTTTAATAGTTTACCTCATTGTCCCAACCATCAAGGAGAGGGGCCATCCCCCCAAAAAGGGACAATAGCTGCCCCCTTTTACCTCCCCAGGTGGGCTACATGTATCCCCACCACCACCCTTCATCACCCTCAGAATCACATCCCTGCTCACACACCTGCAATGCCTCTTCCATCTGGCAAACGCTTGACAATGCTACTAGGCCCTCTTTGAATGTCCTGACTTCTGGACCTCCCATGACATCTCTCATCACCACCTACCAGAGAACCAACAAGAGCACTTCTTTCCTTCATTTGTTTAGTAAACAATTATTAAGCCTCTACTATGTCCCAGATGCTGTCAACACAGGAGAACACAACATGGATGCAACCTCTGCCCTCATGGAGCCAGTGGATTAGAGACACAATACACATAATAAATAAGATGGTTCCTTCAATTCATGTTTTCAAGGAAATAAACAAGAAGCTGAGAGCAAATAATGCAGTTTAAAGTACAGAAGCTGCTATAAAGGGGGTGACAGAAGAAGCCTCTGAGGAAAGGACATTTCAGCGGACACTGAAGATGGAAAGGAACAGGCTGTGCGTGGTACAGTGGGAGGAGCGGTCCAGACAGAGCGGGAAGTTTGTGCAGACAGAAGATCAGGGAACAAGGGGGACAGGGACCCCTGTGTGAGGGGAGGGGAGCACATGGTCTTGGGAAGGAGGTGGGTAGAAGTCTCTGCCCGGGTGCACTCATCCTTTGGCATTTGCCTCTCCCTTGGCAGGTCTTTCATATTCACCTCATTGGTTTACTGCCCTGGCCTCCACACTGAGTATGAGCCCTTCCAGGGCAGGGCTGCGTCGCATCCTGTGTGCATCCTTGCCCATTCGATGAGTCACAAGTAGACAAGCTGCCTATTGGGCCCTGAATACCTGAGTAGGTTTCATACCTGCCTGGCCTATCCCCTCTCCCTCCCTTCCAAAGGTAAACCAGAAGTCCCTGCTGGCCCCTCCTGTAGGAGAAGGGGATGCAGAGCCAAGTGGCTGGAGGAACTGGCCTGACTTTCATCCTGAGATAACCCTGGTACCTGAGACACAAAGTCCACAGGCTTGGAACTGCTGCAGACTCTGGGTGCTTTTCCAGCTGCTGGTGATACCAGGGGTTCTCAGCAAGGCTGAGCACCTTTTATGGACTCCCCCTGTCTTGCATGCCTGCCTGGAACTTGTGATCAGTTTCTGTCCATTGTTTAGAAAGTGTTACCATATATAATAGCTGCTAAGAACAAAAAATGACATGTGCTCATCAACATAGGATTAGATGTGTGGCAACCAGCATTGATCAGATACACACTTTCCATTTCAGTTCACCACGTGTTTCGGTGTCAGGCACAGGGTTGCCAAGAACAATGTGGCCCCTACCTTAGAGAGACTATGGTCTGGTGGAAAAAAAAAAAAACAAAAAACCAAACAGATTTGTGAACAATTAAATCGTAGAAAATATTTTATTTTATTTGCTATGATGTAGACTTCAGTTCAGCTTACAGATAATCAATTTTACCTGGGGAGGAAAGGAAGAGTAGGGGATATTGGAAAGGTTTCCATGCAGGAGAAAGTGAGTTCACATCAACCAAGCAGGCAGGAGAGAAAAGGCCCTTCAGGGAGAGGGAGCAGTGTGAGCAAAGAAACAGGAAATGGTATGTTTGTTGCATTAACTGTAAGAATATTTGACAAGGTTTGAGAGTCAGAGGCCAGGGGCAGCAGTCAGGCTACGGAGGGATTTGTGTGCTGGGCTCAGGAGCTTGGGCTTGATCCCACTGGCATAGGGAGCACCGCTGAAGAGCTTTAGGTAGGAAAGGGGGTGGTAAGGTCATATTTACCTCAGGGAGAGATTGCTGGACTGGCAGTGTGGAGACTGGAGGAGAAGAGTTCAACTCAGGAGGCCAGGCAATTAGTCCTGGCACAAGTGAGAACTGTCACTGGGCGTAGCCAGGGGCTGGGAAAGAGGGAAGATTCTAGAGGCCTGAAGGAGTTGGAGTCAGCAGGACTGAATGCTGCATTGGAGATGGAGAAAGAGGAGAAGTGAGGGGTTAAGGCCAGGCTGTCAGGGTTCTCCTGCAGGAGACAGTGAAAACTTTCATGAGGCAGAATGTAGAGGAAGGAGCAGATTTGGCATCCAGTTTGGACAGCTTGAGTTGGTCATACTCAGCAGCAGACTTAGATCCTGGCAAGGGGTCTCTTCCATAGGCCCCACATTTTGGGGGCTCCATTCTAGCCCTTCCTGGGTCATACCACTTTCCATGAGCAAGACAAGTTAGTGGGACCATGGAGACGGGCCCACCTCGATCCAGCAAGGCCTTCTTCTAGAACTTGCTCCAGGTAACAAGCCTGGGGGTGCCCAGTCCAATGACCCCAGCCTGTAGCTTCTTCCCGGGTGTGTCCTCTGAAAGATGGCCCACATTTCTGATGTGAACTCCCCAGCTTCCAGCAGTGGCCAAGTGGCAGTTTTCTGGTGGGGTGTGGAAATGCAGCTTGGATGTGCAGCCTGGGTTGTCCACATATGTACATGTGTGCAACTCCTCTTGCAGTGGGACAGAGTAGGGGTTTGGAAGATAAGAGGTCTCCATTTATCTCCCACAAATATGAGGGACAGACCTGGAGACAACCTGCAGGGTTATCTGAAATCTTCTCTTTTCCAGACTAATTATAGTATCAGCCCCCTACCTTACCTAAGCTGATCTGACTCCATTTCCAGACCCCTCATTGTCCTGTTACCCTCCTTTGAATTGACTCTAAATTTTACGTAATGAGGAGGCATACAGATAGCTTCTGTATGAACTCTACAGTCAGGGATAACCGGAGTATGTGGATTCAGTTCCACTTGCTGCATCCCCAAAGGCACTGATGGAGGCAGAGGTGACTCCAGGATACCTTAGCGGGTGGGAGAGATGGGAGCTACCTGGGGAAGGGTTTGGAGCTGGCAAGATGTAATTCAGAGGAGCAGATAATGAGAAAAGGATGGAGAGAAAGGCGTAAAGGCATTCAGGACTTGCCTTTCATAGGATTCCAATAAAGACAAAGGAAGGGTCTGCTTTGCTTTCAAGCCTGTGGTCCTCACCCAGACTCCCCTGCAGGGGCTCCCCTTTGTCTCTTTCATGAAAGCCAGTAGGTCTCCTTCACCCTTTTTCTCTGCTCTGATTACAACACAGAGCCTTCTCTTTGGGAGCAATAGCCATCTGGATTATCTTCTCTTCGTCTGGCCACCTCATCAACTCATCATCTTTTTAATAATCTCATCTGAAAACATATCCTTTCTCATTTGCTTCTTAATTTCCCCATTGTCCAGTGACTTTTCTCTCTCTCCCTTTCTCTGAAACCTTATTCTTATTACTTTATAGAACACTGGGGGATAGATTGCCCAGAAAATATGTACTATAAAGTAAATGCATATGGTGATATCTATGAATTGCCCAGATCCAGTCCATCTGTGCAATGTCACAGGCCCAGCTGTTTACTTGTGCACAGTGCAATTGCAATG